>NC_000017.11:19278989-19582020 GCF_000001405.40 Homo sapiens
TCAAGAAAATAGCAGGCAGCCATGCAAATTATATAGGCCTTATTTCGTTTTTTTTTACTATAACCAGTATTTTATTATTTTATTAGCTTTTTCCTTTTTCCTGAAGTTTAAGTATTTCAGAGACCATCAGCAGATGTCCTTGCAAGTTAGTCTGTTAGAGAAAGCCCCTGCCTTGGTCAACAGCCCCTGTTTCTTAATTGTTTGGAGTTCCTTTCCCAGCTTATGTCTGGGAGGGCAGCGGCACCTTGGCCCTTGCTCACAGGAATCACTGCCTTTTCTTTGCTGCCAAAGGTCTAGGAGGCTCATTGGGAGCCCTGGCTGGGCCTCACAGCCTCCCTGGGAGGACACTAGGCCCAGCTGGAGGTCTTCTGCTTCCACCCACAAGGTCACCAGATGGGGGAGGGCAGCAGAGCCCAGAGCATTGTTTCTCACTTAGGAAAGTGTTCCTTTTTTTGTTTTTTTTTTTTGAGACAGAGTCTCACTGTGTCACCCAGGCTGGAGTGCAGTGGCGCAATCTCAGCTCACTGCAAGCTCTGCCTCCCGGGTTCACGCCATTCTCCCACCTCAGCCTCCCAAGTAGCTGGGACTACAGGCGCCCGCCACTATGCCTGGCTAATTTTTTGTATTTTTAGTAGAGACGGGGTTTCACCATTCACAGGATGGTCTTGATCTCCTGACCTTGTGATCCACCTGCCTCAGCCTCCCAAAGTGCTGGGATTACAGGCGTGAGCCACCGCACCCTGCAGGAAAGTGTTCCTTTTTTTTTTCTTAGGACATTCTCAACCATTTGAGACCATTTTACTGGGAAGGAGGTGGCCAAAGTCCTCTTTTTTTTCTTTACTTTTCTTTTCTTTTTTTTTTTTTTGAGACAGGGTCTCACTCTATCGCCCAGGCTGGAGTGCAGTGGCGCAATCTTGGCTCACTACAACCTCCACCTCTCGGGCTCAAGCAGTTCTCGTGCCTCAGCCTCCTGAGTAAGCTGGGATTACAGGTGTGTACCACCACACTCAGGTAATTTTTTGTATTTTTAGTAGAGACAGGGTTTTGCCATGTTGCCCAGGCTGGTCTTGAACTCCTGAGCTCAGGCAGTCTACCTGCCTGGGCCTCCCAAAGTGCTAGGATTACAGGTGTGAGCCACCATGCCCAGCCAAAGTCTTTGTCAGTGGTGAATCCTAGCTCTGCCCACTTCTCTGAGAAGCTGAAGAGTCATACCTGCTCTACATCAAATGGAACAACAAATTGAAGGGCCTGGTGGTCCCTGGCACATTGTAAGGCTCCTGAACATTAAGTACCTCTGAACATTACTATTGATTTTGACACATATTTGCCCTTTAAGCTGGGAAATATTCATTAAAAATTAAAGTGTTCTTTTTCTTTGTGAGGCCCATCGTATCTTTGCCAGCAGTGAATGTTGCATCATGAATGAAAAACCTAATTACATCAAATGTGCAGGTCACCGTGCAAAAGTTTTTATCCCTGGTCCTTTCACAGCCTTTGCAGAATATGCCTGCTTTTAGCTGAAGCCCTGTTCTGTGGCTTCAGATAGAGTCAGATTCCTTGACATATTTGAGGATGGAGAGAAGGCCTCCTTGGCCAGAGCAGATGTATGGGTTATTACCAGGGTGAAATTTTATGAGCTGTCCCCTTTTTGTGTGTGGAAAAATCATACAAAGTGCTTTTTCCTATTTTCTCACTTAACAGCAATCAATACAGATAACTTCTGTAACTTTCTCCCCACGTAACAAGCAAGCAGTCAGTTTTGCAGGACACCAGCTAGGTGTCCTTCAGTTCAACTCTGATATTTACCTGGAGATAGCTTCAGATCCCATATGTTGAGGGCTCAGTCCCACAAGAACACTCCCTTCTTCCCAGCAGTGCAAGTCCACGCCTCTGGAACTTCTGACCAACCAGCTTCAAGTTGAGACCCCTTCTTTGGGTTCAATTAATTCGGTAGAGTGGCTCACATAACTCAGCGAAATTGACTTATATTTACCTATTTATTATAAAGGATATTGCAAAGGATACAGATGAAGAGATGCATAGGCCAGGTGTGGGAGAAGGAGTGCAGAGCTTCCATGCCATACCTCAGTGCCACCGTTCAGGAACCTTTGTGTGTTCAGCCATCCAGAAGCTTCCTGAGCCTGTCCTTATGTCTTTTTATGGAGGCTTCATTATGGAGACATGATTGACTAAATGATTGGCCATTGGTGATAAACCTAATCTTCAGTCCATCTCCCCTTACCGGGACTGATCCTGCCTTGGTCTTTCTGGTAACCAGCCCCATCCTGAAGCTGCCTAGGGACTGCCAGCCCTCAGTCAATCATTCACATGCAAAAAGACATCACTGTGGAGATTCCGAGGATTTTAGGTTTGGAATCCCTGCCAAGTGCCCGGGATGAAGACCAAATACATATTTCACAATAGCAAACCCTTCTTTTTGTGTGATTGTTTGTGATGAGTAGTCATTGCATTTCCTGTGGCTTTTCCTTGCTTCTGCCACCTTTTGTTTACTTGCTTGTTTTTTTGATGTGCCCATTACCCATCTGAGGCTTTAGATGAGGAAGGTAGGAGCTACCTGTTGTTTCTGTGGCAGAAACATCTTGAGAGTAAAGACCACCACAGGAAGAAAGGGAGGCGCAGGTTCTGGGCCTGGAGTGACCTTAGTCAGCTGACCGTGTGATTCCAGGCTTCGGTTCCTCACTTGTGTAGTGGGAAAAATAATCCTTCCTCTGAGGGTTTGAGGGTGGGGGGTGGACAGCCAAGCAGGTGGTCAGAATGGTGGGTGGAGCCCCTTGCTTCCTATCCGGGCCCTAGCTGTCCTAATCTACCTGGGGCAATCCCTGGAGACTTCTAGGGCCTCAGTTTTCCCATTTTATAGGTAAGGAACCTTCATCCCCTGCCAGACTGTGGCCTTCTTGAGGGCAGGGACTCTGTTTTTAATCTGTAACATTCATTTATTTAACAGTGTTCATTTCTGTGTCGGGCACAGTGCTAAGTGCTGGGTGCTCACTGGTGATGAGGCAGATGAAGGTTACCAAACTTGTGGACAGGAGCCTCATATCAGAGACGTGGACCTCACTGTAGCCTGGTAAGTGAGTGTTATCTGGAGGAAGAGAGGGGATAGATGATGTGTTTGGTTGGAGCGAGTTAATAGATAGCCAGGGGTCTCAGTTTTCTTTGTGAAATGAGGGGCTGGGCTATAACCAGATTAGTTTTAAGGCTGTATTAGCTTGGGCCAGATGCTGGAGGCTTCTGAAAGCCAAGTGGAGGTCTTTATCCTTTTTCTAGAATTGCTGTTAGGAATCTTTATAAATTCTTGAACAGGGAAGGTCAGGCGAAAAGTGGTTGTCAAGGAGAATTTTCTGGACATTCGGAAACACAGTGGACCAAAGCAGTTTTGAAGGTATTGACAGGCATTTTTGAGTTAAGATAGACCTGAAATTAGTCTCTTTCTTGTCCTCATGTGTATTTTTTTTTATTTAAATAAACTTTAAAAAAATAGAGATGGGGGTATTGCTGTTTTGACCAGGCTGGCCTCAAGTAATCCTCCCATTTCAGCTTCGCAAAGTGCTGGGATTACAGGTGTGAGCCACCATATCTGGTCTCACATGTAATTTTAAATCTGCCAAGATCAGCTTCCCCCAGTGTTTCCGATTCTTCCACAGCTGGCTTTTGCCAGGCAGTGAAAAGACAACCCATAAAATAGCCATTCCAGTGGAAGTGTTTTGAAAATAGAGCAATAGTCATGATGTTTACTTCTTTTCTCCTAAAGGCTTAAACTTGAGTGTAAGTTTTATTCATTGTTGACTGGTGATATTGATTTTATCTTGGGTTCGTCCTAAGGAGGCTGGGTATGTCCACTCAGCTCCCCAGTTTTACCCAGTACCTGCTGCTGGACCACAGTCTCCCACCCTCACAGGGGGCTTACGTCGCAGTGGAATGGGTTTTCTCTTTCTCTAGGTCATGGCTTCCAGCTTTTCGAATCTGAGGCTCCAAAGGAGGAAATGACCATTCAGGGATCTTACTCCAGCTTGATTACGGAGACTGAACCTTCATAGGGTGCGCACTTACCAAGGACAGGAAGGTTTCTCTGTTTGAAGGGCTTTAAACTTATAACAAAGAAAATAAAAATGACGACTTCGTCTATCAGACGGCAGATGAAAAACATCGTGAACAATTACTCAGAGGCAGAAATCAAAGTCCGGGAAGCCACCTCCAATGACCCGTGGGGCCCGTCCAGTTCTCTGATGACCGAGATTGCCGACCTGACCTACAACGTGGTGGCCTTCTCGGAGATCATGAGCATGGTGTGGAAGCGGCTGAATGACCATGGCAAGAACTGGCGGCATGTGTACAAGGCGCTGACCCTGCTGGACTACCTCATCAAGACAGGCTCCGAACGTGTGGCCCAGCAGTGCCGGGAGAACATCTTCGCCATCCAGACCCTGAAGGACTTCCAGTACATTGACCGAGATGGCAAGGACCAGGGCATCAATGTGCGTGAGAAGTCAAAGCAACTGGTGGCTCTCCTCAAGGACGAGGAACGGTTGAAGGCTGAGAGGGCCCAGGCTCTCAAAACCAAAGAGCGCATGGCCCAGGTTGCCACTGGCATGGGCAGCAACCAGATCACCTTTGGGCGAGGCTCCAGCCAGCCCAACCTCTCCACCAGCCACTCGGAGCAGGAGTATGGCAAGGCCGGGGGCTCCCCGGCCTCCTACCATGGCTGTGAGTAATGGAAGTGCTTCTCACCCTTTGCCAGAGCAGCAGCAATGGGTGACAGGCAGGGTGGGTGTCTCTGGGCTTAGGGAGTGGTGGCCACTGCAGAGCTCGAACCTGTCCTCAGTACCCAGCTTTTGGTGGCCCAGGCAAATTGTCCTTGGTCTGGATTGAGTTTTGGTTATAAAGGGACTTTTAGTCCCTTGGCTGCTCTGGTTCAGGGATCTCTAACGCCCTTTGCTGCTCTGGGCCTCATTCTGTACATCTGGGCAGACGGTGGGCAGAGGCAGGTCTTTTCTGCTTCCTTGTCAGAATGGGTCTGGCAGCAAAGGAGTTGTCCTGCTGCACATACAATGGGGAGTTGACTCTGGTAGCCAGGAGGAAACAAATGCTCTTTCTTGATAATCTTGTTTCTTTAATCTCATATTAAGTGTTTTTCTGCTGACTGAGCTTCAGGTCTCTTGAATGGCTCAGTATTATTCTACTTCAGCAAAAAAACTTGTACAGGTTGCTAGTGTGAACAAGGCCTCCCTGCCAAACATGCAAATGAGAGTTGCTAGTGATCTGGTTGCATGGCTGGGTCTGCATTGAGTTCTGGTTTTGCATGTTGGATTAATTTGGGTCTTTGCCTTATGGTCAGAAGAGGTTTCAGGGAACAGAGTGGAGTTCAGGGCCTGATGGAAGCTGGTCTCTGTGAGTCACATTGGCATCCTGGCTGTTCATTGGAAGTGGTCCCCCAACAGGTGTTTCTCCATTTTCACAGTGCTATTCCAGCCACAGTGTGGACCCCACACTCAGAGAGACAGGTGGCCCTAGTGGCCTTTGGGGGACAGGGTGAGGATGGAGGTGGGGATTGTAGAAATTATATCTTCTGGCTGCTAAAACAAAAGTGCAGATCCCTAGTAACACTATGTCAGCATAGCAGAAAACTTCTTTTTAAAGGAAGTTGTCTGTAGTTTGACAGACCTCAGTCAACCCTTACTTAGTCAGTGTTCTGTTACCAGACCATTTACTAACATTTCCTGCTTTTGCAGGTTTCGATTTGACATTGTACCGCCACCACTAGCATTTTGAGAAATGTGTTAAATGAGAGATTTGCATATTAAAGTCAGATTTCCTGCTTCTAGGAATTCTGAATTATTACCGAGCTTGGAGCAGGTTAACATATTCTTGTCCCATATGTAGTTGTCATTTTTCTTCTTAGTTTGAACTGTTTTGCTTAAGCAAAGGTTGTGACCTTGGTTAAACCACTTGAAAACAATTTAACCTTAATCTCCAGAAGCCTCAATGCAGGGTTAAATTGCACCAAAACAAATGAAGATTGCCCTTTAAGAAGTGAAATTGTTTTATTTCTCTCAAGGATCCTCTTACCAACCCCCAGAGAGGCTCTCTTTGGATTGAGTTGGTCCCAACCTGCCTTGACTTCCTCTGTCCCTGTGACTGTGGCTGTGGCTTTGATGCAGGCCAAGGGGAGCTGCCATTCTCTTTATGTGCTTTTCATGGTCATTATTCTCAAGAAGCCAGAGGATGCTAAGCAAGGAGCTGAAACAGCTTCATGTTCCATGAACAATTTGTGGAACTTTGCAGATGCAGGGGTTGGAACAGTGGGGATGCAGGAGCCTGGTTTGATCCACCCCTCCTCCTCATACCGAGTCCAGGGCCTGTAGCCATAGGTCCTGCTGGGCTAAATGATACTGCTGCAGTTCCAGCTGTGATGTTTTTGGTTCCCTCAGACCTTACGCTTGAGCTGCATGTTCAGGGTCAGAATGTGGTCAGTGGGCTTTTCACAGCTTCCACCGCAGTGGGCTGCGGGGTTGACCCCGAGTGGCCTTGGCCCGTACCTCCTGCAGGGGCTGCTGCGCACCCTCTAATGGCGTGTCTCTCTGTGTGTGTGTGTGTGTCCCTGCCCCACAGCGCCTGAGGCCTCGCTGTGCCCCCAGCACCGCACAGGGGCCCCGCTGGGTCAGAGTGAGGAGCTGCAGCCACTGAGCCAGCGCCACCCCTTCCTGCCGCACCTGGGGCTGGCCTCCCGCCCAAATGGCGACTGGTCCCAGCCCTGCCTCACTTGTGACCGCGCAGCCCGAGGTGGGACGGCGGTTTGCTTTTTTCCTTACTAGAAATGCTGGGCAGCTTGCTGGGGGTGTGCTTGCCATGCCAGTACAGCCAACTCTCTCCCTGTCTCCTCTGGGCCTGGGGGTTTGGCCTCCAGCAGGCCCAGGAGCCCTTTCTTCCTCTCTCCTGGGAGCTTGTGGCCTGGTCGTGCTCCGCTTCCAGGATCACATGTCACTTGCTAGAAGTTCTGTCAAAGGTTTAGCAGGGGAGCTGTTCTTTGGGTAAGGCATGGGGTGATGGCCCATGCTCTCCCCATGCTCCCATTCCCTGACAAACTGGAGGGGGCTCTGCCACCTATCAGGCCCACCCATGGTGGTGGGTCAGACAACTTGGCTTGTTGGACCGGAAATGTGTGATTTAAACCTCACAACACCAGACAAATATAAGATCCTCAGTGATGGTCATTGGAAGCCATTATCCTTAATGCAGTAATGTATGCCTTGCCCTGAATAAAATGGGATTTTTTTTTTGCTTCCCAATTAACTGCTGTTCTTCCTGAAATCCCTGTTACCATGGAAAACAGAGAGTTAGCTGTACTGTCAATTCTAGGTCACGGTGTTTGAAGATACCTAATTCAATGGGTAACTAAAAATGGGGCTTCTCTTTCTACTAATTAATAATGTATCCTGATCAGAGCCTTACAACTGTAGCAGGTTAAACTGAAAACAGATTTTCACTGTTTCCTACAAGAAAATGCTCTCAGTCTACCATTGGTCCCAAGTGGGTTCTCTGCTACAGGGAAGAAAGGTGTCTGTTCTCTTCTACTCTTCTTACAAGAAGGGGCACGACAGAGAGCTTTTGTGCGACTTCCCTGATAAGGTGACCAGCCTTTATTCAGCCCTGGAAACAGTTACAGTTCATTCATGCCTCATTAATATTACAGCTTGTTTGACTTGGGTATTTGTGTAATAACTATATTTAACTCTAGGATATTTTCCTTCATGTCCCTGTTTTCCCCTAACAGTTTATACAGGATTTTGGCTTCTTCTAAACTGACATTAGAAAACGTAAGGAAGGCCAGCTCTGCACTGTAAAGAATGTAAATGATAAAAGCATTCGTTAAAGGGTCACCCAGAGGCATTGGAGTTACATGCCCATTTCACCCCCCCAGATAGTCAGAGGCTGCTGTTCTCAGCAGGTCCCGCGGAACTCTCCATGGAGTTCCCTTTTTGTTTTTCCCATGTTCTACCCATTTGGTAACTGACAAGGTCTGTTTTGAGCCTTGGTGGCCAATTTTGTGTTACCCTGGCCCTCTAGCTCTCCCGCTGGCAAACTGGCTTTCCTGGGACGTTTGCATGTTAAATACAGCCTGGCAGGCCTGCAGGCTGGCCATCTTCCCCCACTGCGGCTGTCTTTGGCCCTGCCTCTGCACCTTCGCCTGTGCCATTCCGTTCTCTCTGCTTGGATATCGCTCCCACCACCTGCCCCCTGTTCCCCCAACCTGGCAAGTTGCTTAAGGTATCCACCCCGTGTGGATTTATGTTGTCCTTCAGCCCTGATAGGAGTTGAAGATAAAAATGAGTATTTTTTTCTTTGAAGATTTCTCATGCCCCAGATGAGTTTTGAGCAAACAAGTGTTATATGGATTGCATTTCATCCTTTAACTGTTGGGTGTGGCATCCTCTCCACATCTCACTCCCTCCCCGTCAGAGGGTAGGGGGCTGTCGGAGTCCAGGGCAAAGATTCTGGCCATGTTTCTTCTCTGTTCTTTCTTGATGCTTCACAAAGGGTTGAGTATAAGGTAAGTGCTTAATCTATGCACACCAGTGGATTTGTTTGGAGCACACCTTCTTGGAAATCAGCAGTGGGAAGGTCAGAATGATGCCGGCCATTCAGAAAACTGTCAGGTGAGATGCAGGCTGTGATTCAGGAGAGATGTTTGTGAGGGGTGCATTTGGGACTGCAGACCCCACAGAGGCAGAGGAGGCAGACTGCTCAGAAGCCCTCTTCACATGAGAGCAGCCACAGCCGGGAAGGCCTCTTGTGTGACTGGCGATAATCATGAGGATGTCTGAGGAGAGCTTTCTTTCATGTGCCATATGTCATCTCATCCTCCCTGTGCCCCTCCCTCTCTCTCACCTCCCACATAGATCTGTAGATCTGACCTTGGAAGTCTCTTGAATTGTCCATCTTGTTCCATGGCCTCAATTCAGTGCCAGCCTTCTGACCAATTTCCTGCTGTCATTATCTCCCAGTCTCACCTACCCTCCATCTTCATAAAGGATGCCCTGGTCCTGAGTCTCAGCCCCTTTAGATGCCAGGCCCTGCAGGGCCATCCCAGAGCCTTTGACGTTGCAGACCTCAGTTGCTTCCACCAGCTGTGTCCCCTGCCCTCAGTCTGGGGGTCCTCCTGTTCCGGCGGAAGCATTCCAGACCTTCCCAGGCCTGCTGACGTCTGCCTGCAGGCACAGCTCTGGGCTTTCCTTTTGAAGCCTGGTCTACCTGCCCTCTGCTCTGTATTTATTGAGTTCCCATGGGGCACCAGGCACTGAGCACAGAACAGAGCCCCTTGCCCTCGTGGAGCTTATATGGTAATGGGAAAGAAAAACACAATATAAATTATTCAGCATGTTATGTAATGAGCGCTCTGGAAAACAGCAAAACAAAAACAGTCTTGCTTGAGTGTCTTTGGGGAGGTAAGAGAGGGTGGCTTGCAGTATGAATGGATCAAGGATTGAAGGAGTGTGAGGGTGAGCCTTGTGGAGGTTGGAAAGAGCCTTCCAGGCAGAAGGGCAGCTGTGCAAAGGCCCTGAGGTGGGAGTGTGCTCAGGGTGTTTGAGAAAAGGCAGCCAGTGAGGTGGCGATGAGTGACGGAGCATGGCCAGTATGTGGGGGTGGAGCGTGGCAGAGGTGGGCCTGGAGGAGGTGTGGGGCAGGGCCTCTCAACTCTGTCTGGTTGGGAGCATTCCTTGAATTCCTAGTCCATCCAGACGGGTCCTTTTGTGTCCATGTTTAGATGTTGTGCCGATGTCATTGCTAGGAGCTTTTGAAACACTTTCACTGTGCTTACCTTGCAGACCATGCACTCAGTGGCCCGGTGCTGGGCCTTCTGGGTTTATGTCAGAAATTTCTTTGACTTTCACTCACAGTGAGATGGGGGAAGATGAGGGTTAGGAGGATCCCTTGGGGTGTGTATGGGCAAGGTGGGAGCAGGGAGCCAGGTCAGGAGGCCACTGTCCCCATCCAGGTGGGAGATGGTGGGGGTCTGGACCTGGCAGGGCTGCAGAAATCTGGGCAGTAGCCAGGTTCTGGGTATGTTTTTTTTTTTTTTTTTTTTTTTTTTTTGAGACAGAATCTTGCACTGTCACCCAGGCTGGAGTGCAGTGGCACGATCTCCGCTTACTGCAAGCTCTGCCTCCCGGGTTCACGCCATTCTCCTGCCTCAGCCTCCCAAGTAGCTGGGACTACAGGCGCCCGCCACCACGCCCGGCTAATTTTTTGTATTTTTAGTAGAGATGAGGTTTCATCATGTTAGCCAGGATGGTCTTGATCTCCTGACCCCGTGATCCGCCCACCTTGGCCTCCCAAAGTGCTGGGATTACAGGTGTGAGCCACCGCACCTGGACGATTCTGGGTATGTTTTAAAGATGACCTGACAGACCTTGCTAGAGGACTGGGCAGAGTGAGAGGGGAGCTGAGGATGACTCTGAGGGCTGGGAGCAGAGCAGCTGGAGGCAGAGCTGCCATCATCTGAGATGAGGGCGGCTGTGGGTGCAGTAGGTTAGTGGAGGGGTTGAGTTCAGGACACATCGAAGTGTCTCCTAGACACGCAAGTGGAGGTGTCAAGAAGGTCTGAGAAGTCTGGAGTTGGGGGGAGAATTCTGGGCTGCAGGCACACTTTGGAAGTTGTCAGGGCATGGACAGTGCTTATAGCCGTCAGCTGTTCGGCCTCACCTGGCGCTCATGGTTTTTTTTTTTTTTTTTTTTGAGATGGAGTCTCACTCTGTTGGCCAGGCTAGAGTGTAGTGGGGTGATCTGGGCTCACTGCAACCTCCGCCTAGCTGGCTTCAAGCTATTCTTCCTCAGCCATCTGAGTAGCTGGGATTACAGGCACATGTCACCATGCCTGGCTAATTTTTGTATTTTTAGTAGAGATGAGGTTTCATCATGTTGGCCAGGTCTTGAACCCCTGACCTCAAGTGATCTGCCCAGCTCGGCCTCCCAAAGTGCTGGGATTACAGGCGTGAGCCACCATGCCTAGCCTCTGGCACTCATGTTTACTTGGTGGTCTTGTAATTTCAGACACACCAGCTGCCCTCCCAAGGCTGGCTCCTCTTAAGGCTTACCCGTGTTGGCTGCCCTCACATGATCCTGGCATGTAGTCAGTGCTCAGGACAGTTGTGTGTGGGCAGAAGCTGCGCAGCCCAAAGGAGGACCCTCAGGCCCAGGGGGTTGAGGGATTTGCCTAAGATCACGCAGAGATGGCAGCTGGCCTGAACTGCAACCTGGTGGGGGTGAGCAGCCCACATGTTACCCGCCCCCCGGGCTCTTTCCACCATTTCCTGTTCTGTTCTGCAGAACTGGCCACAGTGTCAAAAGGCTTTGGAGAAATTACAGAAGTTCTTGGGGTAGACGGAACCTACATCAAAGGGAGGCAGATGGGGATGAGAAAAGCATTCCTGAGTCAAGGAATGGAAAGAAAGATTGCTGCTGTCCTCTCACCAAGGACACTCTAAGGCCAGGGGCCAGATCTTCTGCCTTGGCTGGCCTCTGTTGAGGGTGGGTAAGGGAAGGAAGGAATGCTCAGCTTGGTGTTCTCAGCCCCCTTGCTGAGTCTGCGGAGCCAGAGCTACAGCTGTCTTGATGCTCCCTGAGCAAGTCCCGAGTTGCCTGGTACCTTGCAGTTCTTGGTGGGAGTTTAACTGCCCAGCATTCCCGTTCTCAAAAAAAAAAAAAAAGAAAAAAAAAGAAAAAGGAAGGCAGGCAGAATAGAAATCTTCATTGCTTTCTGATTCACTCAAGTGAATCAGAACCAACTTGGGTTCTGAAACCAAAGTAAGCAGTGGTGGGCTTTGTACCAGGTGGGGGCTGCTGCCTGCAGCCGGGTCTTCTTGGCTCTCCTCATGGCCCCTCCTGTCTTGCTGACGCCGCTGGCCCTGGCTGTAGTATGCTTCAAGTCTGCTCCCAGAGAAATGACAGGGATTCCTTTGGGCTACTGGTCCTCTGGGCTGAGAGCCCCTTGTGCTGAGGCTGCTCCTCTCACACCCCACCCGGCAAGGGTTTGCCAAGTGATTACTAGAAAGGATTTGAGTTGGCTTATAAAACACATGCAATGCCACAGGATTCAATAGATACCAGAAGAAATTGGGGCAAAAGGAAAACAGAGGTGAGAAAGAAAAGCCAGGATTGTATACAGTGGCTAGAGATGGATCCAAATTTGGTTTGATACTGTGCAGCTGGGAAGGCCAGAGTGTCAAGCAGCCTGCCCAGGACTTCATGGAGCAGTGGCCGTGATCATTGTCCTGCGGCATCACCCCAACAGCTGCTGCTGCTGTCCGCCAGGCCTTCGGGCCATGCCTCCACTCTCGAGTGGCCTGGCAAGAATCTAAGGGGAAACAGGATTTCTCAGGGAGTGGAATGGCAAGGCTATCCACGGTTATCAGCCATTCATTTTTTTTTTTTTTTTTTTTTTTTTTTTGAGACGGAGTCTCGCTCTTTCGCCCAGGCTGGACTGCAGTGGCGCTATCTTGGCTCACTGCAAGCTCCGCTTCCTGGGTTCACGCCGTTCTCCTGCCTCAGCCTCCTGAGTAGCTGGGACTACAGGCGCCCGCCACTGCGCCCGGCTAATTTTTTTTTGTGTTTTTTGTAGAGATGGGGTTTCACCGTGTTAGCCATGATGGTCTTGATCTCCTGACCTCATGATCCACCCGCCTCGGCCTCCCAAAGTGCTGGAATTACAGGCGTGAGCCATCGCGCCCGGCCTCATTCTTAAACCCAATGGGGACTTGGTAGAATTTGAAAGCTTTCTTGTGCGCTGTTTCATGAGTATGTCCAGGAAGTCCCCAGGCACAGTGGGCCCTCAGAGGACTCTCTACGGAAGCTGTCTTCATAACAAGGGAACCTCAGGGGTGAACCAGAGTTGTCATGGCCTCAGCCCTGCTTGCCCAGCTCTGGGAATAGAGCTGAAGCATGCGCACACACAGACACATGTGCACTTACACCAGACATGTACACACAAAGGAGAGTGTTTTGGTAAGAAGGAGGCATCTGAAAAGGGAGTCCTACATGGGTCTACTTTTGAAAACTCAAAGATGTGGGAAAATATATTGTTAAAAAAAAGAAAAGCCAAACCCAGCCAGCGTGTCAGAAGTGCTTCTGAGGTGGACCTTGGAAGGATCCTGGGCCAGCTGAGGTCTCCTGAGAGTGTGGGAGGTGACAGAGCTCCAAGGTGCAGGGCTGAGTGATGCTGCCAGGAACTAGGAGGGCAGCAGGGCCCGCCCGGGGCTGAGAGGTGGTTGGTGGCCACCAGCCAGGTATTTCCTAGTGTCAGGCCAGGGATAGCTACCTGTGGGGAGTGTGTCTAGCCCTCAGGGCCCTTCCATTGGGTTTTGGGGATGGACCAGGAATTTGGTGGGAGATGAGACTCATTTGGCATCTTGTTTTGGTGGAACAAATGTGTTCTGTAAGTCAGGGGAGCCCTGCATCTTCGGCTGGCAGTCAGTCCCAGGGGCAGAGGCACAGCAGGGCTGTCAGCGTTAGCTTACTCTAGAGAGAGTTAATCTCTTCAGGTGGAAAATTGAGTCATGGAGGAAGCTGATCAGTAACATGAACACACCCTCAGAGGCAGCAGATTTATTGACACATCTATCCAAGTATCAGGTATAAAAGATGCTCGTTCTTGCCACAAGGGCTTGGGTTTTAAGTGGGATTTGAATGTGATTCGTGAATGGCTGGGCTGCTAAAGTCAGACAGTTGCCCAACACAACCAGAAGGCATCTGGATCACCTCTCCTGGGCCTTTGCCTTCTCTTAGGAGGAGTCCATTTGCTTCTCACAGTTGTCTAGAAGGTAGGCAGGGCAGATGAGGTTAATAAGGAAACTGACATGAACTTGCTCCCCTAAATCCTCTCATTTGTAAGTGAAGAAGCTAGAATTAGAACTGGGATTTTGAAGAACTCTGGTTCTCTTTCCTCTACTTGACAGTTTTTGAAATTGCTTTAAAATTTTTTCTGCAAAATAGGCAAATACGGTGTACACCTATTACAATTTTAAAATTATATGGTTCATCTTATATAATGCTTTTTTCTGTATTATTATTTTTTTCTTTTTAAGATGGGATTGGCTGGGCAGGGTGGCTCACGCCTGTAATCCCAGCATGTTGGGAGGTTGAGACGGGCAGATCACCTGAGGCCAGGAGTTCGAGGCCAGCTTGGCCAATATGGTGAAACCCATCTCTACTAAAAATACAAAAAAATTAGCCGGTCATGGTGGTGGGCACCTGTAATCCCAGCTACTCAGGAGGCAGAGGTGGGAGATTCGCTTGAACCTGAGAGGCAGAGGTTGCAGTGAGCCGAGATCACTCCAGCCTGGGTGACAAGAGCGAAACTCCATCTCAAAAAAAAAAAAAAAAAAAGACAGGGTCTTGCTCTGTTGCTCAGGCTGGAGTGCAGTGGTGTGATTGTGGCTCACTGCAGCCTCTACCTCCCTGGGCTCAAGTGATGCTCTCACCTTAACCTCCTGGGTTGCTGAGACTACAGGTGCATGCCACCATACCCAGCTTTTTTTTTTTTTTTTTTTTTTTTTACTTTCTGTATTTTGTAGAGGTGGGGTTTTGCCACGTTGCCCAGGCTGATCTGGAACTCCTGGGCTCAAGCTATCCTCTGGCCTCGGCCTCTCAAAGTGTTGAGATTACAGGCATGCAGGCACAAGCCACCACACTCAGCCAGGAATACCTAATTAAACCATTATTTAATTGGGCCCCAGATCTTAAGGAGCTCCTCTGATTGTCAGAATATGGGATTGTTCTCAGAATTGAAACAGTGCTATCAAGGCTGGGCGCGGTGGCTCATGCCTATAATCCCAGCACTTTGGGAGGCCGAGGCTGGTGGATCACTTGAGGTCAGGAGTTTGAGACCAGCCTGACCAACATGGTGAAACCCCTGTCTCTACCAAAAATACAAAAAATTAGTCGGGTGTGGTGGTGGATGCTTGTAATCCCAGCTACCCAGGAAGCTGAGGCAGGAGATTGCTTGAAGCTTGGGAGGCAGAGGTTGCAGTGAGCTGAGATCGCACCACTGTACTCCAGCCTGGGCAACAGAGCAAGACTCTGTCTTTAAAAAAAAAAAAAAGAAACAGTGCTATCAAAATTGCTGATTGGGAGGCCGGCTGCAGTGGCCCATGCCTGTAATCCTAGCACTTCGAGAGGCTGAAGCAGGTGAATTGCTTGAGCTTAGGAGTTTGAGACCAGCCTGGACAACACAACAAAACCCCATCGCTACAAAAAAAAAAAAAATTAACCAGGCATGGTGGTGTGCACCTGTAGTCCCAGCTACTTTGTGGGGCTGAGGTGGGAGGAATCGCCTGAGCTCAGGAAGTCCAGGCTGCAGTGAACCAAGATTGTGCCACTGCATTCTAGCCTGGGTGACAAAGCGAGACCCTTTCTCAAAAGAAAAAAAATATTGGGGATTGGGTTATTGATTAAATGATTGACATTGGCGTGTGCCATAGAAAATGGATCAATACAATATTTACCTGTTTTTTAAGGATCCTTTGTAGTATAGGTAAACAAACTATTGTTTATAAACTGTCAATAAGTGTAGAAGGTTTCTCGATGCTTTAAGGTTGAGTTTAGCAACAGTATGATACATAGTTGTTAGTTTTTGTTTAGTGATACAAGGCAGTTCCTCATTTTGACAGTTGCCTTTTCTTTTTTCCCTAAATCACTAGCTCTCAAGCTTTTAAATCTCCCAAAATGTCCCAAATCCTGGGCCACACCTTTGCCACACTTCTCAAATGAGAATCTCTGGGAGGGCCCCAGGTACTGCGGTGGCACTGACAGCATTGTACTGGGGGCTGCTGGTTCCCTGTCAGATGTTTTAAGTCAGATTGGCTAGCATAGTCACAGCTGCTGACGGTGTCTTTATTCATGGATGCTCAGTACAGCAGTTGCTAGTTTCAAATAGACAACTTCCAGGAGGCATTAAAAAAAAATTATATGACTAGAAACAGGAGGGAAGGCATGCAGATAGATTTGTCTTCCCATGGGAAGTAGGCCATATAAGTTAAATCTCTCTCTGTATCATATCCTTTTTTACTATCTTCAGAGTCTTTTTCACTACCTGAAATTCTCTTATTTGCTTTGTTTTGTCTCCCTGCACTAAAACAAGCTGTTAGAGCAGGAGCCCCGTTCATGCCCCGTGCTGTATCCCTAGTGTCTTTAGCACAACACCTGAACCAGGAAAGGTGCTCAGAACATACTTCATGCATGAGTGCTAAATAAGCCTCTCTTCTCCTCTCTCCTCACCTGAGGGCAGGAGTTCGAGACTAGCCTTGCCAACGCAGTGAAACCCCATCTCTATTAAAAATACACACACACACACACACACACACACGCGCGTGCGCGCAAAATAGCCAGGTGTAGTGGTGCATGCCTGTAGTCCCAGCTACCTGGGAGGCTGAGGCAGGAGAATCACTTTAACCCAGGAAGTGGAGGTTGCAGTGAGCCGAGATCGTGCCATTAGACTCCAGCCTGGGTGACAAGAGTGAAACTCCCTCTCAGAAAAAAAAGAAAAGAAAAGAAAAAATACATTTGAAGTCAATTCCAGAAATATAGGAATGCCTTATATATTTGTGTGGTTTCTCGATGCTTTAAGGTTGAGTTTAGCAACAGTATGATTCATAGTTGTTGTTTTTGTTTAGTGATACAAGGCAGTTCCTCATTTTGACAGTTGCCTTTTTTCCCTAAATCACTAGCTCTCAAGCTTTTAAATCTCCCAAAATGTCCCAAATCCTGGGCCACACCTCTCCCACACCTCTCAAATTAGAATCTCTGGGAGGGCCCCAGGTGCCGCGGTGGCACTGACAGCAGTGTGCTGGGGGCTGCTGGTTCCCTGTCAGGCTTTAATCAGTTGAAGGGCTCTTCCTCCCCTCTCCCCTCAACTCATGGCCCGTAGCAGTGTCTTTTTACAGAGTTACAGGCAGCTAGGCAACACTCCAACTTGGAGCAGCTTGGAAATTGATATTACACATCAAATTAGTCTCCTCCTGCTGACTGCTAATGGAAAGCTTAGTCCAGCTTAGTCCAGCTTGCAGTGGGATAACCAGAGCTCCTCCCGCAAGTCCACTCTGCGACCTGCTTCTCCAAGTACAGTGAGGGCATGAAGTCATTCATTCTATTTTTTTTTTTTTAAACTGGGACAGAGTCTCACCCCGTCACCCAGGCTGGAGTGCAGTGGCGTGATCTCGGCTCACTACAACCTCTGCCTCCCAGGTTCAAGCAATTCTCATGTCTCAGCCTCCCGAGTAGCTGGGACTACAGGTGCGTGCCACCACGCCCAGCTAATTTTTGTATTTTTAGTAGAGATGGGGTTTCATCATGTTGACCAGGCTGGTCTTGAACTCCTGACCTCAGGTGATCCACCCACCTCTGCCTCCCAAAGTGCTGGGATTACAGACGTGAGCCACTGCGCCTGGCTCCTGCTAGATTTTTGGTACAAATGTAATAATGTATGTCCATTCATGATAATTGGGAAAATGCAAAAAAAATAGAAATAGAAAAAGAAGAAAAAAATCCTTCAATCTTAACTATAATATGCAAAGACAACTGTTATTCACATGTTGGTGTATTTATTTTTATTTTTATTTATTTGTTTTGAGACAGTGTCTTGCTGTTGCCCAGGCTGGAGCATTGTGGCACAATCATGGCCCATGCAGCCTCGAACTCCTAGGTTCAAACGATCCTTCTACCTCAGCCTTGCCTAGTAGCTGGAAGTACAGGCGCACACCACCACACGCAGCCGAATTTTTAATTTTTAGTAGAGACGAGGTCTTCCTATGTTGGCCAGGCTGATCTGGAACTCCTGGCCTCAAGCAATCCTCCTGCTGTGGCCTCGCAAAGTGCTGGGGTTACGGGACTGAGCCATCATGCCTGGCCACGTGTTGGTGTAGTTCCTTCTGGACTTTTTCCCAAGCATTTTCTTTTTCACACTGTGAACGCAACTTTGCATTCCTGCTTTTTGTCTTGTGACATTGAAACAGAAGCATTTTCTGTGGTTCCTACACACCCTGTAAACATTTTAACAGTTGTACATAGTATTCCTCTGGGTGAAGATCCCTAAGTCATCCTTGCCCTGACGTTGGACTGTCAGTCACTCCTCATCTTCACACTGAACAGCCTACAGATTTTAGTGACAGGGCCCTGGCTGCATAGACTGACCACTGGCAGTCGGGATCTACCAAGTTGTGCAGTTTTGTTGTAGCCATCTGTCTGTGGGCAAAGCATGCAGGTTCTTAATCTGGAGAGGAACTGAAGGCCAGGGCAAGACCCACATCCCCAAAAGTGCTGACAGATCTGAATCATAGGTCTGAAAACAAAGCAGATCTAACATTTTATATTATGCAGATAGTATAACAGTATTATGGACATGTCATTCACAACCGTGTGACATTTTCAAAACATATTTTCCAAAAAGTTGGTTCATGTGCTCACTTTCTGCACTCATGTGTGTGAGGGCCAGCCCTAAGCTTTCAGGGGCTTGCAGCTGGTAGCTGAGACCTTGTTTTTGGTGGGCCCCATTTAAGAGAGGCAGACATACCGACACCGTGTGGTGCTGGGTGTGGGGGAAGGTGGTGTTCAGGCAGGCAGTGCAGAGTGGCTGTAAACTATGGAGCTGCTGTAGCCCTTCACTTGTCATCATCCCAGTTTGCGAGGGAGCATGAGGCCAAGGGCAAGCCACTGGGGGGCCTAAACTAGGAGGGCAGGAGCAGTGACCTTGGTGCACTTGGCCACAGAGGGTGCCCATGAGAAATAGGACAATTATGCAGTTTGATTTTTTTGAAAAAATCTAACTCTATGCATTTTCCATGTTGCTAGATACTTAGTTATATTTATTTATCGATTCATTTATGTATTTTGTTTTGTTTTGTTTTTTTGAGACAGAGTCTCACTCTGTCACCCAGTGGCACGATCTCGGCTCACTGCAGCCCTGCCTCCTGGGTTCAAGCGATTCTTTTGCCCCAGCCTCCCGAGTAGCTGGGAGTACAGGTGCACGCCACCATGCCCAGCTAATTTTTGTATTTTTAGTAGAGATGGGGTTTCACCATATTGGCCAGACTGGTCTTGAACTCCTGACCTCGTGATCTGCCCTCCTCGGCCTCCCAAAGTGCTGGGATTACAGGCGTGAGCCACCACGCCCAGCCTCATTTATGTATTTTTAATTTATTTTTATTTATCTTTTTGAGACACAGTCTTGCTCTGTTGTCCAGGCTGGAGTGCAATGGCACGATTTCTGCTCACTGCAACCTCCGCCCCCCAGGTTCAAGTGATTCTCCTGCCTCAGCCTGCTGAGTAGTTGGGATTATAGGTGTGTGCCACCATGCCCAATTAATTTTTTGTATTTTTAGTAGAGATGGGGTTTTGCCATTTTGGCTAGGCTGGTCTCAAACTCCTGACCTCATGTGATCCTGCCCACCTCAAGGTCAGCTTCCCAAAGTGTTGGAATTATAGGCGTGAGCCACGGCACCCGGCCTATTTATGTTTTTTTTAGAGCTGGGGTCTCGCTATATCACTCAGGCTGGCTGGAGCGGTGTTGTGATTCTACCTCACTGTATCTTCAAACTCCTGGGCACAAGGGATCTTCCCATCTCAGCCTCTTGAGTAGCTTGGGACTACAGACACCCGCTACCGAGCCCAGCAACACTTAGTTTTAAAGGTTAAACCTTTGGCAGCTTACTTAATTTAACTTGGAGAAGTTGTAACTTGTAAAATGGACGTAACCATAGTGCTTCTCTCCCGGGTTATTGTGTACGTTACATATGCTAATAATGTATGCACTTCACATACCAGCTTGCACACAAGAAATGCTCCAGAAGTGGCCCTGTCACTGTTAATTCTTATGATCAGACTTGTTTCAGATTTTCACCAGTGTAAATAATGCTGTGGTAAACTTCTTTGAACAGAAAGCTTGTTTTTTTCTTTTTTTAAGGATTCTTTGGATTATTTCTTCAATGTGGAATTCCCAGAAGTGAGATTAGTGGGAAAAGTGTATGAACATTCTGTTTCTTGAAGCATGACAAATGTTTTCCAAACAGACTGTTTCCAAACAAATGCTTTCCCCCCAGCAGTGAAGGAGAGTGCTCAATTGGGAGCCCCTGAGCCCACAGCAGGTGCTATAATTTTGTAATCGATTATTTCCAATTGAATAGATGAAAATTACTATCAGAATACTAATTTTAAAAATGAGTTTCCTGTTTATAAGTATTACTCTAAGAAATTGTTGCAGGCATTTAACTTCTTTGAAGTTTATGATTGAATTAAAAAAGAGATAAATGATTATCTTTGTTGAAGTGCCCGCTCACCTCAGCTGGCACTGCCTGGGCTTCAGAACCCCTCCTCCCACCCTGGCTTACGCCTGGAGAGCTGCGGGTGGCTCAGGGTGAGGCTGCAGGTCCTCTTTTCCTTACTGCTGGTCCCCAGCCATGATGAGACCCCTGCCCCAGCACTCTACCTAGAGAATGACAGGCTGTAGCTTTGTTACTTTCACTATGGACAGAAGCAGCAGGAAGCTCAGGGACTCCTGAGGTAAATGACAGTGAGAAAAAGCTGCTTAGTGTTTTGGCTAAGTCCTTCCTTTCCCACCCAACAAGCTGGTGCTCTTACTGTAGGAGAGAGTTTAATAACAGCCCGAAGAGAATGGCACAACTTGCTTTTTTCTGACTGAGGATGGGATTTGACTCATGCAGACAAATGAATGGACTGCCTTTTGTCTCTGCTTTACCCTCCTGCCTCTTTCACCAGCCCTGCATTGGGGCCATAACGTGGTCATTGTTGGGGCTCTCCCTTTTTTCACCTGGTATTTCAGCTTCCTCCTCTGTAAACTGAGGCAGCGGTACCAGTGTTGCAGAGGGGTAGTGGAGAAGTTAGAGCCATTATTTGTTTTCACCAGAAACTAAACTTGACCATTATCTGATGGGTGTTTGAGCACCTACTTTGTGCCAGAAGTAAAGCTGACGTGGCCCCTGCTTTCCGCCCACTTGGGCAGATGGCCGGCTGGAAGCAGTTGAACGGATTAGAACATGCAGCTACAGGTGATCAGGGCTGCAGCCTAGGTGCCACCTAGCTGCCCCATGGTTCCGTGGTGGGCAGGTCTATGCAAATCTACCCCCAATGTCCGGAGAAGCGGAGGGGCCAAGGAAGGAGGCTGACAAATCCAGTTTCTTAGAAAGAAACAGGGACTTAGGAGCAGAAGCCATGTTTCTCTCAGGAAGTGGTGAGACAAGGTGTCAGATCCCACGCCATTAGCCCCCAGAGCCAGGGCTTATATGCCATAGGGAAGGAGTGGTTCAGAAAGAATGTGTAGGATATTTGAAGTATGATAACATTAAGGTAGTTTGACCTAAAGATAGGATTTAAGGTAAGTATGTGCTCTTACATAAAAACAATAAACTGTAAATCTTTTTTTTTTTTTTTTTTTGGAGACAGAGTCGCTCTTGTTGCCCAAGCTGGAGTGCAGTGGTGCAATCTCGGCTCACTGCAGCCTCCGCCTCCTGGGTTCAGGCGATTCTCCTGCCTCAGCCTCCCAAGTAGCTGGGATTACAGGCGCCTGTCACCACGCCTGGCTAATTTTGTATTTTTAGTAGAGACGGGGTTTCTCCATGTTGGTCAGGCTGGTCTCGAACTCCTGACCTCAGGTGATCCATCCGCCTTGGCCTCCCAAAGTGCTGGGATTACAGGCATGAGCCACCGGCACCCGGCAAACTGTCAATCTTGGAGGCCTTCCTGGAACTGGGATTAATCAGAAGCCAGCATGGTGAATTAGCCTCCAAGATGGAGCTGCTTTGGCCTCCACATCCACCAAGTGCTCCCTGTGCGCCAAGGCCAGCTCCAGGTATCAAGGTGTTAAGTAACAAAACGGATGGACCCCCTGCCCTGTGGAGCTCCCAGTCTGATGAGAGACTGGCCTGATAACACAGCCAGGGGAGGCGCAGTGAGAAGGTGGCCTTAGAGCTGATACTTAGGGATGAGGATGCGGTTCTCCTTCCCATTCGAGGACCACGAGCAGCATACACAGTGTGAGGGAGCAGCGGGCAAGCAAAGGCTCGAGGCAGGAAGGAGCCTGCGTGGCAGGTGCTGGGGGAGGATGGGAAGCGAGCAGGGCCCAGTGTTACTTGGCTAGCTGCTGTGTCACCCCAGTCTCTGCCTCCATGGTCCCATGGCAGTCTCCCCTGGTGTGTCTGTGTTTCTATCTCTTCTAAGGACACTAGTTCTATTGACTCTAGGGCCCATCTTGCTCCAGTATGACCTCATCTTCACTAATTATATCTTCACTAATTACATCTGCAGCTACCCTGTTTACAAATAAGGTCATGTTCTTCATCCTACTTTACGGGGGACCCAGTTCTGCCCATAACCCCTGGTCAGAAGAAGGCACTGTAAGTGCTGAGTCCACACCATGTGGCAGCATGACACACTAGCTGATTCAGGAACCAGGTGTCATACATAGGATCCCAATTAAATGTGTCCAGACTCTGGCCACTTCTCATCCCCTTCATAGCTACTTTTCTGGCCCAAGTTCCCTAGACCAGTCAAGTGGCATCACTGCCCCACTTAAGACTCTCCAAAGCACCTCTGACGGCTTCTGAACCCCCACCACTCTTTGGTCATGTGCCCTTGGGTGCCTCTGCTGACACTAGCCTCAGAGCCTGTCCCCTGCTCTCAGAACAGAAGTGCCCCTGCCCTTTTGCCGTTCCTTCCAGGGCTCTGTGCCATCGCCTCCTGTCAGAGCATAGCTGAGCAAGCTCTCCTCTTCCCCACCCTGCCCTGCCCTGTCCCTCCTTTTTAGATTTGTTTATGGTCTCTCCTTACTAGAACACAAGCTCATGGGAACAGGGACTTTCCTCAGGCCTAGAGGAGGCCCTGCTTGGTGTGGGTGTGCGCATGTAACTGACTGAGGGTGCAAAGCCCCTTTAGGGTGCTAGGAGCAAGCGTGGGGCATAGGTCCTGAGTCTTGGCTCTGAGTTCTCATCCTGCCCCTGGGCGGCTGTGAGCCGCAGCCATTTACCCTCTCTGGGCCCCGGTGTCCTCATCAGTGGGAAGGGTTGGTAATGAAGAGCCAGACCTTCAGGGTCAGACTCCACCTGCCCCAGCTGGGTGGCCTTGGGACAGTCACTGCACCCCTAGGCCTCAGCCTGGACTGTAAGTGGGGCAGCACCCCCTTATGGATGGAGGGTTCCTCGAGAGACAGTGTTGCACAGGCAGTGGGTGATTTTCACATCGCTTCTTGTTCGTTCCCCACAACAACCCTGGGAGACGGTTTCCCGTCCCCATTCTGCAGATGAGAAAACAGGCACTGAGAAGGTAATCACCTAGGCCAGGGGTCCCCAACCTCCGGGCCACAGACCCAAAGCTTCATCTGTATTTATAGCCGCTCCCCATCACTTGCATTACTGTCTGAGCTCCACCTCCTGTCAAATCAGCAGTGGCATTAGATTCTCATAGGAGCGCAAACCTTATTGTGAACTGCACATGTGAGGGATCTAGGTTGTATGCTCCTTATGAGAATCTAATGCCTGATGGTCAGTGTTTCCCATCACCCCCAGATGGAACTGTGTAGTTGCAAGGAAACAAGCTCAGGGCTCCCACTGATTCTATATTATGGTGAGTTGTAGAATTATTTCATTCTATATTACAATGTAATAATAATAGAAATAAAGTGCACAATAAATGTAATGTGCTTGAATCATCCTGAAACCATCCCCGACCCCACCCCTGGCCGTGGAAAAATTGTCTTCCACTAAACCAGTGTCTGGTGCCAGAAAGGTTGGGGACAGCTGACCTAGGCCAAGGTCATGCATTAAGAAGTGGCAGAGCCCAGATCTGAGCCCAGGCATGGACTTGAGGGCCCGTGCTCTCGTCTGCCACACTGGGCTGCTCTCTCAGGCTGATGACACTCGGCCTGGGGTCAGGCCCAGGTGGGAGAAGCACATAGGGCAGGGAGGAAGAGTTCCCTCTGGGCGAGTGTCAGAGACGGAAGCGCACTACAGGCATCCACACACAGAGTGTGCGTTCAGTCGCTTTCCTGGGTGGAAGCACAAGAAAATGTGAACAGCTGTTTCCTCTGGGGAGAGCAGTGGGGCAGGATGAGAGGAGTAGCTCTCACTTCCTTTTATGCTGAAATATTTAAGAATAAGTTGTGGGTATCCTCACATTACTCCCCTAAATGCTTCAGTACACATCTCTTCCTGGAGAGTCACACAGCCACTGTCACACACACAGTCACACACCTCACAAAATGGGAAATTAGCAGCATCATCTCACGCTGAGGTCATGGTCACATTTTTCAAGTTGTCTGAAAGTGTCTTGCTGCTGATCAGCCTAATGTGAGTCCACCCCAGGACCCCAGGCTGAGTCTGGCCATCCTGTCCCTGCAGTCTGTGTCATGGCAGCACGTTCTCCATTTCTCCGGGCCAGCCTTCCTTCGGGATGTCTGTCCCTGGCCTGGATCTGTCTGCTGCCTCTCACCATGCTCAGCCTGGCCCTCACCCTGAGCTTCCTGAGAACCGGAATCACGGCTAGAGTCTGGATTCTGTGCACATCAGCGTTTTGCTGGGACTGTCATAGATGGGGGTATGACGTCACCTGACAGGCAGCCCTCCCACCACCGATAGTGCCAGCGTTGGCCACAGCACAAAATAACTTTGTGGTTTGTCCCTGTGTTGTAAAGTCACATCCACCTTGTGGCTGGACAGTGATCTGGCTGTGGTCATGCTTCATTGCATTTTTCATTATACACCTTTTTGTCTTTTGCATCACATATATATATATGTTCCTGTTAAATATTACCTGGTGTAGTCCGGGTGGGGTGGCTCACGCCTGTAATCCCAGCAGTTTGGGAGGCCGAGGCAGGCAGATCACGAGGTTAGGAGTTCAAGACCAGCCTGGCCAACATAGTGAAATCCCGTCTCTCCTAAAAATACAAAAATTAGCTGGATGTGGTGGTGCGTGCCTGTAGTCCCAGCTACTCAGGAGGCTGAGGCAGGAGAATCGCTTGAACTCGGGAGGTGGAGGTTGAAGTGATCTGAGACCACTCCATTGCACTCCAGTCTAGGTGACAGAGTGAGACTCCGTCTCAAAAAATAAATAAATAAATAACCTGGTGTAATCTGAACTTAACTTTTTTATAATTTGCCTCGTTAGACTAAAAGCAGCCTTCCCAGCATCTCCCTGCGAGGAGGTAAAGTAAGGGCCTTGGAGGCTCTCCTGTGTTGAGAAGTGGCAGGAACGTCCTCAGTAGCCAAGGTCATTGCTGATTCAGGAAGTGGCCCCTGGAACCACAGGATGATGTCACCACATTGAGGAAGCGTTTCACTGCTGTTCAGTAACAAGGAAGGAACTTAGCTGAACTAGAGAACTGGCCACTGGACAGTGGACGCTGACCCTGTGCTCAGTGCTGGCTCCCTAGCCCCTCCCTCGAAGTAGGTCAGCCCAGCAGAAAGCAACCCCAGGCCTGTTCCTCGGAGGCCTGGGAAGGGCCACGCTTTCTGTGTGTGACGTGGAGGGTGGGGTGTCTGAAGGAGCTTAGCCCTCAGGTGGTCTGGTCCCCATGGATGGAGGAAAGAGCACCAGCTCAGGACAGGGCTGGAATCCACAGGGAAGAGCCAACTGCATCCCAGCACTCCTGACCCCTTGGTAGGTCAGTTGTTTACCTCCTCCCACAGGCCCCACTGTCTTCATTTCACTGATGTGGGAGCAGAAGCTCAAAGAGGTCAGGCTATCACATGGACTCCCACTGCTTGTCAGCGGTGGGGACAAGATTTGTCCGTCCAGTGCTCTTTCCACTATCTGGTCTTCCCTTGGCTGACATGCACAGGGTGTGAGAGGTGGTAGCAGTGCTTGGGCCCACATGGGGTCTTCTCACGCCCCCAAGGCCTGGCAACCTTTCATTTTTTCTGAGTTGTCAGACATGCCTGTGTACCCAGCATTGCCACACCAGGCCCAGGGACATAGGAAAACCAGGACCTCACCCTGCCTTCTCCACAGGGTCTGTGACGCTCACGTACCAGTGCAGTCATGCTGCCCACTGCACAGAGCCATTTGATGGTAGAATCCTGTCCCATGTGCTGTAAAATGTAAAAATATACTTTGGTTTTTTTTTTTTTTTTTTTTTTTTGAGACAGTCTTGCTCTGTTGCCCAGGCTGGAGTGCAGTGGTATGATCTTGGCTCGCTGCAACCTCCACCTGCTTAGTTCAAGTGATTTTCATGCCTCAGCCTCCTGGGTAGCTGGGACTACAGGCACGTGCCACCACACCCAGCTAAATTTTGTATGTTTAGTAGAGACAGGGTTTTGCCCTCGTTGGCCAGGCTGATCTCGAACTCCTGGCCTCAAGTGATCCACCCCCTTCGGTCTCCCAAAGTGCTGTGACATCATTACAAGCATGAGCCACCATGCCTAGCCTACATTTGTGTTTTTTGTACTTGCCACTTTCTTTCTGTTTGACCTATCCATGCAGATTAGAGGAGGCTTTTTAATCAGCACTATGTGACTGGCAGATGCTGCTTCCATACTTTCTAGGAAAATTGCAAAATGTAGCTGATAAGAATCAATTTCCTGTTTTTCTACCAACTCGATTGCCTTCTTTCACAGTTACCTGAAAGTGGCCCACTGAAGCATCTTTATTAAAAAATCTTTCACCCTTTGTTTTAGGAGCGCATTTGGGAAAGGGTGTCTCTCCCCCAGCACAGAGTACAGGCACCCAGGCTCTGCCGGGCAGTCCCTGGAGCAGACAGGGTGGACTCGAGTGGGAGAGACCCTTGTCTGCCTGAGTTGGGAGAGTTTTCTTGGTCTTCTTTTTAGATTGTATTTTGAGGGAAATGTTGGGCTTTTCTAGCCTTCCTACTCAGCCTCTCCCCCTTAGGCTTTTTCTCAGCTGGTGTGACAGACTGGAAAGGATAGAAATAAGGCCTACCTGTGGTTACAGTTCTTGACCACAGCAAGTGAAGACTTGGAGCTCTTCCAGTGGGGTTCATAATGCAAAAGGCCGCCTTCCTGGGAGAAGGTCCGTGCATTTGATGCGACTTTAGTGATGAGCTTAAACTAACAATTCCCGTTCTTCCTTCCAGTGAGTGTCTGGGAAAGCAACCTGCAACAATGAGAGAGTGGCACATCCCCCAGCACTTGCTTTTTCCCTTGGTCCCTGTGAGCTCTGAACCTTCAGATCCTCAGAGCAGAGCCAAGGCCAGGCTCAGGTGGTCAGAAGGGCCCATTCAGGCCTGTCTCACAACGACGTCTGTGTTCACTGTCATGTGCATGGGCACAAGAGGCCCTTTGTGGAGCTGAGTTGCTGTCACCAAGGCAAGAATATCTCTGCTGGAATCCTCCCTCGAAGCTCAGTCCCGTTGTGTGTAGCTCAGCTGATGTTCAATGGTTGGTGGCCAAGAATTCTGCCATCTGCAGAACTGAAAGCTGTACATCCGTTTATGAAAACCACAACATTCAGGGGAATACCCATTGTCTTTAATTTCTACATTGATGTGACGAGCTATGATGTGGTGAGCCAGTATGTGCCAGCTGTGCGTTATTCTAACAGTGTCAGTTATGGTAGACGTAAACATGTACATTTGCATTTGAAGCTATTCTGGCCTTGCAGATGTGCTAGAAAGCTCAGAGGACAAAGGAGGCCTCACTTCTCCAGCAGGTCCAGTTCAGAGCCCCGTGCCCACTCTCCCCCTCCAACCTGGCTGTATCAGGCACTGTAGCTGTGCAACTCAGTACCAGCTTCCCTGCCAGGATGGGGCTTGTTTTCCAGAGCACTTTTTTTGGGGTGGGGTGGGATATGAGCCTTCTACTTGATTCATTTGTGGTTTCCATTTGGTAGTAAATGAAGGATGTCGTAAGTGCAATATTTGCTTTATAGCAAGGGTTTTGTGAACCAAGCCTCAGAGATTCCTTATCAGGAAAGAGGCTGGGAACAGGTGGCTGGAGTGGTTAATGATTTGGGTGTGAGTGCCCTGTTCACTTGAGAAGAGTCCCCAGGAACTGTCTGGCTTCCTTTATTCTCTTCCATGTGGATGGTGACATCTTTTTGAACATAGGAAAGCCCAAACTTGAGAGTTCTGATTGGCATAGGTGAAGTTTAGGAACAAAACGAACAAAAAAATATACTTTTTGTTTTGGTGTATTATTAAGAAATCAAGTTGTTAAGGTGGATTGAGGACTTTTCTTTACCCTCTAGCTTTATTTCTGAAGAGATACTTTGGGAAATATAATTGAGTGATAACACTAGGATGGGATTTGACTTGATTTTATTTAGAAAAATACATTTATGTTTTTATAGCTGCAACTTTCTTTTTTTTTTGGAGATGGAGTCTCGCTCTGTCACCCAGGCTGGAGTGCAGTGGCGCGATCTCAGCTCACTGCAAGCTCTGCCTCTTGGGTTCATGCCATTTTCCTACCTCAGCCTCCTGAGTAGCTGGGATTATGGGTGCCCACCACCATGCCCGGCTAATTTATTTTGTATTTTTAGTAGAGATGAGGTTTCATCATGTTAGCTAGGATGGTCTCAATCTCCTGACCTCGTAGCTAGAATGGTCTCGATCTCCTGACCTCGTGATCTGCCTGCCTCGGCATCCCGAAGTGCTGGGATTACAGGCGTGAGCCACTGTGCCCGGCCCGTTCCAAAGTAAATTTATTGCTATATGTTTTGTGTGTTTTTAAGAATTTCATGACAGGGTGATGCCTCTGCTTGGCAACCTCACATGGTAGAGAAGTTCCCAGTCTCCTGCCCGGCCCCACCTCAGCCCTCTGCCCAGAAGCAGCCTCTTTCTACCTCCCCTGGTTCTTCTGTGGATCCCGTCTGTGGCCTGAATTGCATTTAGGCCTCTTCCCCTGTTTTATTCACCATAGCCATGGCCCAGCTATCTGAAAGCCTCCTTTGTCAGGAATTATTCCTAACCTTTTAGTTTCTCTCAAAGAGGAAAACCCTAAGAAGCAAATTTAGATTGGAAAGTAAGGCAGAAGCAACACCTAGGTGAATGAATCCTGCTAGTTAGGTTTCCTAAAATAGATGTAATGAAAGAAGGAAGTAAACTAATACACAATTAGAACATTTATTTATTTTTTGAGATGCAGTCTTGCTCTTTTGCCCAGGCTGGAGTGCAGTAGCTTGATCTTGGCTCACTGCAACCTCTGCCTTCTGTGTTCAAGCAATTCTCCTGCCTCAGCCTCCCAAGTAGTTGGGATTACTGGCGCCCGCCACCACACCCAGCTAATTTTTGTGTTTTTAGTAGAGACCGGGTTTTACCATTTTGGCCAGGCTTGTCTAGAACTCCTGGCCTCAGGTGATCCGCCCGTCTCAGCCTCCCAAAGTGCTAGGATTACAGGCATAAGCCGCCATGCCCGGCACAATTAGAACATTTTAAAATGACCCGTTAACCATGAAATTGAATTCTGTAGTTGTCCATCTGTCGACCTGTGCATGCACCTGTCTGTGCATGCATGTAAGCCTCCACCCAACAGGTGTTTGTCAGCCAGGGGTGAGTGCTACAAGGGAGAGGTGCAGAGGTGCAGAGTCTGACACAGCATCAGGATGGAGGGGAAGGACCAGGTCCGGGAAGCCGAGCTCTGACTACAAAAGAGGAGGTGGGTGCGCTGAGGGAACAGCCTGCACGGAGACCCGGGAGGAGGACAGGGCAAGGAACCATCTAAAGCAGTAGCTCCAAATCTCTCAGAGGGCAGGTCTTGTTCTGAGAGTTTTAGAGAAGCTATGGACCCTTCCTGAAACGGGGGCAGAGGTGGGCACATACTTCTAAAACTACAATAATTTCTAAAAGCATTTAGATTCCCTGATCGTGAAACATCCTGATGGCTGTGTAAGCCCCAGCACCCAGCACCATGGTTTATGTTGTGAATGTTAAGACTCCCGTGGGGTTTGTTACATCAGCTAGGAGTTCACATCTCATTCATTCAATAAAAACTGTCTTTCCAGGAGCTGCTTAGAAGTATTTAAACTAGCTAAGTGCACAGCAAAAGTGTCTGCATTTTTATCTGCATTTCTTTCTAATCAGTGTACAAAGCTGCTTACAGAACGAAAATGTTTGGGGTCACTGCAGAAATGGGCGGGCTTCATTTTCCATGATCTCGTAGTAACACTACGAGAGACAAAGGTCAACTCTTTTTTTTTTTTTTTTTTTGAGACGGAGTCTCGCTCTGTCACTAGGCTGGAGTGCAGTGGCGAGATCTTGGCTCACTGCAACCTCCATATCCCGGGTCTCTAAGTGATTCTCCTGCTAGCTGGGATTATAGGCACACGCCACCATGCCCAGCTAATTTTTGTATTTTTAGTAGAGATGGCGTTTCACCATGTTGGCCAGGATGGTCTCGATCTCTTGACCTTGTGATCCGCCCGCCTCGGCCTCCCAAAGTGTGAGGATTATAGGCGTGAGCCACCGCGCCTGGCCTCAAAAGTCAGCTCTTGAATGTTGGTGTGCCTGGAGTGGAGTCTTTGGTCTCCAGATGCCCTCCACCTGTTTGAAGGATGCTCTTTGGTTCATCTGTTCAAGAGCTATACTTTGGGTCTTTGAGTTAGTTCCTTTTTTGGAGCACTGCAGATCTGCCGTGAAGACTGAGGTTCTGATCCTTGTGAGGCCTGATGGCTGGGGCTTGCATACCCAAAGGCATCTTCTCTTGGTTGGTACCAGGGGACTTCTGTAGTTGGGAAAGCTACGTTTGACTGTCACTTGATTTTAACATTCAAATATTTGTAAGCCTTTCCTTTCCTCTGCCTGCATTGTTGGGCTACTGCTGGACCTTGCGGGTTTGAGATGGGAATGGAATGTGGTCTGCCCAGGAAACTGCTGTGCAGGAGCTGTATCAGCCTTGTCTTTTGCATATGATGACTTGGTCTTCCCCAACAGCCACCTCCCCGCGAGTGTCCTCCGAGCTGGAGCAAGCCCGGCCCCAGACTAGTGGAGAAGAGGAGCTTCAGCTGCAGCTGGCACTTGCCATGAGCAGAGAAGTGGCTGAGCAGGTCAGTGCCCCAGGCAGGTCTGCACTGCATTGACTGCCCATGCTCAGGGTGGAGTGTGGCTCACTGGGAAGAAGATGGCAGACACAGCCCTGTCTTCAAAACATTTCAGATATGCTTGCTGAGATGGCATTTCATGCTGCCGTAAGTGTGTATTCTTGTCACCCAGTGTCCCTCCCAGTCAGGGAGGGATCCCATGCAAAGTTACATTTAGGAAAGATTTTCTAGGAAGTCATTGCCAAGGAAAGAAACCAGTTAAAAATGCTTCCCAGAAACACTTGTGCAGACACGTGTCTGGGCTTTCCCTGAGTGAGCTGAGCCTGCACAGGCTCTTTGAAGGGTGGCATGCAGGGTGGGCGCAGGGATGCAGGCCTGAGGGGCAGGAGCCAGCCCAGCCCCCGCCAAGCACTTTGACCTGTAGCAAGAGATTTGCAAAAAACAAAGGCTGGGAAAAAATGCTCCCGAAATGAGAGTGCTTGTGTTTTGATGATGGAAGTATGTATAGTTTTAGTTTTTTTCAGTTCCCATTTTTCTTTTCTTTTCTCTTTTCTTTTCTTTCTCTCTTTCTCCTTCTTTCTTTTTTTTTTTTTTTTTTTTTTTTGAATCAGAGTCTCACTCTGTCACCCAGGCTGGAGTGCAGTGGTGCAATCTTGGCTCCCTGAGACCTCCGCGTCCTGGGTTCAAGTGATTCTCGTGCCTCAGCGTCCCGAGTAGCTGGGATTTCAGGCGCGTGCCACCATGCCCGGCTAATTTTTGTATTTTTAGTAGAGACAGGGTTTCACCATGTTGGTCGGGCTGGTCTCAAACTTCTGACCTCAAGTGATCTGCCCACCTCGGCCTCCCAAAGTGCTGAGAGTACAGTCTTGGGCCACCGTGCCTGGCCCCCATTTTTCTTTAGTAAGCATGCATTACTTTACAACAGCGAGAAGGGAAAGGAGCAATTAGAGTGGCCTTACAAATTGTCAAGCCTTTGGTTGCAGTTATCAGGGCTGTCTCCAATGACCTTTGGTTAAAAAAGGTAGATGGGACCAGGGGCAGCACAGGGATTCCTCTCCTCTATTAGAAGTTGGTGTTCAGAGAGGAATACTGGGGATAGTTAGATTTGAGTACTGACAAGTTCATCCCGGCATTGTTTGTGTGTCTATAACTGGCAACATTCTAAAGCTCAGTGACAGTGGGCAATCTCAGTTGTGGCCTCTCTGTCCCTGCAGTGGGAAACAGGCCACCAGTAACTGCCCAGGTGGATGCATGTGGCTTCATGGCCAGCAGCCCAGGAAGAAGGTGCGTGGTAGCATCCACTGAGAAACATAGGGACAGACGGACGGTTTGAGCCCATTTTAGTTAATATTTATAATAAAATATAAGGGAGCAAGTTCAAACTCCCGTGCTGATCAGTAGTGGCATTGTCCCTGTGAATAGCTACTGTGTAGCAGCCTGGGTAATACCATGAGACCCTATCTCTTAAAAACAAGAAAAGAAAAAATACAAGGAATATATTATTTATATTTAATTATTATATTATATAAAAGCTTAGGACAACCCTGTCTTTTGCATATGGTGACTTTGCCTTAAATAAAGATAGTGAATCATTTCTGTTAGGAATCATAGAAATATGCAGCCATTTTCCGGAAGCATACACAGTGGAGGTGGAATGATACGTGATTTTTATCTTCTTTCTAATTCCTTTTTGGGTTGTCAGATTTGTGTTTTATAAGGACACACATTGCTTCTATAAGTAGAATTTATAAAGCCAGTTTCATTTTGAGAAAAAAATATTTTAGATTAAGCATTCCCTTTCCCCAGTTTGGTGGTACCTGAGCCATAGTCTCCCTGGTGTGACCCCACAGGGGTCCAAGTCACAGGAGTCGCCATGAGGGAGGGGCCTTCTGGGTACACACACATTTGGGATTTGAAAGTAATTGTGTTTTACAAGTAGTTTTGAAATCTTCCTTTGAAATACTGCATCATACAATGTGCATTTCCTGTTTCTGGCCAGTGTGGCTTTGTTCTGTACAGTGATGTTATTACAATTACCAGTTTGCATTGTCCCTCTACAGGAAGAACGCCTCAGGCGGGGTGATGACCTCAGATTACAGATGGCCCTGGAAGAAAGCCGAAGGGACACAGTTAAAATTCCAAAAAAGAAAGAGGTAAGAGCTTGCTGGGAGGGTAGATGTTTCACCCTGTCCTGTAGTTGTTGCCTCAATATCCCCCCACCAACTTGCCTGGATGGCGTGATGCACAGTGAGTTCTCCAACCTCAGCAAATAACCTTCATGCCTGTAGTGAGCGAGAGCCAGGTGAGCAAGCGACTGAAAACACACCTGAACTAACCAGGAGACACTTAATGTCCCAGTGCCTCAGTCTGCTCGTTTGTAAAATGGAGGTGATGATAGTGCCTGCCTCCTGCCGCTGTGGCTACGGCAGCTGTCAAGTGAGCTACATGCCAGGGGCTGCGGAACGCTTTCCTGCAGCAGGGTGTGCCCCCAGAAGTGCTGGTTGCCTCTTCAGCCCTGTGCCAGGCTTCCTGCTGTGATGTAGAGATGACCAGGACATGGCTGGGCTCTTGACAAGCTCATCATCATCCAGTCAAGACCCAGACCCCTTCTACACCACAGGCCCCGGGGCTCCATTGGCCTCCTCTGTTACAGTGCTACTGAGGCCGGTGGAGCCCCTGGCTCCTGACTGGTTGATGTTGATGATCCCTGATGACACATGGGGTGGTCTTGAGAGTGGGGAGCATGCAGGTGCCCGAGGAGGAGGGCCCTCAGGCTGGCCCTGGATGGTGGCTGGCAGGTGGGAGGGATGGCGTTCTGGAGGAGGTCCACAGCCTGGGCAGAAGCCAGTGTTAGCCTGGAAAAGTCTGTTGAGCCCTGAGGTCTCTGAAGTCTGGTGAGGGGGTTTAGCAAACAGTAAATAGCTTGTTGTGACTGGAGAGCTGGCTGGACGGGGAGGGAGATGGGACGGCTCAGTTTCCAAGTTCTTCTCAGCCCCTCCTAGAGGGCTTCACTGGAGGAAGAGGCACAGGTGGGTGATATTTATGGCTAGTTCATGAGTATTTGCTGTAACTGTAGCATAGTAAAACCTGTCCCCTTCTCTTTGTCTTAAAAGCATGGCTCTCTCCCACAGCAGACTACGCTGTTGGATTTAATGGATGCTCTCCCCAGCTCGGGCCCCGCGGCCCAGAAAGCAGAGCCCTGGGGCCCGTCAGCCTCCACTAACCAGACCAACCCCTGGGGCGGGCCAGCGGCTCCTGCGAGTACTTCAGACCCCTGGCCATCGTTTGGTAAAGACCCCATTACTGGTCTCCCGTGCTTGCCTGCTGGATGGGTGAGGGGCAGGGCAGTGCTTCTTGCTGTCTCTCACCCACTTGGGTCTGGTCGATTGTGGTGGGTGTCCAGGCTCCTCCAGCCCTCAGCAGTGATATCCAACTGGCCCTTGCCCTCCTCCTTGAGGATGGTGGCATGGTGTTCCCTCTTTGTTTTGAGTGGTTTTCTGCTTTGGGAGAAGGAAAGTCAACCTCCCCTCAACCTCCCATTTGCATCAGAAATGGCTTGTGCCTTCTCTGGGACATGTTTCAACTCTTGCAGCCTCAGCGTTACACCCAGCGTCCCAGCTGAAGGAACCAAAATACACAGCATGGAACATCCAAATCAAGCTGCTGTAATTAGATGGAAATTATGATGTGCTTACCACCACTGCTGATGAAAAGGGGATACATTTGCTATAATTCTGCTTGTTACTTAAAGCAATAGAAAATCCGTTTAATAGGCTAAATGAATATTTTAAAGTTTTGCTTAATGTGAGATGTAAGAGGAATTGTGGTGGGAAGTTCAAAATGTGAGCATGACACAACTGGTTTGATTTGGGTGATGATCTTGGGCCCACGAGTTTCTTAATCACTGGGCAGGAGCATGGCCCAGCAGGCTTTATGAAGGCTTCCTGGCCTGGTGCCCTGGGAGGCCCCTCCTGGTGTGCTAAACCCTACTGGGCGTGGCTGACCTGTGGGCTGTTTGGGAACTTTGTATATCTTGTGGCATCTTGCCTGTATCTCCTGGAGTCTCTGTTTCTCTCAGAACCGTCTCTTGTGTTTAACTCGGTTCCCTAGATGTTTGCTAAAATGTACCAAGTGACAGGCTGTGTTCTGCTGTGCATGACCCCTGAGACAACAGGTGATTATTGTCCCTGTTGTCTGTTGTCAAGGCCCTGCTCAGGAGCGGGCAGGGCAGGAACACAGCGTAATAGCAGTACTGTGTAGTCCAGGACTCGATGGAGGTTATTTGAGAGCATCCTGGGATGAGATGAGACTCAGTACAGGAGTCCAGGAGTGTGAGGTAAGCATTTTGGAGGAAGGCCACTTCCGTTGAGTCCCCAGGGAAAAGAAGGTGTCCAGGCACCAAGAGGCAGGGAGTTCCCTGCAGAAGACTCAGCGTGTGAGAAGCAGAGGGGTACGGAGTGGTGGAGTGGGTGCAGATGCAACCAGCTGGTGTGAACTGGGAAGCAGGGGAGAAGGGCCCAGATCACTCAGGGCCTGCACTCAGCCTTACCAAGTGCTTGGACTTGGTCCAGAAGACACTGTCAGCCCCCGATGCCCTTTAGCATCTGGTGAGTTCCAATAGCTTGATGGTGGCCTCTGTAACCCAGGCAGGGCCTTATACCCCCTTTGGCAGGAGCCCTCTGGGCCTTGGGAAAAGCCCCAGGCAAAATTGCCCACAGCTTTCATTGACTGAAGGCCAGTTCCAGGGCTGCTCAAGAGGTTGGTTCACAAGGTTTGTCACTTGTGTGTGGTACCCCCAGGGAGCCTGTGGTATGGTTTTACTCACCACACATGGGGACTGTGGTGCCCCAGGGCTGGCAGACCCTTTTAGACAGTGGCTTTGGCTTTATTTTTAAATCTGAAGAATGATTAGTCTGTAAAGTGATGGCCACCATAAGTTATGGTTAGGATGTTTTCAGGAAAGACTGTTCATTAAACTGTCGGATAGTTGTCTTAGTGCCCTGTAAAGAAAGTGGTCACACCAGGAGCCAGGTGGGTTTAATAGAGTTAAATTCTGGGGAGGGAATTGGGGATCAGAGTGGTGGGAAGGAGACTTAGTTTTAACACTTTACCTTTTTATATTGTTTGGCTTGTTTACCAGGGGTAAGTTTTTCCCAGTCAGGAGAGACAAAAATCTCAAAATATCTTTAAATGACCAAGTTATGCCCAGCCCCTCCTTTGGCTGGTGAACAGGGCTGTGCCCTGGACCCAGTGTTCTGGGCCGAGCCAAGGACCTGACCTGACCCTCTAGGAACATAGCGTAATAGCAATACCATGTTGAGAGCACCCTGGGGTGAGACTCGGTACAGGAGTCCAGGGGGTGTGAGCGGAGGAGTCTCCCCTGATGAATGGGGGCAACTTGGTGGGCTTGATGGGCTGCTGCTTCACCTAGGAATGCTGCCCATGTGAATCTGCCCTCCCAAATTTTAAGAACTTGAGATAAAATTCACCATTTCAACTTTTTTTTTTCTTTTTTTTGAGACAGTCTCACTATTGCCCAGGCTGGAGTGCAGTGGCACCATCTTAGCTCATTGCAACCTTCGCCTCCCAGGTTCAAGCAATTCTCCTGCTTCATCCTCCTGAGTAGCTGGGATTACAGGCTTGTGCCACCACACCAACTAGTTTTTTATTTTTAGTAGAGACGGGGTTTCACCATGTTGGCTGGGCTGGTCTCAAACTCCTGACCTTAAGTGATCCGCTTGCCTCGGCCTCCCAAAGTGTTGGGATTACAGGCATGAGGCACCGCTCCTGGCCCATTTCAACCATTTTAAAGCGGACACTTCACTGGTTTTCAGCACATTCACAATGTTGTGCAGCCACCATCAGATATCTAATTCCAGAACATTTCCATCACCCCAGAAAGAAACCGCATACCCAGGCCCTGGCAACCAGTATGTGCTTTCTATCTCCAGGGATTTGCCTCTCTGGACATTTCATAGAAACGGAGTCATGCACTGTGTGGACTTTTGTGCCTGGCTTATTTTGTTTAGCATCATGTTTTCAAGGTTCATCAATGTTATAGCGTGTGTCAGTCCTTCATGACTTTCTGTGGATGAATAATATTCCATTGCATGGATATACAACACTTCGTTTAACCATTCAGCAATTGATGGATATTTGGGCTGTTTTCACATTTTGGCTATTATGAATCCAGTTTTTTAAAGAGAAGATAGAAACCTGGATTTTTGAAATCTAGTGTTTAAATGTTGGCTGTGAATTTTAAAAATTAAGAATATGGTTTGAGCTAATTAAAAGCTATCTGAGGATGGGCACATGTGGCTTGTTGACTGCCAGTTGGCCATCTCTTGCCACTTGCCCAGCCTAGGACCTTCTTGGTTCTGATGCACTTGGCATTATTACCAGTGACTTGGGGAGGAGATAGGCCACCAAAGCCCATAGACATTGTTAATAGGTTTGGGACAGGCTCAGTGCTTATGGCACCATGTCCTGTAGTTGTCACACCATCCTGGACTGCTGCAAGGCCCTTCTGTGGCCCTGGCATGTCCTGGAAAAGTCACCACAAATTCCAATATGGAGAGATAGCCACTGTTAAAATGTTAGCTTGTCTGCTTCCTGTCTTTTTTCTGGGCATTATGTTTTTACTCAGTTGAAGCTATATTGTATATATAATTACGTGTGTATGTATGTGTATATTTCAATTTGTAGTGTCATGAGCATTTCTAGGCATCATTAGAAATTCTAAACAATACCACGCTGTACCATCATTTACTAAGCAGCCTAGTGATGTTCATAGGGGTGTTTTTGCAGTTCTGGCACTCTGCTTTCAATAGAAAAATACATTAAAATCACAGTGATTTCTTTTAATTCTGAGATTCTTTTCTCAGTGGTGGTGTTGACCAGCTCTGCAGGAGAATGGCCCTCTGCTAGCTCCTGCATTCACTGAAGCGTGTTAGCACACCCTCTGCTTCCACATTCCATCAGCGTAGCCTCAGAGCAAGAGTGTGGTATTGGATTTATTGTTTAGCATCTAGTTAAATCCAATAGTGCAAATTTTCAGGGTCACCCCTCCATCCTGAGACTCATTCATAAATTAGAAAGATTGGAGTCCCTTCCCCTAACAGTGTTAGCTGTGCCCTCTGGATGAAAGAAACACTGTTTTGAAAGCCACCATTTGTAGTGAGCCCCATCATTACCAGTTTTTTCCAAGCAGCACTAGGAGCAACTTGGCCAAGTGGCCTTGGGAGGAAATGCTCAGGGTTGAAAGGAGGGAGATTGGAGCCTGCCAGGTCAGTGGGGCGCTTCCTCCTCTGTTCCAGACACACAAAGCAGCCACCTGGTCTGAGGAGGGCTTATAGCCTGCTGATTCAGAAGACCTTGGCTGGCTGGAGCCCTCTCTCTGTACTCCCGCCCACTGCCTGGGCTGGGACAGAGGCTGTCTTCCGCCCTGGCAGCAGCAGGTGGTGCTACTGGCTTCTTGGTGACCTCTGCACGGCTCAGTTCTTCTGTGACGCACCACCCCCCCGCGTTGTGACTGCCTCCCTGTGCACATGAATATTCATCTGTGAGGCTCGGGATGAGCCAGGCTGGCGGGTGGGAGGCGACCGGGACACAGGCTCCCTGTGAATGGGCCCCACAGAGGAAGAGGCCGGAAACTGCTTGATCTTTCAAACCTTGGTTCCATCTTCGTTTCCTCTCATTCACTTGAGCTTTCAACAAGCATTTATTGATTGGGTATGTGGCATGGCCTGGACCCTGCCGAGGACGTGGAGAGGGAGAGCACAGAGAGAAGCCTTGCAGCGGATCTACTGTCCATTCATAGAGGAGGAGCATGCCCATTGCCTCCCCGAGCCAGCAGGCGTTCCCTGAGGGTACAGCTGGCCCTCAGGGAATGATTGTGACTTTGTGACTTTGTCTCCAAGTCACATTTCAAGAAAGCAAGGTGCCACAGTGTGTGACCTTCCATGACTCCCCCGCACACAGCAAAGAAGGAGGTCACACTGGCCACGGGACTTTGTATGTGTCTGGGGGGCTTTGCCCATTTGTATAGTCTGAATTCAGCCCAGCAGTTTGCAGTGTCCTATACACATGGGTCCCCAGTGTCACTTGCAGAATGCAAACTAGACAGAGCCCACCCACGCCAAACAGCTTGTCCATGATTACCTGGGTGATTTGGAGGTGGTCAGGATTTGATTCAAGCACAGACTTCACTCTATGTTCAAAGCTGTCTGGGCTGTGACCAACTTTGTCTGTGTGGGCTATAAGAGTAGGGGGTTCTTGGCTGGACATGGTGGCTGACGCCTGTAATCCCAGCATTTTGGGAGGCTGAGGTGGGCGGATCACGAGGTCAAGAGATCGAGACCATCCTTGGCCAACATGGTGAAACCCCATCTCTACTGAAAATACAAAAACTAGCCAGGCGTAGTGGTGGGCACTTGTAATCCCAGCTACTTGGGAGGCTGAGGCAGGGAGAATCGCTTGAACCCGGGAGGCGGAGGTTGCAGTGAGCCGAGATCATGCCACTGCACTCCAGCGTGGGCAACAGAGCGAGACTCCATCTCAAAAAAAAAAAAAAAAAAGAGTAGGGGGTTCTTTCTGAGCCAAAACTTGTAGTTTCAACATTGTGCATGATACAGTTGCAGAGTTTTAAAATTCTTAGCAGTGCTGTTGTTTGTTATTTTAATAGCAGATTCTAAAGGGGAAGCAGGGCCCATAAGAGCTAACTGGAGGTGTCAGAAGAGTCTCTGGAATAGTTTCAGGTGGCATTCCACTGGAGTGTGGGGTTCTCACGTGGAAGCCTGGCCCATGAGTCCTGGATGGTGGGTCAGCGTGCTGCTGGCTCATGGAGAGTGCTTCAGAACCCGTGCAGTGGAGATACTGCACATATTGCAGAGTTCATGGTAGAAAGAATTCTTCCGGAAATGTTGGCTGGGCATGGTGTCTCACGTCTGTAATCACAGCACTTTAGGAGGCCAAGTTTGGCAGATCACATGAGGCCAAGAGTTCGAGACCAGCCTGGCCAACATGGTGAAACCCCGTCTCTACTAAAAATACAAAAAATTAGCCAGGTGTGGTGGTGTGTGCCTGTAATCCCAGCTACTTGGGAACCTGAGGCATGAGAATCGCTTGAACCCGGGAGGCAGAGATTGCAGTGAGCCAAGACCATGCCACTGCACTCCAGCCTGGGCAACAGTGAGACCCTGTCTCAAAAAAAAAAAATTTCCAGAAATGTTAAAATGCCTTGTGTTAACTCTTAAAGATATAAACCTATTAGTTTAAACTGTGTTTAGAACCTCACTGTCTGAGAGTACGTCTAGATGGAAGGACAGATTCTACTTTTTAAATTTTTTTTTTGAGATGGAGTCTCGTTTTGTCACCCAGGCTGGAGTGCAGTGGCGCAATCTCGGCTCACTGCAACCTCTGCCTTCCAGGTTCAAGCAATTCTCCTGACTCAGCCTCAGCCTCCCAAGTAGCTGAGATTACAGGCGAGTGCCACTACGCCCAGCTAATTTTTTTGTATTTTTAGTAGAGACGGGGTTTCACCATATTGGCCAGGCTGTTCTTGAACTCTTGACCTCATGATCCACCTGCCTTGGCCTGCCAAAGTGCTAGGATTACAGGCGTGAGCCACCTCGCCTGGCCCCTTTTTTTTTTATTTTTTATTTTTATTTTTTTTTGAGAGAAGGTTTCCCTCTGTTGCCCAGGCTGGAATGCAGTGGTATGATCTGGGCTCACTGCAACCTCCGCCTCCCAGGTTCAAGCAGTTCTCCTGCCTCAGCCTCCCAAGTAGCTGGGACTGCAGGCATCTGCCACCACACCCAGCTAATTTTTGTATTTTTATTAGAGACAGGGTTTCACCATAGTGACCAGGCTGGTCTCCAACTCCTGACCTTGATCCACCCGCCTCGGCCTCCCCAAGTGTTGGGATTACAGGCGTGAGCAGCGTTGGGATTACACCATGCCCAGCGACAGATTATACTTTTGCAGGGAGCCTGGGTGTGCAGCGGCTGAGGCCAGAAAGGCGAAGCCTGAGGGACCTGGGGCTCGGAGCAGAGCTCAGAGACTCCTCTCTGGTGAGGGCCTCTGCAGGGGCTCAGGCATCCTGGATTCCCTTAAATGCCTAATCTTTATATTGTGTCTCATTGTCTGCCTGGCAAACTCTTATGTATTTTTGAAATCATGGCTCAGACATCCCTACTCAGGGGATGTGGTCACCCCGTCCTCAGGCCTGCCTCTTGCCCTCTTGCCATTGATGGCTGCCTGTGACCCGCATGCTGGCTGTAGTGGCTGTCTGTTTCTCTATCTCAGAGGGAGGGGCCATCCTGGGGCCAGGCCTGGGGACTGCTGACCAAATGTTGCTTGGATAGAACAAGGTGACCGTGGGAGACCAGAGCTTGTCTCCACCACGCATCTGCCCACTCAGGCTTGTAAGTCTGAGCTGGGTGCTCACATGGGGCCTCATTTTTGAGGAGGGCTTGGTGAGAGGTCTGGGTGCACCCAGAGCTCAGTGTTTCTTATGCATCCTGTCTGCCCATTTGAGTCATCTCAGTAGCTTCTAAAAATCCAAATGCTCAGGCCCACCCCAGAATCTGTGTGTATGCAGAGGACAGCATCAGTATTTTACTAAAATCCCTAAGAGCTTCCCAAGAAGAACCATGGTTGAGAACCACTAGTCTGGTGCCCCCTGGCCCAGGGTGCATGAATACCACTCAGTCTAAGACACTTGAAAGCTCCATGTCTTAGATAATCAGGATGGAGATTATGGGCCACTCTAATCTGGTTGTGTTTCTGAGCCCCTGAATTGGACATTTATCCAGAACCTGTTAGAAGTGGTCACTGAACTCCAGTGTGCAGAGATGCAGATAAACTGCAAAGTCCCTGCCAGCCTGAGGTCCTGTGGGTCCCTTGATCCTTGTGACCTCTCTTCAATCCCTAGTTAGTGATGGAGCACACCCTCTGTGTGTCAGGCTTGGATCTCGGGGATGGGCAGCAAAGCAGACCCAGCCGATGTTCTCATGGAGCACATGCTTTGGCAAGGGGGACAGATGCAGTCTCACATGCACACAAGCGGCATGAGTGCCCTGAGAAGGGTTTTGAGCTGGGTTTAGAGTGGGAACTGCATGGCGGGCTGGCATAGAGGCTGCAGAGTGGGGGCTGGGCCTTCCCAGCAAGTGCCCCACATACAGTATGTCAGGGGAGCCAGTTTGTTCGAGATGTGATGCTGCCCTCAGCTTGACCCAGTGGCTAGGAGGTGACCACCAACACTCAGACCCCCTTTGCTGTGTTGTTCACCTCAGAAGCTCAACCCTTTGCTCTGGCACGCACAGTGGCTGCCTCTGGTGCCCACCTCATAGTCCCAGTTAACACAGCCCAGGGAATAGAGAGAGTGGATTTCTCTGTAGCTCCAGTACCATTTCTGGGATTTAGGGATGGGGGACTGGAGTTGGGGACACTTTGCAGATTGACTTTAACCAGTGAGAACCCTTTTCTGTTGCCAGGGCAGGATCTGTCCCTTTTGAGACTGACTGGAAGTGGGTGAGGGGAGAATTCTTCCAAGGAGAACCAGGGCATCCTTGCAGGAGAAAGCAGGAGTGGGGGATAGAAGTAACCGGGGCATGTCCCCTGACAGAGGCAAGTGGGAAGGGATAGTAGCTGGGGAGTGAGATATTGTGCAGGGGAGATGATGCATGGTCAGGGCTGCAGGGAAAGCGAGGCTCCAGTCTGTTATCCAGGCACAGCTGGGCTGCTGAGCATGGGCAGTGAGGAAGGCATGTTGACTCCCCCAGGCTCCACAGGGGGCCAGAATCAGCCTGGCACTTGGCCCCAGGTCTCCCGTGTCCTCTGTGTTGTGTCACCGCAGTCCTGAAGTCACACCACAGCTCTTCGGCTTGCAGTCAGCTCTCTCCCTGATTTGTCATTTCCACCATGCCACTTACGTCCAGCTGGGACAGAGAGCTGAGGACCCACAAGGTGTCCTGTTGCAGGGGGTTAGAGTGAGGGCTTGTCTCTACAGTGTGATTCCAGCAGGGGGCAGATTTTTGTTTACTGATAGCCCCTTCCCCATGTCGAGCAGAGGTGGACCTGGCAAGGGCAGCTTCAGTCCTGGGGGAGGACGATCTGCATGAGACACTGGAAGACGAGGAGTGAAGTGTCAGAAGAAGCTTCTGGATGGAAACAGTTATTTCTGGAGCCTCTAGAAGGTTGTGGGTTCTGGGGCAGTAGCAGGAGAAGCCCTGAGTCCAAACAGGAGTGGACAGGCCATGAGGAAACGAAAGGCACAAGTATCCATGGGATGTTGGGAACAAAGCTTGCAGATTGACATCTGCTTTGGCCTGGCCAGGCCCCCATCGCCGGGGCAAGCTTGGGAAGGAGTGAAGGCAGCACTCTCCTCCTCTCCCTCCTAGTGCTGCTACAGCTAGCCAGTAGCTGATCCCGGCCAAAAGTGAAAAAGGCCACCAAGATAGTGGCTGGTGGGCCAGGTGCAGTGTCTCCTTGCGCCTGGCCAATAATATATTTTTACGTAAGAATTTGTGGGACAACTGAAACCTGTGAGACCAGCCTGGGCAACATAGGGAGACCCCATCTTTACAAAAAATAAAAAAATCAGCCAGCATGGGGGTGTGTGCCTGTGGTCCCAGCTACTTGGGAGGCAGAAGTGGGAGGATCCCTTGAGCCTAGGAGGTTGAAACTGCAGTGAGCTGTGATTGCACCACTGCGCTCCAGCCTAGGTGACAGAGCAAGAACCTGTCTCTAAAAAAAAAAAAAAAAAAAGGTAGTGGCTGGTGTGGCTTAATAGGCCCTTACTAAAGCTATTCAGCATTTCAGAGACGAGAAGGCATGAAGCTACATGTAGGATGCCTAGCAGTTGGTTCATCTTTTTGAAAGCCAAGGAGTCTCCTCTTCACCTGTCCATCCTTGAGCAGCAGAGCTGGGGCTTTTAAGAGAAGCATTTGTAGAATTCAGAGTAGGAATGAGGGAAGAGACTAGTTGTCTCGGAGGCTCAGGGGAGCATTCCCTGGTCTTCTGAGATTGACACATCACTGCCACCTTCTGCTGCCTTTCTCTAGGCCTCAGAGCTCAGCCAGGCTGTCACAAGCTTGCTGGGTGCCACCCTAATGTCTGGTGCCAGGGCTGAAGGTAGCCCTCACTCCAGGGAGTTTACAGTGCATGAGAGACTCATAGTTAAATAATAGTTATGGTGCTGTATGATAAGTGATCTAAAAGTCAAGGGGGGGATTCCAGAGGAGTCAGAGAAGGCAGGAAGAGAAAATAAGAGGGCCGGAGAGGCCCAGAAGATGCCAGGCATTTGGGAAGCAGTTGGGAATCAGTGTGGCTGGGGGTAAACACGGGAGCAGAGTGAGGACACCTAACACATATCTGTTTGGAGTTTCAGAAGAGCTAATATTTGAAAGCTGACAGGGTTTTCCAGAATTTTGGAAAGATGCTCCTTCTCAGATCCAGGAAGCCTGGTGAATCCTAAGCAAGATAAATCAAAGAAATCCCCACCTGGACATATCATCAGGAAACTGCAGAACACCAGAGGAAGAAAATACCTTAAATAAACCTACAGAGAACAGGCCATTCATTACAAAGAAATGGCAACTAAATGGATAGCTAACTTATTGACAGCAACAGTAGATGTCTGAGTGGCATAGAGTCTTCAGTGTGCTGCAAGAAAAACACAGTCAACTAGAAAGCCATTGCTAGCAAAATCATCTTTCTTCCAAGAATTGATAATTTTTTTAAAAAAGATATTTTAAATTTGGAAACAACAACAGCAACAAAAACTGCCAACCCCCAGAATTCTGTATTCAGTGAAAGTGTTCTTGAAGAGTAAAGTTGAAAGGATGACATCTGTTAATAAAACACTAAGAGAATTTGTTGCCAGCACATCTGTACCACAGAAATGTTAAGAGAAGTTCTTCAGGCTGATAGGAGGGAAAACCAGATGGAAACTCAGATCTTCAGGACAGAATGAAGAGCATCGGAAATGGGAAATAATTTGGGAGAACATTTCAGAAGTAATAAGGATATAAGAAAATTTGAGCGGCACAATCCATAAGCTTATGAATTTGTTGTTCCCAGCAATTGGAGAATACACATTCTTTGCAGTCACATGCAGAATACTTGGAAAAAATTGATGATGTCCTAGACAGAAAAGCTAGTCTCAACAAATTGCAAAAAATTGGTATCACATATAACACAATTTCTGATCACAGTACACTTATGTAAAAAATCAGTTAAAAGGATAAGTAGAAAACCTTCATACACCTAAAATTTTAAGAACACTTCTAAATTCTTGAGTCACAGAAAAAATTATAATGAAAATCAGATATATTTAGAACCAAATTAAATATATATTTAGACGGAGTTTTGTTCTTGTTGCCCAGGCTGGAGTGCGATGGCGTGATCTCAGCTCACTGTAACCTCTGCCTCCCGGGTTCAAGCAATTCTCCTGCCTCAGTCTCCCGAGTAGCTGGGACTACGGGCATGTGCTACCACGCCCAGCTAATTTTGTATTTTTAGTAGAGATGAGGTTTCTCAATGTTGATCAGGCTGGTCTCAAGCTCCCGACCTCAGGTGATCCACCCACCTCGGCCTCCCAGAGAGCTGGGATTACAGGCATGAGCCACTGCGCCTGGCCAATAGTATATTTTTACATAAGAATTTGTGGGACAACTGAAGCAATAGTAAAATAAATTTATAGCTCTAAATGTTCACATTAGTAAAAAAGATATAATGAAGTTAGAATAGCATTACACTGACGTAAAATAAAAGGAAATTATAAGGATAAAGATAGAAATTAATGAAAAGAACATAAACACATAATAGTATCCGTAAAGACAAGTCAGTAATTGAAAAGAGTAATAGACAAATTTCTGGCAAGAAATTTTTTTAAGAGGAAGGGCACAAACAGCATTAGGAATGAAACAGCATAACTGCCGGCACACTCAGGATTTCATGTCGGGTGAGAGGCTGACTCTTTGATCAGCTCTGTGCTTACAAATCCAAAAACTTAGATAAAATGGATAAAATTAAAAAGGAAACAGCAAAGCTAACTGAAGAATAATAAAAAACCTATAAATAGAAATCTGTAATCATGGAAGGTATGGAATCGGTATTTAAAAATCCTCCCCTTCTGCAAATCCACCCAGAGGGCTTTGCTAGTAAGTACTAACAATATTCAAGAAACAATCCCACTTTCATACAAACTCCTTTAGAGAACAGGAAAATAAAGAATATTCCTAGTCATTGTATGAGACTAGCAGAAGCCTAATGGCAACACCAGACAAGGGCAGTGCAGTGAGAACAAACATTTCAGGCCAGTCTGGTTATGAATATAGATGTAAAAATCCTAAGGAAAGAAACAATTACAAAACCCAAGCCAGGGAAATATTTTCAAAGATGTACATTATGAAGTACTTTGTTTGCAAGAACCAACTCATTAGAAAATTTACAAATGTACCATATTAACAGATTAAAACAGAAAACATGTGGTCATCTTAGAGGCAGAAACCATTTGATAAAATTCATTAGCCATTTATTTCCAAATTCTAGCAAACTTGGAATAATGGCAAACTTCCATAACCTGATAAAGGGCTTCTAAAAGGAAAAAAGCCTATAGCTAACATTGAACTTAATGGTAAAATATTAAAAATTGATCCTGTAACATCAAGAGCAAGACAAGGATACCAACTACCAGCACTTCTATTTGATGATGTAACTGGTGATCCTAGCCAATGCAGTAAGACAAGAAAAAGACAAAGTATAAAGGACTAGAAAGAAGACACTAAATAGTCATCATTTGCAGGTGATGGGATTGTACATAGAACATGAAAAAATTTCTACAGATAAGTTATTAGAATTAAGAATTATTTGAATTATTATTAGAATCAATAATTGGAATGACTTCTAATTAACAGTTTGGCAAGATTGCTGGGTACAAAAGAGTATACAAAAGTTTTTCTGCATAACAATAAATAGATTTCTATGAAAAGTTTAAAAGATACTAGTTCCTAGAAATAATGCTTAGTTCCTAGGAATAAATCTTACAAAAGTTGTACAAATATCTGTGGGAGATAAAGGGTAAAAATTAAAAAGATTAAATTTGACCAAAAGATATTAAAACTTAAGCAAATGCAGAGATACCATGTGATCTTGGTTTGGAAAACTCACTATTGTAATGATAATGCTTCTCCCCAAATTGATCTTGGATGCAATGCAATTCTGGCCAAAATCCCAAAAATATTTAATTTTTGTTTCTTCACTTTTGTTTTTTAACTTGACAAGATGATTTTGAGATGACTACAGAAGAGCAGAGGGCCAAGAATAGCCAAAACAAGATTGTGATTTGCTGTATCAGATATCAAGAATTCTCATAACACTGTTTGTGAGGATAATTAAGAAGGTGCAAGTGGCCAGGCGTGGTGGCTCACGCCTGTAATCCCAGCACTTTGGGAGGCCAAGGCGGGCAGATCACAAGGTCAGGAGATCGAGACCATCCTGGCTAACACGGTGAAACCCCGTCTCTCCTAAAAAATACAAAAAATAAGCTGGGTGTGGTGGTGGGTGCCTGTAGTCCCAGCTACTCGGGAGGCTGAGGCAGGAGAATGGCATGAATCTGGGAGGTGGAGCTTGCAGTTAGCGATGATTGCGCCACTGCACTCCAGCCTGGGTGACAGAGCGAGACTCCGTCTCAAAAAAAAAAAAAAAAAAAAGTGCAAGGACGGAAATAGGTAAATGTAGAGAGCCCAGTAATAAGCCCACAAAGACTTGACTTACGACAGAGGAGGCCCTGCATACCATGCTGCGAGGAGTGGATGGACTCTAGTCCATGCTGCTGGGATGAGTCAAGAAGAAGGTAACCATAAGGGACGATCGGTAAAAGACTCAAATTGGCACCTTATAGGAGAGGAATCATGAGTGACCCATGAGTATATGAAAAGATGCACAGCCTCATTAAAGAACAGGGAAATGCACATCAAAACCACAATCAAATAACTTTTCAGCCCACCAGATTGGCACACATGGGAAAGTAAGCTAATACTAAGCATCAGAGAGGTTATGAGGCAACTCCTGGGGCGGCAAGACTGGCACCCACTGCTGGATGGAACATAAACTCGTGCCACCATGTGGAAATAGTTGTAGCATTCCTTGGTGAAGGCAGAGGTACCCATGACCCAGCAACTCGTGTATACATGTGAACAAGAACAAGCAGCAAAACCAAACGAGTATCCTTCAACAGAGGAATCATGACTTTTTTTTCATAGAATGGAACAAAACAAATTCCAGCTCCACCTCAACACAGATGACTCTCTCAAATAAAATGTGGAGTGAACAAAGCCAGCCACAAAGGAATGTGTACAGAATGCTTCTATTCATATAAAGTTCGGAAAATAGGGACTTGGCATGGTGGCTCACACCTGTATTCCTAGCACTTTGGGAGACTGAGGCAGGAGGATTGCTTGAGCCCAGGAGTTTGAGACCAGACTGGGCAACACGGTGAGACCCCATCTCGACGAAAATTAGAAAAAAAATTAGCCGGGCGTGGTGACATTCCTGTAGTCCCAGCTACTTGGGAGGCGGCGGTGGGAGGATCGCTTGAGCATGGGAGGTGGAGGCGTAGTGAGCTGTGATTGCACCACTGCACTCCAGTCTGGGTGACAGAGTGAGACCCTATCTGATAAATAAATGAATACACACACATATTTAGACACACATACATATACATAATATATATGTGTGTGTGTATTCAGAAAATAGGCACAACTAACTAAAGGTATCCCTACAAGATAAACTAGAAGGAGAAACAAGAGAAAGGCTAATAAACAGTTCATAATGGTTGGGGTAGGAATGTCATTGGGGAGGCACTTTCTGGTCCCTGAGAGGCGGCAGTGGTGTCTGAACACTTGCAGTGCTCCGCGAGAAGGAAGGAGATGTTGGTTTTATTTTATATGTACTCATGTATACACAAATCTGTGTCTATACATAAAGATGCACATCACAGCGTTGACACTTAACATTAGATGCACTCAGATGTTTTAGTTTTTTTGTGTGTGTTTTTTCTTTTTTTAAAAATTTTTTTCTCTGTTTTTTAAAGCCAGTTGTGACCCACTAAATTGATTTTGTCACTCCCTGTTTGAAAGTGTTTTATTGCTTAAGTTGGGTGGTAAGTATGTAGCTGTTTGTTTTATTCCTTTTTATACAGGACTCATCCATTTATATATGCTTCTGTCAGAAAGCAGAAACCACTCAAAGCACATGGGGAGAGGATGCCTCTGTGCCTCTACAGAGCCTGGGCCGAGGTGGGAGGGCTGCCTGGGGCCCCTTGTCTGAGGAGGGAGCCTGGATTCTGTGGGGAGATAGGTTTGTTTCAGATAGTCCATCGAAGTGGGGTTGAGCTCAGGAGCCCTTTGCAAGCCCCCTGTATGGTGGGGAGCTTGGAGAGAACCTCTTTCAGCTGCTTCCTCTGGTCATTACTAGAGGACAGGGAGAGGTTATCCTGGGACATCCTGGCCTAGCATGCTTCCTTACCAGGGTTGTTGGCCCTGGGCCCCAGCTGTGTCCCTCTTTGCTGGCGTGGGACAGTACCCTTTTGATGGCTGTCTCACCTGGCACAGGGCATAGACCCTGGTGTGGCTGGCAGTATCCTTTTCCCTTCTCACCCCAGCTGCCCAGACCCTCTGAAGGCATTTCTGAGCCCTGACCCTGCCTTCCAACAGGTACCAAGCCAGCTGCCTCCATTGACCCATGGGGGGTGCCCACTGGAGCCACCGTACAATCTGTCCCCAAGAACTCGGACCCCTGGGCAGCTTCACAGCAGCCTGCCTCCAGTGCTGGGAAAAGAGCTTCTGACGCGTGGGGCGCAGTCTCCACCACCAAGCCCGTGTCTGTCTCTGGTGAGCCCCTCACTCACCCACTTTCCTGCCTGGCCTCTGAGCGCCCACGGGCCCTGCAGCCGCTCCTGGCTCCTAGGCATCAGCCCTGTTGCTTTGCTTGCATTTGCTCCCCTCCTCCCCCTTAGCCTTTGTTCCTGATCCCCAGATCCCAGGTGCCCCAGTGTGAGAGTGAGTGAGTGCGAGTTCCCAGGCTTTGTGCGCTGGTACCTCCCTCCAAATTGAGGGGGCTTCCACCTGGGTGTTGAGAGAGAAGACTGCCCTGGGCCCACAGCCTGTGGGTCCTGTCCTCACCCCTGGGGGGCTGGGCAGGCTGGCCTCCAGGCACTCCTTCTGGTGACTTCCTACAGACCCTCATCCAAGCAACCAGACCCAGCTTGATGCACCTCCACCACTGCCAGCACCCCTTTGCCTTTTGGGGTGAGGGTGTTAGAAGCAGTAGCAGGTGGGCATCCCACACCCTGTCCTGGGAGGCCAGGCTCCCTGTCTCCCCTCCCAGCGTGCTGGTGACCCCAGGCTGTCTTGCCTCTTTGGCTCTCAGAATTCTCCTCCATGAGGTAGGGTAAGCGGGGAGAGGCCCCTGTTGCCAGCCCATCCTGAGGGTGTGCACTGGGCAGTGGAGTTGCCATGAAGTCCTGTGAGATGCCCCCAGTCATTGGCTTCTGTGTCCACCCAGGGTCCTTTGAGCTCTTCAGTAATCTGAATGGTACAATTAAAGATGACTTTTCTGAATTTGACAACCTTCGGACTTCAAAAAAAACAGGTATGTACAGGTGATGATGGTTTCCATAATCCTCCGTGCATTTGACCAGCTGAGTTATTGCAGAAATAATAATCAGCTTTCAAAACCCTTCAGCTTCCTGCATTTTCTTTGTATTTTGATCTTGGGAGCCTGAAGTTTCTAATTCTAAGAATTCATACATCAATAGTTAAAAATCACAAGGTAGAGTCCCCCAGGACTATGTCTCCAGGTTAGGATCCCCAAAGCTTCCTGCAGATTCCACAGCCCCGGCCTCCTCAGCTCAGAGTGGGCCTCACCTCTGGCCTGATCCAGCATTTCCATTCACCCTCCTCCTGCCAATTTCCACTCCTCAGAGGGCCTCCTTTTCCCAGACAACCACCTTTGGGCATCAGTGGGGCCAGCCTCTGCCCTGTGTTGTCACCTCCCAGGTGACCGCTCCAGCCCAGCAGACCCACAGTCCAGTCTCCAGACCTGTTTTCCTTCCCTGTGTGCCTCTGGGATGGAAGGATATCAGGTGGATGCAGTGGGCCAAGTGGCCAGTGGGCCAAGGTGGGCCTGGAGGGGTGGAGGGAGAAGGCCTGGGATGCATTCTTCACACACCCTGTTTGGACTGGGGTGTGACAGCCTCTGTCCATCTCTGGGCCACATCTCCCAGCCACACATGGCAACTTCTCTCTTTTTTTCTTTCCTGTCTTGGCTTCTGCTGCTTGCCTCCCCCAATTTCCCTACCACCTCTATCCCAGTCTCTTCTTTTTCTCCCTTCTCTTTTATCCCTCCCTACCAACTGTAGCCACAAGCCTGGCTAGGCCCTGGTGTGAGGTACAAGCAGCCTGGCACCGTTGACCCTGCTCGACCCCCTTGACCTCCTCTAACCCCTCTCAGTTCAAGAGCTCCCAGCTGAGAGACCAGAGGCAGCTTTGAGAATGTGCTGCTTTTTTGGGTCTTTCCTTTGCTGCATTAATAAGATTCCATGTGTCTTCTCTGTAGGCCAAAGTATAGCCTAACCTGTCCTTGACTCCTGCTCCGTGCCTCAGTGAGAAGGCAGCGTGGCCATTGTTACATGTCAGCTTTTGAAACATTTATCCCCTGCCGGTGCAGTGGCTCACACCTGCAATCCCAGCACTTTGAGAGGGCCAGCGTGGGAGGATTGCTTAAGCCCAGGAGTTTCAGACCAGCCTAGGCAACATAGTGAGACCCCCGTCTCTACAAAAAAATTAAAAAATTAGCCAGATGTGGTCGTGTGCACCTGCCTGTGGTCCCAGCTAGTCAAGAGGCTAAGGCGGGAGGATCCCTTGAGCCCAGGAGATTGAGACTGCAGTGAGCCTTGATCGATCGCCCAGGCTGGAGTGCACTGGTGTTATTGGTGTTTTGTTTTTTTGTTTTGTTTTGTTTTGAGTCTTTTTTGCTCAGCTCATATTGTCAGATAGAGTTGTCCTGCCCCTTGCCTCAACTTTTGTGGATTAACAGATTGAAAACATCTTCTCATGACTTTAAAACTTGTTAAAAAATACTTTGTTGCTATATAATCTCTCTTTATATGGCTCAGCAACAATTCAATAATTTGGGGGAGGACATTTTAGGTTGATTTCAGGTTTTGCTACTGTAAATGATGCTGTTGTGAAACTCTTTGTGCTTATAACCTTGTTCACATTTTACATTATTTGCTTAGACCAGATTCCTAGAAATGGGGTTACTAAGTGAGAGAATGACTGTTGTTAAGAATTCCTGTACCGTGAAGCATCCCGTCGTGGCAATCACATTCCTACCGGCCTGGCTCAGCACAGCCTGTGTTGCCTCTATGGGCTGAATTTTAAAAGACACAATTTGCTTTCTTTTTACTATCAAGAAGTTCATGTTTATTGTGGAAAATTTAGTAAATGGAAAATGTAAGAAAAAAAAAAAAAAGTAAATTGCCCATGCCTAGCTTCCAACCCAAAATGACATCTTGGTATTCTGGAGGAATGAGCTATACACACTCTTTTATAACCTGCTTTAGTATTTTGATAAAGCTTTCTTTGCTTATCATTAGGTATTCTTCTGTTCCTGCATGCTGGTGTTTCGTTATGTGGACACTTGATTTATCTAACCCAGCCCATGACTGGCTGTGTGTCGTCACGTGGCGCTGTCAGGCAGGCATGTCCCCAGGAGGCCATGTTTTGTGTTAAGTACACAGTCTTAGGCTCTCCCTGCCACACTCACCCTGCCATATGTGTCCTTGTCTTGTAGCCGAATCTGTGACCTCTCTGCCATCCCAAAACAATGGAACTACCAGCCCTGACCCCTTTGAGTCTCAACCCCTGACTGTCGCCTCAAGCAAGCCCAGCAGTGCCCGGAAAACACCTGAGTCCTTCCTGGGCCCCAACGCGGCCCTGGTGAACCTGGACTCACTGGTGACCAGGCCTGCCCCACCAGCCCAGTCCCTCAACCCTTTCCTGGCACCAGGTAGGCTCTCATCCCAGGCTTCATCCATTGCCTGCTGTGCCTGGGAATGGGTGTGCAGCAGGCCTCTTGGGGGCTCTTCCCACTGTGTGACGGGGAAGGGGTGGGACTAGCTGGAATCTCTAGATGATTACGTATGCCCTCGCCAGTGCTGCATGGGGTGGGGTGTGGAAGCCGTTGTCAGTTATGTGGGGAGTGTATGGGTAGGAAATAGCTCCTCTCCTCTCAGTTGAGACTACCAAGCAGAAACTGTCCCTGACTTGGTGCCCCCCCAGTTGTGAGACCCTCGAGGGAATGTCAGTTCTAAGACAGGTGGAGTAGGGTGGGCTGCTGGGGGTGAGGAAGAGCCAGGGTTTGGCGTGTAGCATTCCTCTCTCGGGAAAAATGTAACTTAGCCCTTGGGTACAAGCCTTCCTCCAGGTCCCTTGCTTCCACTCCTGGTGCCAGAGTCTGCCCCCTGCCCTCAGGGCTCAATGTTGGCTGCCGGCCAAGCCCCCAGCTGTTCAATTGGGTATCCAGGGCCATTATGGCCTGGTCCCACCCTCCTCTTCCCTTCCTGTGTGCATGAAACCCTTGTGACATCCAGCCCCTTGGCGCCCCTCAGCCTGTAGAGCCCTTCCTTAAGCCCAGGCTGTTACACACTCAGTTTCCCCTGCCTGGAATGTCCTCCCTCCTCTTCCCTAATGAAAGCATCTTCCTCATCCTTTGACACCTAGCTCAGATGACTCCCTTCTAGGAAGTCCACCCAGCCCCCTTCCTCACGGGGTTTCCCCAAAGCCTTGGGCTTCCCCCAGGGCAGGAATGTGTCACCCTCAGGTGTTCAGCCCCAGGCTGGCCCCACCATGTAGGGATCTGAGGATCTTGGGCCACCGTCCCTGACAGTACCTTGCAGAGGAGAATTACCACTGAACTTACAGAGGCTGAGGTTGGGGACCCTTGGGCAGAGGTGAGGTGTGTGGAGTTACTGGGTCCTGGCCAACCCTGAGGTCCTGAGATGGGTGAGGACATGGCTGCCCCCAGGGGAGGTGGTTCCCTGGGTGGAACTAGATTAGTTTCCAGCCTCCTCAGCCAGCCAGGAGTCTGTGTCTGCCCCAGGAGGCCTTATGCCTCTTCTGCCCAGAGAGCCCTTGAAGGCCCTGCAGGAGCTCCAGTGGTCATCTGTGTCTGTCAGCTCTTGGTGGGCACCTGGCTGGAGGCCTGAGGCAGCTTTGTTGGCTGCACACCAGTCATGGTTCCTGGGGGCTGCAGCCAAGATGGAGGAGGTTTGGGCAACTCTGCTGGACATACAGGGCCATTCTCCAGGCCACACAGGGTAGGGCCAGGCTGCATGGGAGAGTTGGTGCCAGCAGCGCACACACTTTTGCAAAGAAAAGGCTTTCTGGTATGAGGTAAATTCTGGAGACACTGGGAAAGACAAAGCTGCATCAACTTCTTGACTGCAGGATTTCTAGCCTTCGCGGTGTCATATGTGGATCCCTGGGTGCATTGTGGGCACTGCCACATGAGCCACACACTGCCAGTCCCATGTCCCTTTCAGCAAACAAAATGAGGGAGCAGTGGTAGCTGATGGCTGGTGAAGGTGTCCTGGGTGCCAGCACTGCAGAGGAGCCAGGGTGCCCCGAGATGGGTGTGTTCCTGGCATGGCCTTGTTCAGCTTTGTGACGCTGGACAAATCACTTGGCTTCTCACAGCCTCAATCTCCTCATCCTTAAAGTGCAGATTCATGCAGTCAGCAGATATTTGCTAGTGTCTGCCATGGACTCGGCCGGCACTGTCACGGGCTCTGAGGGCACAGCAGGGACCAGAACACCCGCATGCAGTCCCTGACCTGGGAGCTCAGAAAGCCACACCCTGACGGCTCAGCCTCTGCCCCTCCTTCTGTCTCCCCAGGTGCTCCCGCCACCTCGGCCCCTGTTAACCCTTTCCAGGTGAACCAGCCCCAGCCGCTGACACTGAACCAGCTTCGGGGGAGCCCAGTCCTGGGGACCAGCACATCCTTTGGGCCTGGCCCAGGAGTGGAGTCCATGGCTGTGGCCTCGATGACCTCCGCGGCCCCACAGCCAGCTCTGGGGGCCACTGGTTCCTCTCTGACACCACTGGGCCCTGCAATGATGAACATGGTGGGCAGTGTGGGTATACCCCCATCAGCAGCCCAGGCCACTGGCACAACCAACCCTTTCCTTCTCTAGTGCCTGGGCCTGGGACCCACCCAGAGCACCTGTGCTGGAGGATGCCGAGCAGGGACTCTCGTCTGTGGGACGGGATCCAAGAGTTTGGGGATTAGGGGTATTAGGGCTTTTCAGCTCCAGCTTCCTGATGAAAGGGCTGTCTTTACAGCCCCAACCCTCAGACCCTCGCCTTCCAAGGCAGGCCCCTCAGCCTGGCCTGCTCTCACCACCTCCTCCAAAGCACTGAGGTCCTGGCAGGGCTCCTCTGAGGCCTTGGACGAGGACGTGGAGTCATCAGTGTTGCCCTTGCCCCTAACCTCAGCCCGAGGGTCTCCAGGATGTTGCCTGGCCCAGGACTTGGGACAGTGGCCTTGTCTTTGTCCTCCCCACCCCCCAGCCCTAGGGACACCCCAGGCAGTCCTGGGTGTGGACACGATGAAGCACCGGCTCCATAAGACACCTTTTGGGGAAGTGGTTGTGCATATTTTATTTTTCTTTGACTCGTGTGAGTTCAAAGTAAACACCACCACCGTGGACAACTCTTGAATTAAATCCACTAGAGCGAGCTTTAAAACTAATCTGAGCATAACCCCCAACGTGGCTCTATGCTTGTGTACCTTTGCACATATTTTGTTTAGTACAGTTTCATATTTGAGTTTGCAGAATTATCTAATAGTCTTTTTTTGGCTAATATTTTTATAACGTGGTTCTTATTTAACTGTCTAGTTTTGATAGAATTTACCAGGTCTGGCTGAATGAAGATGTTGGCACGTGTCATTTTAGTGGTTTAAATCCTCTTATTTATGGTTTTAACTCTAAGAAAATTTTAAAAGGAAGAGATGTTTGGATGACAAAAAAATGCCTTATTGAAAAACTAAAGCAAATTCTTTATAGGAAGAAAATATGGGAATTTGATTACACATAGATGATGATGTTTATTTAAAAAAAAAACAACAGCAACAAAAAATCCTAGCCTCCAGTTGCCTTTTCCTTTCTTTAGCTCCTGTTTTTGGTGAATTACTAAACTGATTGACTTTCAGCCTTTTTGGCTAGATCCTGAGAGGCTATTTTTCTTACGAATATACCAACATCCTGAAAGTTAAAGAAAAAAATCTAATGTATGAATGTGACTCACCAATTTTTATCAACTAATTCCTTTTTTTTATTAAAGGCATGCAGGGATTAACAGGACTTCTGTTTACAATGGAAATCTGAAATGGAAGAAACATCTTTAACCTTGTGTGTCTGTGATCTCCTCTGTCTTAATCCACGCTCAGGCTAAAGATGGGGATAATGTGGAAATGGCAGTTGTCCCGAGGGCGTGGGGTGGGGGGTGCTTCTGTGCCCACGGGTCCCTGGGCAACAGTCCCTAGGCTAAGACAGGGGTGGGGGGCTAAGGGACCAGGGCTGGCCCTGATCCACCTACCTGCTAACTCCAGATATTATTTTTAAGTTGGAGACCTAAAAATAATTCTCTTGTATTTTGGAGATGAAGAAAAAAGTCATTCACCTGGGAGGGATTTTTAACAAACATGCACTAATATTACCTCCCTCTTCCAAACTCCTACTGTCCTCACCTCACCCACCACTGTAAAAGTATTACGTCGTGCATTAAAGACCAGAAAAGACTTGCTTTTACCCAGGGAGGGGACATTCCCCCAATCCTGTGTCTGGGCAGCTTGCCTGGTGGATGTTTCTGGCCCTTTTTCCACCATGGGAATTTCTCACCTCTAGCTCTAAGGGCAGCTGACCACCTGCCAGCCCCTCTCTGGTTCCAGAAGATTACCCTTCGCACCGGCACAGGAGAGATCTTAAATGGTCTCTGGGCTGCTGGGACATGCAGGCTCTGAGTGGGGACTGCACCCACTCATGCTGTTCCTGAGGCCGCCCTCTCCAGTCCCAGGAGCCGTGTCTAGAGTTCCTGACCAGCCACCTTCTGCCAGAACTGCAGGCCTGCGGCTGGGTCTTAGGCTCCCGCTGCCATTTGGGTAAGCCGGTGGCTGGTCTCGTCTGCCGGGGGAAGGGTGGGGAGGTGCAATGGGATGGGAGGCAGGATGCTTGCCCAGAAAGGTGCTTTCCTTCAGACGGTGCAGGGCCTGGGCCAGCCTTACAGGTCAGTAGACTAGACTCGACTACTTGGGGTCAGTGATTCTTTTGTAACGAGTCTTTCATGATGTGACTTTGAGGCCCCAACATGACAGCCACTGGGCCACCGGGACCCAAGAAGACAGCCCCCTGCCCCATCTTCTGGCACAGGCCATCCCGAGTGCATGTCCCTGTTGCCCACTGCACTGATCATGAAGCCACCGGCCACTGCCACGCATGTTGCACCTGTGCCATCGTGCTCCCTCCTGATGGGCACCGTGGTGGAGGAAGTCACCCAGCTGTTTCTCAGTCCCAGAGGCCGGTGGCTGGTTTTGAACTTGTGTTGACTGTTGATACTTATTTACTGTATAAATATAATTTATCATTTGTACCATGATGCGGTTTCTGGCTGTGTCCTTCTCCCACCCCATCTTCATCAGTCCTGTGCCACTGGAGAGGTGGGAGATGAGGGAGCCGATTCTTGTGGAGCTTGGTCTGCAGTTATTGAGGCCACCAGCCTGGTCCTAGTGCCCGCGTGAGCTGGGCATTTGGTTGCCCCTGAACCTCAGGGAAAGGGGGTGGGAGGCGTGCCTTTTGTGAGGTGCTGAGACTGGTGGCCTGCACGGGTGTGCTGGGGGAAGTGCTAGCCACTGCCCTTTACCCTTCTGTGTCCGCCCTCTTAATGCGGCCTTGTCACTGGTGGAGGCTGCTTTGGATGAGGTGGAAGTGACAGTGTGCCGGGTCCCCAGAGGCTTCCTGTGCTCTGCCTCCTCTTGTGTCCATGCTGCAGAAGAGCTGCTCTGGGAAGCCACTGCCTGTCAGCTGAGGCAACAGAGGGAGGGAGTGCGTGGAGCTGCCCAGCCAACTGCGTGTTCCTGAGAGGAAGGGCCTGTTGGAGCCACTGGTTCTTAGGTGGCTTGCTGTGCAACAGCTGACCGACAGAGGGCCTGTGCCTCAGAGCCACCAACCAGACGAGGGCAGCGGCGGGAGGACACGTGCATCTCCAGGCAGCAGAGGTGGAAGAGGTGCTCTGGTCACGGGAAGAGGCAAGGCCGAGGCAGAGGCGGCTGGGAGACCCTGATGGGAAGGGTTGGAGAGGCCTTGAGACGAGCCTGGAGGGAGGTCTGGGACTGCCCTGCAGCCCTCTGCTCTCTGTGCAAGTGCCTGGCTCCTGGTGTCCACCCAAGGATAAGCAGACAAGCTTGACTCAGAGCTAGGAGGCTAGGGACTGGTGGCAGGGGGTGCCCGTTCAGTGCAGGGGACAGGAGAGAAAGAAGGGTGTGTGGGATGCTCTTGGTTACGCTGCAGTAACACATCTCCAGGTCTCAGCGGCTTCCCGCGGAAGTTTCTCACAGAAGTCAGTGACTCAGGGACTCAAGCCGCTTTCATCTTGAAACACTGCTATCTTTGACAGACAGCCCTGAAGGTGGCTATGAAGGGAAAAATGGACAAGGGTCAAGCATAGATTTCTTACAGCCAGGCCTGGAATTGCCTCACTGCCACTCACACCAGTGCCAGAATTAGGCCCTCGGCCCCCATCCAGATGTGGGGTGGGTGGGGATGGGCAAGTGCAGGCTTCCTTAGTGGTGGAGGGTGGGAGGTGGGGAAATGGGCTTGGTTAACATTGCCAGTCTCTATCACAGCGGACTGTCTGGCTCCCAGAGAGTTATTTCAGTCTTCTTCTCAAACATAGACAGTAAGGTCCTGTGTCCTGGGCTCTGTGGAGTACAGAGCCTTCTCCAGCAAGGCAGACACAGCCTATAAACTAGAAAGACCTATGATCTGTGCCCTTCCCCCAACAATAACAACAAAGCAGGGCAGGGGTCAGTACCCACAGTCCAGCTCCATTTGGAGGAGCAGAGAATGGGAGACTGCCCCACAGTGCTGGAAGCTGCCGCACAGACTGAGGTCGCCTTGCGGTGAGGAGGGAAAGGACCTGATGGTGCCCTGCTCTGGGCTCTGCCCCCTGGTGGGGAGCTGGCCTTTTTTGTATTCCCTTGGCTGCAGCTCTTGGGCCAAGCTCAGCTTTCTCACCTGCTGCCTGTGGGTGGATGGTTCCAGGCCAGGACCTGTTTTGAGTGAGCCAGAGGCTTCAGTCCAGGCTCATGGACTTTGCACACTTCCATCAAAAATGTGGCAATCTTTGTACTTCTAATCAGTTCCATGTACAAATAACTGCATTATTTTGGTCAGAGTGTTACTTTGGTGGCCCCTGATGGACCTTGTCTCCCAGTGTGGTCTCCGTCACCTGATGGGCGTGGCCATATGACTAGATGGGGCCAGTGCCATGATGGCAGGAGGGGCTTGATAAATGCCTGCACATGGAGCTTGACCTCTTGGCATGTTCTGCTGGCAGCCCACATGTCGTACTATGAGAACTTCAAACACATGGAGAGGCCACATGGGGGAGAACGGAGGTGTTCTGTCAGTAGCCCCCATGAGCCCCAGACAACAGCCCACCATGTGAGTAATCATCTTGGTCAGCTCAGTGGAATAGCTCTAGCCAGAATCAAGTGTAGCATAGCCACCCAGCTGAGCCCAGTCCCCTGTAGGATCATGAGTGATAAATGATAGTGGTTTTAAGTGACAAAGTTTTGGGGTAATTTGTTACACAGCAATGGACAACTCAAGCACACACATAAAATTCTTTCCTAGACATAAGCTGCCTTATTTCCTTGCTGCCTTACCTCCATGCTTCTCTCAATTTAATGGTAGCTACCATGAGGCCATCTGGGATCATGATGGGAGAGCCACCCCCTTAATTCCGTATTTACCAAAAGACCAAGTTATTTTGTTCAGATGAGAAGTTTTATTATGCCTTTATTGCTGAAAGCAATTTTGAATCTTACCTTTTCTCATTAGAGTTTGAGAAAGTCTTTTGCAACCTTTTGATGCTAATTTTTTTTAGATTGTTGCCTTTCATTTCTGCTTGCAAACTAGCCAGTTCTTTCCTCCTTACTGTGATAGCATTCCAAAATGCAGTCAACAGTAGCCAACTCACACTGCACATCCTATCTGGCCTGTCCCTTTCCCCTAGAGCTGCTGTCTCTGGGGCACATAACCTGCCTCCCAAGTTAGCATGAGAGTCTTAGCAAATGTCTTGTACTTGCATAATATAGATCTCCTGCTGTCCAGCTTATGAGCTGTATTCTTTTTGCCTGCCACGCAGCTGCTTAGCCAACAAGAGTTTGTTTTTTCTGTTTTTTGGCTACAGCAGAAACCCACTCCTGATTTTCATATCATTTGCAATAGAATAGGCTATGCAGGATCAAATAACCCCAAGCTCTCATTGGCTGAGCACAGTATCTTATGAGTGTTTCTCACTCACAAAAAGCCTAATGGAGATGTTCCTGGCAGTGCTCTGCAAGCTGGGGTGCCCAGACTCAGGCTCCTCCCTTATGATGCTGCTTTCTTCAATGTGTGCCTCAAAGGGTGCCATGGACAAGAACGAGAAGTGCTTGTGTGACCCTGAAGTGGGTCAGACCTCTCAGTGGTGAAGATCCTTTTCATACTTTGCTTTGGCTAGAACTACCCAAATGGACCCACCTTGATACAAGGGGCCTAGGAAATGTAGTCTTCTGGTGTGCCAGGAGAAAAGGGAGATAGGCTGGTCAACATGCAGCTTTGTGACACCGACAGCATGGACAGCAAGTAAGCGTGGACCTGCAGGCCGTATGCCTCGACTGTCCTCATGGAGGGGGTCCCACATGCCCAACCCCCCCCCCCCCCCGGCTTCCCGGGCACTCGCGCCTTCAGCCTCTTAAATCTCACTGCATCATCTCTTACCTTGACTGGGCAGGGATGCAAGGAGCTTTGTGAAGTGACAGTGACATTTCTGTGCCTTTGGGGCTGGGTTGTGCATTCTTTTTTGAGATGGAGTCTCCCTCTGTCGCCCCGGCTGGAGTGCAGTGGCACAGTCTTGGCTCACTGCAACCTCCACCTCCCGGGTTCAAGCGATTCTCCTGCCTCAGCCTCCCGAGTAGCTGGGATTACAGGCGCCCGCCACCATGCCTGGCTAACTTTTTGTATTTTTAGTAGAGACGGGGTTTCACCATGTTGGCCAGGCTGGTCTTAACAGTCCTGACCTCAGGTGATCCGCCTGCATCAGCCTCCCAAAGTGCTGGGATTACAGGCGTCAGCACCATGTCCGGCCTGGTTGTGCATTCTTAAAGTATTCTTGGCCAGGCGCAGTGGCTCATGCCTGTAATCCCAACACTTTGGGAAGCTGGTGCAGGCGGATCACCTGCGGTCCGGAGTGCAAGACCAGCCTGGCCAACATGGTGAAACCCTGAAACCCTGTCTCTACTAAAAATACAAAAATTAGCCAGCTTCAGTGGCAGGTGCCTGTAATTTTAAGCTACTCGGGAGGCTGAGGCAGGAGAATCACTTGAACCCGGGAGGCAGAGGTTGCAGTCAGCCAGGACCGTGCCACTGCATTCCAGCCTGGGCGACAGAGTAAGACCCTGTCTCAAAAAAAAAAAAAAAAAAAAAAAGAGTTACGCATTTTGTTGTACGTAAATGTCCCCTCAAAAGAACACACTAAAGCCAGACACTGGATTCTGGTTAATGGTAAGTGTGCTGAAATATACAGAAGGTGGAGTCCTGATTTCACAGTTTATTTTGAAATGCAATAAAAATAGGATGGATTGAAGCAGGGATGAATAGTTGGATATATGTGAATATACAAGTACGGAACAGGAAATTGGTAATGGTAAAATCTAGGTGGTGGGTATGTGGTGTTCACTGTAAAATGATGTCAACTTTTCCACATTTAGACATTTCAGTAATGTTGAGAAAAATTGGAAAATTAAACATAACCAGAAGAGGGTGACTTAGTATTTCCCAGCTGCTGACAGGCTGGACAAATGGGGCCTGAGGCTTGTACGTGCACACCACAGGCTAGAGGCTTCAGGGAAGCTTCAGGTCCCCTTGATGTGGACCAAGGCCAGTGCCCTGGGTGAGGTGAGGCCATGGACAGAGAAGACAGCTTTCCGGGGAGCTGTGATAGCTGTGATAAAATGGGGCAGAGGACAGGAGCAGCTGAGGGTGCTGGGCTTTTGCTCTGTGTCGTCCCATGACACGTGGGGCACATGTGGAGGCTGGCGTGAAGGAGCCCGTGTAGGAAAACTCACGATGGAGGGAGAAGGGGAGAAGAAAGACCCTTGAGAGCACTGTATCTCCCACACACCTGAGGCATGTCCTCAGGTAGGGTAAGGAAGGCAGCTAATGTGGGGTGGTTGTGGGAACAGAAGGGAGCGCCTTAGCTAAGCTGGCAGGGAGGGTGCTGGAGGCCTGAAGAGACAAAGGCTGTTAAGTTTCCTCAGAGAATGCATGAGGGAGTTGTCTAGGGAAACACAGACCTGGGCCATGGATGGAACGCGAGCCGTTGTGGCTCTGGGGGCTCAGGCAGGTGCAGGGCAGGCGAAGGAACAGCTGGCTGTCACCAGGGTGGAGACCTTGCCAGGTGAGCATAAACGAAGGATGGAGGGCACTATGGGAAGTGCATGCAGATGACCAAGAGTTCTAAACTGGGCTGGGAGGAAAGCAAGGAAAGAGGGGCTGATGGTTGGCGAAAAGGGGCTGGGCCAGGAGCTTGGAGGGCCTGGTGGTTTGAAGAGCACAGGGAAGCGCCACATGAGGGAGGGCCTGGCCTGAGGGAGGGATGCCTCAATCCAGACTTTGGAGGCAGTGCCTTCACCAGTAACAAGAGATATGCCTGCCTGGCTGTGAGGGGTAGAGGTGAAGACAGACTGTTCCAAGTGAGGAGGTTGAGGAAGAGGCAAGGACACACCCCTGCTCTAGGCTCACCGCACATGGGGAGTGGGAGGAAAAAGATTCCACTTAAGAGGGCTGCAGGGTACTGAGTGGGCTTCAGTAAGGCCAGAAGGCAGAGGGAACTTCCTATTCCGAGAAGATGGAATCACAGGAATTTTGCTGACAACAGACGATGAGTTTCAGAACGCACAGTGAGTTGGGGGGAGGGCACGGGAGTGCTCGTGAGATAAAAGGCAGAAGAGGGTCGGCCCAGATGGTCTCAGGGCAAGTGCCATGACGACAGTCCAGGGCAACATGGGCGAGGCTGGGAGGTGGGGGTTTGCCAGGAGCCTGTGGTTTCTCTTGGATCCCGCTGAGGGCAGTATCTAGGCTGGGGCACCATGTCTGCCGAAAGCTCAGTGGCAGGGCAGAGAGGGCCTGGGGCTGCCTCGTGAGGTGCGAGGGGTTCTTGTGAAGGTGGGGAGGCCCAGGGTCAGGGCCTCCCAAAGTAATGCTGAAGGGGCTCTGCTTCCAGAAGGGCCTGGACAACCTCAGAGGTCAGGGTGTTGAGCCAGGGGGCTCACCTTCCTCTCCTGCCAAGGGGCTGCCAGAAAGCTGGACCCCAGCCAGCGGCCTCCCACCTCTGAGAGGTTTCCAGCCCCCATCCTTGGACTGTGGGTAGGGGGGCAGAGAGGGGAGTGGGCAGGCTGAGGGTCTGCCATCCCCCGGGGTACCTCACCATTCCAGCTCCCAATAACAGGGTTCTGTCCTTGCCAAGGGAGGCTGGTGGCCAGAAGCATGGCTGAACGGGTGATTCTACTTAACCCCAAGCCTCTAAGGAGGGTGCCATGCCCAGTTAGTTCAAGGAACAATGTGTTGCGGTATAGAAAAGGCCACACAGCTTTGAGTGGCAGAACCTGGTTATGTCAAAGCTCCCATCCCACATGCCATCCTGCTGCACGGTCTGGTCTCCTGGCAGCTTCCACGGCACAAGGGGTAGGGACAGGGAGAGCCCTGGAGGTGGGGCCAGGAAAGGCCCAAGAGCCCCCAGCTCCTGTGGGGGAGGGGCTAAACAGGAGAGAAGGCAGCCCCAGGCCTAGGCTCTCTGAAAATGAGACTTTATTATACAAAACTATTCTGTGTGCCCCCAGCTCTGGCCACCAGGCTGCCCCTCAGGCCGATGGGCAGCGGCTGACTTCGGGAAGGCAGCCCTTCATTATCAGAGACTGTGCAGCCTGTGGAGCCTTCACTGGGGGAAGCTCTGGGGTGGGCTGGGCCCCAACACACCCTGTGTATCAGAAGGCCCAGTGTCATAGCCCAGTTTCCTCATGTCCTTGGTCACCACGTTGAAGAGGAGGGTGACAAAGCCCTGAGAACGGACACGGGTCACTGGGGACAGAAGGGCAGCATCAGCCAGGCTGGGCTGGGGCAGAGAGAGACCCAGGTTGATCTGGGAATCTCAGCCTCAGCGTTCTCATCTGTAAAATGGGGACAACAGTGCCTGACCCAAGCCCCTCACTGGGAGGTAAAGGGGCTGCCGGGACAGGCAGACATGACAAACCCTCTGTGCTCCAACCAGGCCCTCATCTGGGAACATTTGTGGGCTAGCTCCTATGTGCCTGGCAGGTCCCCGGCATTCACCCCAACCCTGGGCCCACCCACTCCCAGGCTGTAACCTGTATGGGGGATGGGGGTAAGAGAGGGGAGGGAGCTTTACCTTCCCGGCCTTCACCCTGAGCCACCACCTTGGGGTCTGTGTACTCGGGCCGCCGCCCCATGAACCAGCTGGGAACACAGAAGAACACAGGTGAGCAGGGCCCCACCTGGGCATTCCTGGTCTTGGACGACACTGGATGTGGGCTCTCCTCGGTTCAGAAACCAGCACTCTTGTTCCAACCGCACCCCACCCCCACCAGGAGTCAGGCCCTAAGCAGAGCCTTCCCAGTGGCTGGGCTCCAGCGTGGGGTGTCCCTTGCCGAGGTCACACAGCCTAGCCAGGCCTCATGTGCTCTGCAGCCACGCTGCCTCCGCTGGCCGGTTAGGCTTTTCCATCTCTGGCTTCCATGGGTTTGGTTCACTGGGAATGAGAGCTCAGGAAGATTCTGGGGTGGGGGTGCTACCTGAACCCCCAGAAATCCCAGAAAAGTGACAGCAGCTGAGGTGGGGGAGGGGAGGGGACAGTGTGACCCTCCAGCCTCCCTGGAAGGGGGTCCCACCCCAGAGAGTCTGTGGGGTGGGCAGAAGGGCCAGAACGGCTCCTCAGCCTTACCTCCCACTAGTGTGGGGTCCAGGACATGTCACTTCCCATCTTGGCACCCACCGCAGGCCCTGCCAGGGGCGGCACACAGCCACCAGGCTGAGCATGCGCCCTCCCCAGCCCCAGACCCCAGTTGGGCCAGGCGGGAGGCCAGGAGGCCGGGGGTGTCAGGCCCCGCCGCCGACACACCCACGCGAGCCGGAAACAACCAGGAGCACTATTCCCGGCCGGGTGGGTCCAGCAGCCGCGGGCTTCGCCCCGCCGGGACTCGCGGCCGCGCCTCCTCTGTACCACAGCTCCCAAGGTCCCCCCACGGACACACCCGGCCCCGAGGGTCGCTGGCAACCATGCCGACCCAAAAGCCCACGCACCGCCCTCCCCGCGGCCTCTCCGTCTCTGAGGTGGGCACCAGCGCTCACCTGGGGCGGCTGCAGAGGGGCCCAGGCCAGGGAGGGGCTCTCAGCTGCCGCAGAGTTGGCCTGTGGAGACCACAGCCAGGGAGCACTGCCCACCAGCCCCCAACCCCAAGGAGGGAGCCAGAGAGTGAAAGCCAGCAGGCGCTCCCCAAGGGGAAGGGATGGGCAGCCACAACCCCTGCGCCTCAGTTTCTCCTTTGGGAGAGCAAGACTCTCACAGCACCCACCTCACAAGAGGCTATGTATGAGGACTGGGGCCTGGGAGCATCCCCACTGTGCCCAGCAGATCCCATCCCGGAGCTCACATGGAGCTCCCGTTCCCACTGAATTTCTTTCCTGGGGTCCACCCGGGTGGTCTGCTTAGCTGGCTGGGGTTGGGGAGACAAGACAGGCTGTTCTGGGAGAGCATTCCAGGCAAGGACCTGAGGCAAGGAAGGACCCCTCAGACTGCAGGAACTGAGGTAGATGGGAAGCAAGTGGGCAGAGGCCATGAGGTAGGCAGGGCCCGACCACCGGCCTGGCAGCATTCTGGTTGAAGTTCATTCTGACAGAGACAGGTTCTAGCAGGGGAGGGGTGCAGCCCCAGTTGTGTTTTAGGAACACCGTTTTTCTTGCTATGTGAAGACTAGACTGGAGGGGTGGCAGCAGGCTGAATGACGGCCCCTCAAAGATAGCAGATCCTAGTCCTGGGAAACCGTGCACGTGACCTTATTGAGAAACAGGGTCACGTGCACTTTGCACAGATATGATTAGGCTAAGGATCTTGAGGCGACTATCCAGGTGGACCCTAAAGGCCAGGACTCGAGTGATGAGGCCACAAGCCAAGGAAGGCTGGGGCCACCAGAAACTGAAAGGGCAATAAACAGAGTCTCCCCTAGAGCCTTGGGAGGGAGCACAGCCCTGTGGTGCCTTTTCTGGGCCCAGTGACCTGGATTTTGAACTCTGGCCTTCAGCATACATTTCTGCTGTTTTCAGCTATCACATTTGTGTGTTTTGTTGCAGCAGCCACCGTGGGAAACGAATACAGTGGCCAAGAGTGTTTGGGGCAGGCCCTAGGCCAGCGCTGGAGGATGTGGGGAGAGGCTGGGAGAGGGGTGGGGATGACCGAGGTGTCAGCCTGAGCAAGGAGCCTCCATATCTGGGAAGATTCTGCCAATCAAACTGCCTTCACTAATCAGAACTTTCTCCAGTTTTTGTAATCCAAGCACATACTGCCTTGCCCAGTTGCGAGCCCCTCCACAGGGGCTGTGAAACCCTTTCCTCAGCGAGCTGTCCCCTGGAGGCCCAAAGTCCTCCTTGGAGCTGTGGGCGGTGGAACAGGGTGAATAACCCAGCCTGGATGGCTGTGTGGGTCCCCAGTCTCTTAGGCTTTCCCAACCCACTGATGGGCACTGCCTCGCTGCCTCCCTGACAGCCTGTGGCATGGGGATTGTCACCTCCAGGTGATACTGGCCCAGGTCATCTGGGAAAGAAGTCCTTTGCTACAGGGTGGCCTCCCAGAAGGACTCCTAGGGGCAGTAGGCACACAAATTCTCAGGCTGAGGCCAGCGGAGACCCTGCCCTTCCTCCCCTCCACGGCTCTCAGAGCTCAGTGAAGCATTCTCGGCCCTGGGCGCGATGCTGTCCCTCCACCCAGCAGGGCTCTGGCCTGGTCTCACGCCCAGTACTGGCCAGGCTCGCAGGGGCTGCTTGCCGGCTGCTGCCCTGGAACCCAGGGAGTCCTCCATGTTCCACTTGTGCCTCACTAATCTGCCGGTGGGCGGCAGAGGCTTGCTGCCCAACTGCGCTAATGGTCCTCGAGTCAGAAGGCCAGGGCCCAGCTGGCCCTCTAAGCTCCCACTTGGATGTGAGCAGGGGTAAGAGGCCTTCATGCTGGGGCTGCATCCAGGCATCCCCTGGGCCCTCCCTGCAGGCCCTTGTGTCCTGGCCCCTGCCTGCCTCCCTGATGTCTCCCTCATTCTGCCTGGCTTACCACTTACTGGCCACACTGCCGTCCTGGCCACACCACCGTCCTGGCTTCTCTAGCATGCTAAGCTCACGCTCTCCTCAGCCTGGCAGGCACTGTTCCCTGTGCCTGATGTTCTTCCCCGGCTCTTCCCTCCACACTAAGCCTCTGCGCAAATGTCAGCTCCGGCCAGAGACTCCCACATGTAAAGGCATTTATCATGATTACTGTTCCAAGGTGTCTGACTCATACTGCTATATCCTCTTGTTTCCCACCTTTTAATGTCACATTATGTCATGAGCATTTTTCCCATCTGACAAGAGTTTTTCCTCTGCTCCCTCAGACACAAAGATTTTTCACAGGGCACAGGGTAAAATCGCCCGGCCTTCTGCTGCTGGAACAGGGCTGAAGGGAGCCCCGTGACTCAGCACTCCCAGGGGACCTGTTTCTATTTGTCCTCAGTGGGTGGAGCAGCTTGCAGATCTGAGGAGGCGACCAGGCACAAACTGAGGGGTAGAATGGGACATCCATTCATCCAGTAGATCAGGAGGGGCTGGGGTTATGGGTACAAAACTCACCTTGTAAACTTCTGCAGTTTAGACGTAGATTCTGGGACAAACATGGGGATGGTCCTTTTGTGCCTGAAACAAATGTTTTTGCAGACAGAGATGCTGAGTAAGAGACCTTTCTGAGCCTCCAGGGAGAAGAAACCCTCAGATCAGGCCAGTGCAGCTGCAGCGTGGGCCAAGTCAGGGCCAATGTCAACGAATCCAACCTGTGCTAACTGAGCACCCCCTGTGTCTGGGCAAGGTGCTGAGCGCCAGGAGACAGCCTCATGGAGGTCAGAGTCCCTCAGGGTCTTTTCTTTTCTGGGTCCCACTACCTCCCCAACCCACCTGGTGTGTGGCTGGCACCACCCATCTGAAAGGTTCTCCTCCCAAATACAGGCTACAACCCCCCTGGCCACCAGGCTGAGCTGCCCAGGCCCCTGGAGACCCCAGAGCATTCCCAGCCTGAACCTAAGACAGAAAACGAGGTGAAGTCTGTCCTAGGACAAGTCCTGCCCAGGGCCCAGGTCAGAATGAGGACCTACCGGCCAGGTGAGAAGGGCACGTGCACGGCCCCATAGCCTCGAACCACATCGTTCCCGAACACATCTGGTCCATACACGCTGAGCACGATCTGTGGCCCTTGGGAAGGACAAGGCAGGGGGTGGGCACATGAGGACACACAGGGGAGGTGCAGGGCAGAGAACAGGGCGTGTCCAGCTGAGGGTGCTCAAAGGATGGAGCTCAAAACTCTGGGGTGGCAGGCTTGAGAGGGGACAGGAGCAGGCATGGGAACCCAGACTGTGCCAAAGACTTCTGCCCACCCTGGTACTTCCTGTGTCTCCACTGAGGCCTGGGCACACATTCCACACCCCTTCTCACCGCTATGGAGTCAGTGCCCACTCAGTCACTCCATGTACAAGGAGGCACTTCCAGAGGCCTTATCTGGGCCCAGGGCCCCAGCTATGATCAGGGCCGACTAAGGACCTCTGCTCTCTGGGTGCTCCCTTCCTGATGGAGGCGGGCTCATGGGACTGAGGTGGCAGGGGCTCATTTTGGGGGTGTCTAGAAGTCAGAGAGAAAAGAAAAACCTTCTGGGCATTTTCCTTTAAAATATTATAGGTACTATAATAGGTGTGGCTGTTTTTACACCCGCTTCGTGTTGCCATTGAGGCGCATGAGGCACTTTCACCTCGCCAGTTTCAGGTGAGGCCCAGGGAGGGACTAGGAGCCGGCCTGACAGGCTCTGATCCTGCAGCCACGACTGAGGCAAGTTAGCCAACCTCTCTGCCCCTGTTTCATCATCTCTAAAACACATGAAATAGTACCTAATGCATAGTGAGTGCTCAGTAAATGTTAGGGAGAGGTTTGTGCCCTTCCCATTACTACCTTCCACCAAAGGTAACCATTATTCTGAATTTTAGGAAACTACCTCTTTACTTTTCTTTAAGACTTCACTGCCAAAGAATGCATCCCAAACCTGGTACTTTACCTTTACCAATGTTTTTGAAAGTTTATACAAAAGGAATTATACAGTACATTTATTTTTGTGCCCAGACTCTAATCCAAAATTATGTCCATTAGATTTTCTCAAATGGTTTCCTGTAAAGGGGCGTGTTCATGTTCAATACCATATAACATTCTGCGTGGGAATCTGTCACAATGACTGTTCATTCTAGTGCTGATGGACACATGGGCTGCCCTTCCTCTGGGGGCCACGCACCCAGTGCTGAGCACCATGGCGCAGGCTCTCGGTACTCGCGTGCACACATCTCTGGTGGGCACACACCCAAGAATGACACTGCACAGGGCCCATGTATGTTCCCTCCCAAAAGGTAACACCAAGCTGCCAGCATGGTCCTATCAGCCAGCACTCCCCCAGCAGTGGTATCTGATTCCTGCTCCTCTGTACCTCACGAAAACATGGCATTACCAATCTTTTAAATTTGAGCCGTCCTAGTGAGAGAATAGTGGTAGCTCACTGTAGCTTTAACTTATATTTTCCTTCATTTTAGATTTTTCTTACTGAAATAAGGTTGAGACCTTTACCTGTTTCTTGGTCACCTGGATGTCCTCTTTTGTGAAGAACCTACTCAAGTCTCTTGCCCGGTTTTCTACTTGATGGTCTTTTTCTTTTTTCTTCATTAAAAACATTTTTTTTTTTTGAGACAGGGTCTTGCTCTGTTGCCCAGGCTGGAGTGCAGTGGTGCAATCATGGCTCACTGCAACCTCAACCTCCTGGGCTGAAGTGATCCTCCCACCTCAGCCTCCCAAGTAGCTGGGACTATAGGCGTGTGCTGCCATGCCTAATTTTTAAATTTTTTGTAGAGATGGGGTCTCACTATGTTGCCCAGGCTAGTCTCAAACTCTTGGGCTCAAGCAATCTTCCTGCCTCAGCCTCCCGAAGTGCAGGGATTACAGGTGTGAGTCACCTTGCCTGGCCTGGCCTTTTTCTTATTGATTTATAGTGTGTATATGTGTGTTTATCCTGTGACTTATCTTTTCATTTTTAGTGATGTCTTTGAATGAACATAAGCCCTTAATTTTAATATAGTCAACTTCATTGATCTTCTCCTTCATGGAGTCCTGCCAGAAAATCTTCCCTTACCCTGATATCATGGCTATAGTCCTCTATGCTACATATCCATCTGAAATTGACTTGTGTGTATGAGGACAGGCTGAAGTTTTTTCCTATGTATATCAAATTGTCCCAGCACCATTTATTAAAAAGACCAGGCTGGCGGGCGCCTGTAGTCCCAGCCACTCAGGAGGCTGAGGCAGGAGAATGGCGTGAACCCGGGAGGCGGAGCTTGCAGTGAGCTGAGATCACGCCACTGCACTCCAGCCTGGGCGACAGAGCGAAATTCTGTCTCAAAAAAAAAAAAGACCAGGCTGGGAGCAGTGGCTCATGCCTGTAATCCCAGCACTTTGGGAGGCTGAGGTGGCAGATCACTTGAGGCCAGGAGTTCAAGACCAGCCTGGGTAACGTGGCAAAACCCCTTCTCTATGAAAAATCCAAAAATTAGGCGAGGCGCGGTGGCTCACACCTGTAATCCCAGCACTTTGGGAGGCTGAGGCAGGTGGATCATCTGAGGATGGGAGTTCAAGAACAGCCTGGCCAACATGGTGAAACCCCATCTCTACTAAAAATACAAAAATTGGCTGGGTGTGGTCGCATGTGCCTGTAGTCCCAGCTACTCCGGAGGCTGAGGCAGAATTGCTTGAACCCAGGAGGCAGAGGTTGCAGTGAGCTGAGATCGTGCCACTGCACTCCAGCCTGGGAGACAGAGCAAGACTCCATCTCAAAAATAAAAACAAAAACAAAAACAAAAATTAGCCGGGCATGGTGGTGCATGCCTGTAATCCCAGCTACTTGGAAGGCTGAGGCACCAGAATCGCTTGAATCCAGGAGGCCGAGGTTGCAGAAAAAATCTTTCAACATTTCACCAGTAAAAGTGATGTTTGCTCTAAGCTTTTCATAGATAATCTTGATCAGGTTAGGGAAGCTTCCTTCTATTCCTAGTTTACTAAGCTTTTATCATGAATGGGAGTTGAATTTTACCATGTGTTTTCTTCATTTATGGGGATGATCATGATTTTTTTTTTCTTTTTTTTTTTGAGATGGAGTCTTGCTCTGTCACTCAGGCTGGAGTGCAGTGGTGCAATCTTGGCTCACTGGAACCTCTGCCTCCCAGTTTCAAGCGATTCTCCTGCCTCAGCTTTCCAAGTAGCTGGGATCACAGGCGTGCGCCACCAAACCCGGCTAATTTTTGTATTTTTAGTAGAGAAGGAGTTTCACCATGTTGGCCAGGCTGGTCTCAAATTCCTGACCTCAAATGATCTGCCTGCCTCGGCCTCCCAAAGTGCTGGGATTACAGGTGTGAGCCATGGTGCCTGGCCTGACTCTGACTTTTCTTCTTTTTAATGTGGTGAATTATTTAGAGACAGGGTCTTGCTACGTTGCCCAGGTTAGTCTCAAACTCCTGGCCTCAAGCAATCTTCCCACCTCGGCCTCCATATGAGCCACTGTGCCTGGCCAACTATAGATGTCATAAAACCTTTGTATTTTTGGAATAAACCCTACTTCTCATGATGTATTATATTATCCTTTTTTTATCTTGCTAGTTTCTGAATATTTCATTTAGGAGTTTTGAATTCAGTTTCTGAATATTTTGTTTGGGAGTTTTGCAACTCTGTTCATGAAGGAGTTTCTTCTTTTTAATGTCCTCAGCAGGCTTTAGAATCAAAACTATGCTGACCTAAAAAAGCTGGGGAATGTTTAATCTTTTCAATTCTAGGAGTTTGTGTAAATCTGTCGTTACTTCCTCTTCTTTTTTTTCTTACACTTCTGCCATGGAAGGTGTCATTCTTTAAATGCCTGGTGGAACTCAGTGATGAAGACACTCGGACTTGGAACTTTCTTTGTGAGAACATTTTTAATTATAGATTCAATTTAATAGACATAGGACTACTCAGATTCTTATTCCTTTTTTGCAGTTTTGGTAGTTATCTTTTTCTAGGAATCTGACCATTTCATCTACCTTGCCAAATGTATAGCAAATGGCTGTTCTTTATATCTTATCTTTTTACTGTCTGCAAGATCTGTAACATGTTCCTTTTTCATTCCTGCCATTTCTGTCTTCTGTTTCTTCTTATTATTTTTTAGAGATAGGGTCTAGCGCTGGCACCCAGGCTGGAGTGCAGTAGCATGATCATAGCTCACTACACCCCCAAACTCCTAGGCTCAAACAATCCTCCCACCTCAGCCTCCCGAGTAGCTGGGACTACAGGTTTGAGCCACTGTGCCTGGCCAATTTTTCTATTTTTTGTAGAGACAGGGTCTCACCATGTTGCCCAGGTTAGTCTTGAACTCCTGGGCTCAAGCGATCCTACCGCCTCAGCCTCCCAAAGTGTTGGGATTATAGGTGTGAGTGACCCCACTTAGCCTGTTTTTTCATCGTCTTAACTTGGGGTTTTCAGTTTTAAAAACCAACTTTTGCCTCTTTCATCTCTTCTGTTGTAAGTGTGCTTTCTGTTTAATGAATTAATTTCTGCTGTTTCTCATTCTATTCTGCTTTCTTTGGGTTTAACTTGCTATTCTTTTACTAATTTCTTTTTTTTTTTGAGATTGAGTTTCACTCTTTCGCCCAGACCGGAGTGAAGTGGCACAATCTCAGCTGACTGCAACCTCTGCCCCCCAGGATCAAGTGATTCTCCTGCCTCACTCAGCCTCCCCATTAGCTGGGATTATAGGCACCTGCCACGGGCCTGGCTAATTTTTTTTTTTTTTTTTTTTTTTTGAGACGGAGTTTCGCTCTTGTTGCCCAGGCTGGAGTGCAATGGCATGATCTTGGCTCACTGCAACCTCCACCTCCCGGGTTCAAGTGATTGTCCTGCCTCAGCCTCCCGAGTAGCTGGAATTACAGGTACGTGCCACCATGCCTGGCTAATTTTGTATTTTTAGTAGAGACAGGGTTTCTCCATGTTGGCCAGGCTGGTCTCGAACTCCCGACCTCAGGGGATCCGCCCGCCTTGGCCTCCCAAAGTACTGGGATTACAGGCATGAGCCACTGCGCCCAGCCTATGCCTGGCTAATTTTTAATATTTTTAGTAGAGATGGGGTTTCACCATGTTGGCCAGGCTGGTCTCGAACTCCTGACATCAGGTGATCCACCCGTTTTGGCCTCCGAAAGTGCTGGGATTACAGGCGTGAGCCACCACACACAGCCTTCTTTTACTACTTCTTTTTTTTTTTTGAGATGGAGTCTCACTCTGTCGCCAGGCTGGAGTGTAGTGACGCGATCTCAGCTCACTGCTATCTCCACCTCCTGGGTTCAAGCGATTCCCCTGCCTCACCCTCCTGAGTAGCTGGGGCTACAGAAGCCCACCACCACACCTGGCTAATTTTTTGTATTTTAGTAGAGATGGGGTTTCACCATGTTGGCCAGGCTGGTCTTGAACTCCTGACCTCGTGATCCACCCGCCTCAGCCTCCCAAAATGCTGGGATTATAGGCATGAGCCACCGTACCCAGCCACTAATTTCTTAAGAGAGATGCTGAAATCATTAATTTTTCAGCCTATTTTCTTCTCTAACATGCATTTAAAATTACAAAATTGGTCAGGCGCAGTGCCTCAGGTCTGTAATCCCAGCACTTTGGGAGGCTGAGGTGGGTGGATCACCTGATGTCAGGAGTTGAGACCAGCCTGGCCAACATGGTGAAACCCCATCTCTAATAAAAACACAAAAAAAATCAGCTGGGCATAGTGGCAGGCGCCTGTAATCCCAGCTACTTGGGAGGGTGAGGCAGGAGAATCATTTGAACCCGGGAGGCAGGTTTGCAGTGAGCCAAGACCGCCCGCCATTGCACTCCAGCCTGGGCAACAAAAACGAGACTTCATTTCAAAAAATAAATAAATACGACCAGGCATGGTGGCTCACGCCTGTAATCCCAGCCCTTTGGGAGGCCGAGGTGGGCGGATCATTTGAGGTCAGGAGTTCGAGACCAGCATGACCAACATGGAAAAATCCTGTCTCTACTAAAAATACAAAATTAGCCGGGCGTGGTGGTACATGCCTGTAATCCCAGCTACTAAGGAGGCTGAGGCAGGAGAATCGGTTGAACTCAGGAGCAGGAGGTTGCAGTGAGCCGAGATCGTGCCATTGCACTCCTGCCTGGGCAACAAGAGCAAAACTCTGTCTCAAAAAATTAAATAAATAAATAAAAATTAAAAATAAAATAAAATGACAAAATTTCCCTCTATCCATGACTTTAACTGCCCCCTGCAAATTCAAATAGCTCAGTATTTTTATTATCATTCAATTCAAAATTCCATTATTCCATCAGTATTTCTTCTTTGACATATGGGTTGTTTTTAGAAGTTATTTTCTTATTTTTCAAACATATGGAGATTTTTCTCATTATCCTTGCTATTGGTCCCTAGCTTAAGTTCACTGTGGTCAAAGAAAATACTCCACTCCTCCTGAAAAGCTAAAAGAATTCCAATGTACTGGCGCTGACTCACTACCGGATCACCACTGACAGCTGAGTCTACTTGCTTTACTGCCTCTCCCCATGCCTCAGTCAACTCTTCCTACTTGTGAGGAATTTCAAAGTAAATCACAGATCTCTGGACACTTTCCCCAAAATACTTCACTATGCATGTCAGCAAATAGAGCTCAATATTTGTTCACAGTTCTTTTGAGATAAAATTTATGCATAATGAAACATAAATCTTAAAGTGTACTATTCAATGGATTTTGACAAATGCATACATCTGTGTACTAGCTGCTTTCAAGATTTTCTTTTTGGCTGGGTGCAGTGGCTCATGCCTGTAATCTCAGCACTTTGGGAGGCTGAGGTGGCTGGATCATGAGGTCAGGAGTTCAAGACCAGCCTGGCCAAAATGGTGAAACCCCATCTCTACTAAAAATACAAAAATTAGCCAGGCATGGTGGCAGGCACCTGTAATCCCCAGCTACTCAGGAGGCTGAGGCGGAGAATTGCTTGAACCTGGGAGGCGGAGGTTGCAGTGAGCCGAGATCGCGCCACTGCACTACAGCCTGGGTGACAGAGCAAGACTCCGTCTCGAAAAAAAGAGAAAAAAAAGATTTTCTTTTTGTCTTTGGTTTTCAACTGTTTGATTATCATGCACCTAGGGGTGGGTTTCTTCCATTTATCCTGCTTGAGTTTTGTCTTCTTGAATTTGTGGCTTGATGTCTCTCATCATTTTTGAAAAGAATTGTAGCTATTTATCCCTTCCAATATTGTCTCCAGCTTGTCCTCTCCCCCTCCTTCCAGGATTCCAATTCCATATGGCAGACTTTCAGTATTCTCTGTCTCCTACCTTCTCATCTATATTTTCTATTCTTGGGTTTCACTGTAGATATTTTCCTTTGACCTTTCAGTATATAGTTATCTCTTCAGCTGTGTTTAATCTGCTGAATTCCTGCTTTTGGTTATCATATTTTTCAATTCTAGAATTTCTATTACAATGTTTAAAAAATATGGCCAGGCATGGGGCTCAAGCCTGTAACACCAGAACTTTCTTAGGCCAAGGTGGGAGGATTGCCTGAGCTCAGGAGTTCAAGACCAGCCTGGCCAACATGGTGAAACCCTGTATCTACTAAAAATACAAAAAATTAGCCGGACATGGTGGTGCATGCCTGTAGTCCCAGCTACTGGGGAGGCTGAGGCATAAGAATCGCTTGAATCCAGGAGGTAGAGGTTGCAATGAGCTGAAATGGCGCCACTTTACTCAGAAAGACAGAGCAAGACTCTGTCTGCAATTAAAAAAAAAAAAAAAAATCGGCTGGGCGTGGTGGCTCACGCCTGTAATCCCAGCACTTTGGGAGGCTGAGGCGGGCAGATCACGAGGTCAGGAGATCGAGACCATCCTGGCTAACACGGTGAAACCCCGTCTCTACTAAAAATACAAAAAAAAAAATTAGCCGGGCACGGTGGTGGGTGCCTGTAGTCCCAGCTACTCGAGAGGCTGAGGCAGGAGAATGGCATGAACCCAGGAGGCAGAGCTTGCAGTGAGCTGAGATCGTGCCACTGCACTCCAGCCTGGGCAACAGAGCAAGACTCAGTCTCAAAAAAAAAAGTCAGGCTTCCTAGTTCTCTGCCATAATTCTCAGTCTGTTTTATCTCTTTTGATCATAGTAAAAATATATCTGACAATTTCAGTGTCTAGAGATTCTGTTTATCTCTATTGCTTTATTGCCTTATTTTTGCTGGTTATCATTTATGTTGTCTTGGTTCTTGTGTGCCTCATTATATGCCAGATACTACATTTGAAAAAATATATAGAAATAATTTTATGTCTATGAGATGTTATCTTTCTCCAAAGAGTTTTCTTTCTTTTTTTTTGAGACAGGGTCTCACTTTGTCACCCAGGCTGGAGTGCAGTGGCATAATCTCTGCTCACTGCAGCCTCGACCTCCTAGGCTCCAGCGATCCTTCTGCCTCAGCCCCCCAAGTAGCTAAGATTACAGGCGCCCACCCCCATGCCAAGCTAATTTTCGTATTTTTAGTAGAGAGAGATTTTTGCCATATTGCCCAGGCTGGTCTTAAACTCCTGAGCTCAGGCGATCTGCCTGCCTCAGCCTCCCAAAGTGCTGGAATTACAGGCATGAGCCACCATGCCCAGCCCAAAGAGGTTTCTAATTTGTTTTTGTCAGGTGCCTTGGTGTAACAATCTTGGAGCTGAATAGAAGAATCAGGAGGTTGAAATCATCAGGGGCTGAGCTGAAATCCCTGTGAGGCTGCTCTGCTTCCATCTCTCCCTTATTCCTAGGGCAGCTCTTTGAGGTCTTAACCCAGTTGGTGAGATTTACCTGAGGCCCTCCTCCCAACCCCTTGGAAGGCTCTGAACATCAGTTTTTTTGTGTCCTGGACCCAGAGAGGCTGTCAAAAGTCTTGATCAGTCTCTCAATCACCTCTATTGAAATCAGCAAACACTCCCAGAGGAGATGGGATTGGGGTAACCTCTCTGGATTTCTGTTCTCCTGGATCTTGCCTGGTAAATCTCTTCTACTTTGCTAGCTCTCTGATGCCTCTGAGGTAGTTGCTTTTTGTTTTTGCTTTTGTGTATTACATTTACCTCTCCTACCTGTCCTCGGCAGGAGGAGGTTCGTCCAGTACCTACAGTACCTATTGCACTGTTCCAGGAAGTCTATTGAAACTTCCTACTCATGGATGATGACAGCAGGATGGAATTCCCTGCTCAGGAGGACCACCAAGCATTTTCTGCTCCAGACCCTCCACACCGTGGTAAGCCTAGGCCCAGGCCACGTGCAGTAGAAAGGCCTAGATTGTGAAATCAGATGGGCCTGAATTAAAATCCACACTTGGTCACTAGATGTAAAGCAGAAGGCAAATGATGTCAATTTTGAGTGTCAGTTTCCTTATATGGGAAAAGAAATGGAGAGAAATCTCTCCAGCAGGTATGATTGGGAAGCTCGGATAAGTCCACACAGTGAAAGTATTCATAGTCCCCATGGAGACTAAGCCCAGGCTTTGTGCACAGTAGGCACTTATGAAGTGCAAGTGAACAATCAGAATGGTTAATAACCACCAGCCAAGGTAGAAAGTAAGCAATGCCAGCCAGGAAGCCCTTGGGAAAGAGGTTAGACATAGGACGTGGGAATGGTATCCAGACAGATGGATCGGCATGAATAAAGCTCAGATGAAGAAAGTTGAGGGACTAGCACAGGAGGAGAAAGTGCCAGGGTCTAGCCGGAACACAACACGCCATGGGAAGTCAGCAGGCACAGAGTCAGGCCTCCAGGCCAAACAGCCACAGTCCTGCATGCCAGGGTGGGGAGCCTGCCTTTTACAGGCGTGGCCACTAGCCCTGATGCACTCTGAACTTCCAGAAGGCCAGCTGCACAGCCTGTAGCAGATGAAGGGGGTGAGTGGGGATGAGGAAGAAGAGGAGGGAAAGGGACAGATGGCGAGAGAGAACGTTGAGGGCTGCTTCAAGAGCCCAGGTGACAATCTGAATGTGAACAGTCATGGGCTGGATGAGGCAGAGGCTGTCTTGGGGGTGCTGTGTGAAAGCTCTGCCACCCTACCCCACAGGGCCCCTGCAGACTCACAGCCGTAGGGGTTGGTGCTTTTAAAGGTGACATCAATGGGGAAGTTCCACACCAGTGCTTGCCGCACATCTTGGCTCTTGGATGTGATCTGTGAGATCCCCTCCTCCAGACCCTGTGAGGACAGTGACACAGACGGCTGGATTCAGAGCAGAGCCAAGCTGCTGCGGCTCCTCCCCTTACCTTCAGCAGGCAGTTGGGAGGGCTGTTTTCTCAGCTGTCTTCTCCCAAGACACGAACTTCCAAACAAAGGGGACTAAGAGATGATGGAGTACCTCTTTAAGTCTGGTACTTTAACGCCGTAGCTTGACAACCCTGGGAGGCCAGCCACTCTCCCGGGCACAAGGGCACTAGATCTGGTCCCAAGCTCTTGCCCCACTGAAGGAATGGTCCAGCATGCTTACACTCTCCTGCATCCCCACCCTCACCTGAGTATCCCCATCCTCACCTGAGTATCCCCATCGGTAAATACGTAAATGTGTTTTCTCCATCAAAAATAGTCCTCTTTCAACTCTGCGGCTTCTTCCACCCACCAACCCTTTCTCTGCTCCCTTTATAGCAAAACTGCCTCAAAGAGCTGCCACACTCACCGGCTCCAATTCCTCCCCTGCTATTCTTTTGTGACCCCACTCCAATGTGACTGCTGGCTCCAGCACTCTACCAAAGGGTTTTCTCCATTAATGCCCGTGACCAACATTGCTAGATCCAATGGTCATTTCTCTATCCTCGTGTTACTTGACCCATCAGCAGCACCTGATGCAGCTGCTTACTCCTTGATACACTGTCTTCCCTTGGCTTCTGGGTCTCTCCACTGCACAGGGTGGCCCCTGCTCAGTGGCTCTTGCTGGTTCCTTCTCAGTGTTGCCGTCCTAAGGCTGCATCTTTGGCCAGCTCCTCTACCTGTACTTGGTGATCTCATCCATCTCATGGCTTTCAATGTGCTCTAGATGTCGATGATTCCCAAATTTATGTCTCCAGCCTGGTCCTTGCCTCTGCACTCTGGATCAGCACCTCCTCTTGGATATCCAGTGGGTGCCTCAACCTTAACCCACACCAGGCTGAGCTCCAGGTAGCTCTCCCCAATCTGTTCTTCTCACTGAAAGGCAGCTGCCTACTTCTAAGTGCTCAGGCTAAAAGCCCTGCTGTGAATCCTAACTCCTCCTTCTCTCAGACCTCACATCCATCAAAAGAACCCAGCGGCTCTATCTTCAGAATATACTTGCAGTCCAGCCCCTCCCACCACCCCACTGCCACTGCCCTCCTCTCCCATCTCCACTGCTGTCAGAGCCAACTGGGCTGCCTGCTCTTGCCCTTTCCCCCCGAGTCTATCCTTGTCGTAGAAGCCAGGGAATCTTCTAAAAACATAAGTCAGATCACTTTCTCTGCTGAAAGTTCTCCAGTGGGATCCCATCTCCCTTTGAGTAAAGGTCACAGTCCTTACTCTGACAAGACCTGCCCAGGTGCCTCTCTGCTCCAGCCACTCTCCTGCTGGCTCGCTCTCCAGTGGCCACACAGCCTCCTTGCTGGTCCTCAAACATGCCAGGCAAGCTCCTGCTCCAGGGCCTTTGCACTCTCTGCTGTTTCTGCCTGGACAGTTCTCACGGGTTTCCACATGGCTTGTTCCCTCACTTCCTTCAGGTCTTTCCTCAAAAGTTACTTTCTCGGCAAGGCCCTCCCTGGCAGCCTTAGCGAGATCGCAGCCTCCTTCTCATCACTCATCCCTGTCACTTCCTGGCTTGGTCTCCCCTCACACTTCTGGCTTACTAACATCCTAGAATATGCACTCCTTATTATCTGACCCCCCAGCAAGAACGTGCGCTCCGGGAAGGCAGGGTCTTCTGGTTTGGCTTTGCTCACCCCTGCATCCCCAGCACCCAGAAGACAATCAATAAAGGGAAAAGAAGGATTATCATCTCAGTTGTACAAATGAGGAAACTGAGGCTCAGAGAGCTTAAATAAGTTCAGTCTCCTTTTCTTAAACTGCTATGAAGATGAAACAAGTGCTTTGCAAACAGCAGAGCACAGAGCGGGCTGAAGTTGTCACCACAGTCCCTCACCTGGTGGAGGCAAGCTACCCCTTGGGAAGTCCTGGAAGGAGAGCTCCTACTCTGTCTTTTTACTCCAGGTCCTCCCCACTGGCTGAGGAGAGGCCAAATGGTGAGCGGACTGGCCAGAGTGTCCACAGCTCAGCCACGTCCAGGCTGGCTCACTGGGGCCTGCCTCCTACTGCAGGTGTTGCTCTTTGCTGCCCCGGGGAAGCTCACAGGGTAGGGCTTCTGAGTGCAGTCTTGGTGGATGGATCAGGGAGTCCAACCATGGCTGTGTCCTCTGCTCCCGCTTTACCAGGAACACTCATGTTTGGGTTCCCCTGAACTCAGTCTCTACCTCTTAACTTGTTCTGAATGGGGAGGGGAAGGATATGACACCTTCAGAAACCCCAAAAGTCATGAAGGCGGTAAGGGAGGCCCAAGAGTCCAGCTTACCGCTGTGGGGGCCCAGTCCTGGCCGTACACAAAGCAGTACTTGCAGTAGAGGTCATCATACTCTGGAAACTGAAAAAAGCACAGACAGATTCTGTCGACTGGTATTCATGCTGAGGCCAATGCATTTGCTAGGCAGGTGCAGCCAAGGGGAATTCTGAACGTGAGACACCTGGGAGTGGGTCTAAGAGACGGCTGGAGATGTGTTCAGAGGAGAGGCTGAGGACCAAGAAGCGGGAGTCCACGGGAGACTCCCAGGTGCCACGGCCCCTGGCTTTTGCTCAGGCTCTGCCTTGTCTGATTTGTCCTTCCTACTTCATCCGGAAAACTCCTGCTCACCCTTCAAAACTTACCCTTCAGGGAGCCTGCTCTAACTCTCAAGCTGGTTTAAGGTCTCCTCTTGGCTCCCTTAGCCCCGTGCTTCCCTCCATAAAAGCAATGATTGCCTGTGTCTAAGTCTGTCAGTTCCTCTAGACCATGAGTAGAGAAGAGATTTAATGCCTTTCTGTGTCCCCACTGCCTGGCACAGGGCTGGGCACAGATAAGGTCTAAGGCAGGGGTCCTCAACCAGTCCGTGGCCTGTTAGGAACGGGTCCACACAGCAAGAGGTGAGGAGCAGGCGAGCAAGCAAAGCTTCAACTGTATTTACAGCTGCTCCCCATTGCTCGCATGACCACGGGAGCTCCACCTCCTTGTCAGATCAGTGGCGGCATTAGATTCTCATAGGAGCACGAACCCTACTGTGAACTGCACATGTGGGGGATCTAGGTTGCATGTTCCTTATGAGAATCTAACGCATGATGATCTGTCACTGTCTCCCATCACACCCAGATGGGACCATCTAGTTGCAGGAAAGCAAACTCAGGGCTCCCACTGATTCTACATTATGGTGAGTTGTATAATTATTTCATTATTATTTACAAGGTAATAATAGAAATAAAGTGCACAATAAATGTAATGTCCCCAAATCATCCCAAAACCATCCCTCGCCACCTGGTTTTCCACAAAACCAGTCCCTGGTGCCAAAAAGGTTGAGGACCACTGGTGTAAGGGAATGGTGCTGAAGTGAAAGGTCTGAGAACCCAGGAAGCCATCATATGCAAGGCTGGAGCTGAGGCCCTGAAAAGAGGGAGGTGCTGAGAGCAGAGCAGGGAGGAACAGTGTGACTGTCAGTGTGTGTGTGGCGGGGGGGTCGCTGATGCTGAGAGCACAGACACATGTGACTCAGCCCAGCCGAGAGCCCCTAATAGGAAAGGACAGGAGAGTGGGGAAAGACGGTCTTAGGCACTAGGCTAAGGCAGAGGCGGACAGGGTGGGAGCATGGAGTAGTATCCCTGATGAAATAGGAAGGCAGGAGACACCTACAAAGCATCAGGCCCTGTCAGAGCCTTACCCAAACCGTCTCAGTCAATCCTCACAATAATATTATAAAATAATAATAAACACCACCTCCAACAGCCTGGAAGGACAGTGTAGTGAAGCTTTGAGGTCAGATAGGCGTGGGTTCAATTCCCAGACAGGCCAGTTCCTTTGGTATATTTCCCCAGCTGTAAAATGGGGGTGTTAGTAGTGCCTATCTGGTAAGGCTGTAAGGGTGGACCAGTGCGGAGCACCGACTTTGGGACATATTGAGGACTTGGTGAGCGTTGGTTTATATTTACAATAAATGATTCCTCTAAAGTGTAGGGGGATGGGGAATAGCGTCCCTCGGGCCTAGCAGGCACACCTTCCTTGGGTCAATTCCAGGCCACCACCATTGTTGGATGGTTGGATTCGAACCCGAGTTCAAGGATCTGGGGATTCAGAACGCGGGACAGTAACTCCACACGGGACACAGCGCAAATGCTGGAAACTCGGCCAAGCCTCGGCTCCTCGCGTTAACCCCAGGAGGCTCCTGCCAGTGATCCAAGCAAGTGGGCATGACCCGTGCGAGGGCCCACAGGCTTGCCCGAGTGTGACCTCGGTACTAGCTCAACATCTCGAGGTCTGCTTCTATTCCTGCACATCGGGACTCAGGATCCGGGCAACCTCGCGCCAAGCTCTCCAATGCTGGCTCCCCTCCCCCGCCTAACCGAGAGGCTCAGAGGAATGACGTGGCTCTCCGGGGGCCACAGGGCAGCCCGGGGGGTTGCGGGAAGGGCCCCGGGGGACGCTGGGGGGCGGGCCCCGGCGGGGTCCACGGCCGCTCACCTGGGCGCTCTCCACCTGCCCGTTGACCATGAGTAGAAAGACGCTAGGACTCGCGGTCGCCATGGCAGGTCTGGGGGTGCCGGGGGGACCCACCTAGGCCGCGCGCGGTTGCTAAGAGACGCCGGCGTTGCCCTAGAAACAGACGGCGTAGCGCGCAGGACACGTTTCTTGGCAGCGACACCTTCGCGAAGGCCACGCGAGTGCGCGTGTGGCATGCGCAGGCGCAGTGAACGGGCGCCGTTATAAGGGGGCGGGGCACAAGGGGCGGGGATCCACGCCGAGGCTCCACCCCTCCTTAGGGCAGGTATGACCGAGAGCTGGGGCGGGAGCGTTGACCTGTCGGGTAAAGCCAGCCCTACCGCTCGACTCAGTTGCACGCGCAGGGAGTGTGTGTTCACTCTGACTCGGCCCGGCTCCCCGTCCCCGCCGAAGCGCAGAGGCGAATGAGAGCTGAGTCCTGGGGAGCAGCGCTCCGACTCACGCCCTCAGCAAGCCGAGTGTTTAAAATACATTCAGCCACTAGATGTCGCTGTGGCCCCACCGCGAGGACGCGGAGGGAGGCGCTGCAGAGCACGGGCGACGTGACCACAGCTGTCGGGGCTAACTCTGGAATGCCGGGTGCTCGGAGGAGCCTCCCCAGCTGGGGCCAAGCAGCGTCCAAGCAGGTGAAAAGGATGCGCCCCTGTGGCTTGGAGACGCTTGCCCTCGAAAAAGTTTATTAAACAAACTTGGGAGGGACCTCAAGAATCCTTACATCCAAGCCATCGCTCTTTAGTTCGAAGCTGGGGAAACTGAGGCCCGCAGCGGGCGGCGCCTGGCACCCCAATCAGCCAGCGCTCAGGGGAGTTGCTAGCCAAAATCCACGAATCTGTCAAGATACAGTCTTGTATCTTAGTGGCCTGTCACAGAGTAAGCACTTGGTAACTACTAACTTGTTGATAAATGAATAATTGAAGACATCTCCATTTTACAGAGGAGGAAACAGATTCAGATGGCAAAGGCAGGTAAGTAGCTAAGTCAGGATTCAAACCCAGGACTCCAGAGGCTAACAACCCTCACTGCCTCTGTCTTGTCCTGGGCCAGCCCCAACAGCATCTGTTGGCAGAGGTGTCAAAGGAGACGTTGGAGACATTATCTTGGATCCAGGAAATGAAGGGATTCACAGGTGTGTAGACTCCCGGGAGGCCAGGCTCCGAGCAGGGACCCCAGGTCATCACATTCTGCAGCTTCTAGCTTGGGAGCAGACTAGGGGAGTCCCATCAACCATCTGCACGAGGGAGGGAAGGAGCAGTCTCAGCCCAGCCTGCACCCACTGAACCACCCCCTGCCTAGTGAGCAAAGATATTTGATCAGGGGAGGGAGGCAGCGGGTAACCAGTTCACACATCTGACAAGAGCAGCTGGGGGAGGGGATGGGTGGGCTGGTGGCCCAAGTGCTGCACCCAGAGCCCAAGACAGGGCCCATTTCCCCTCCTGGAGAGGGGGTCATACTCCCTTCTTCCCCCGCTCTGTCCATCTCTTTCCAGTTAAAGTGCTTTCTCCCACACATTCTATCAGTCTCACCCAATTATTTCCTCCCTTTGGCCTTTGAGGCTCGGTGTTGCACACAAGTTAGTTTTCAGCAAAATGCTTGTAGTTATCGAATAACTGGGGGCTCCCAGTAGTTTAAGACCTGGCTATACCAAAGGTGGCCCCACATTCAAATAGGACATAATGGGGGAGTCTCCCCAAGGGGTGGGAAGTTCTAGGGTGGCCTTCAGGGGTACAAATAAGCCCGACCCCTGGGTGTTGGGGAATGGAAGACTCCAGGATAGGATGGGAGGGTGACCAGGCCTAACTTTAACAAGTCTAGTGGCATTAGAAGCGACTTTAGGAGAGGGGTCTCAGGGGCTTGCATAGGGGCTTGCATAGGGCCTGCTGGAATCCTTACCACCAGTTCAAGGGCCCAGTGGAGAGCCTGGTGTACTAGAAGTCCTTGGGCAGGCTGTCCTTCAGGTCAGGACAGTCAGGTTGGAGGAGAAGGTAGTTTCTGCAGATGCTGACACACAGCGATCTCAGCAGGACACTCTGCAGCTCTTGGGGTGGGATGTAGGGATCTGCAATGGGGTGGGGCAGACCCTCAGCCCAGCTGACATCCAGCCGATCTGCACCAGTCCAGCCATGCTGGTTGTTAACATATATTGCTGAGCTTCCCTGCCTGTGCCTGTGCCAAGTCTCTCCACCCCCAGATGCCTTCCTGGGCTCCTAGACATTCCTCGCTCCCACCTCACTCTTAGTACAGCTCTGTCCTCTGGTACACTCCCACGCAGTCCCCTCAGGGAAGCTTCCAGCACATTGGGCAGGCGGGGCTGTCAGCCATTGGGCAGGGGTGAGGCTGGAAGCTGGCTTGAGCAGAGCAGGTGTCAGCGCCAGCCCTCTTCCCTGCATGCCTATGGCCATGGTGCTGCCGGGCAGCTGGCCAGAGCCCCTGCAGGGTCCCAAGCTCCACCCTGGCCATCTGCCTCCCCCAGTCTCTCAACCATCCCAGGCTTCTGCTCCCATCCTTACTGAAATCGGGTTCAAACCCCTGGCCCCAGCAGAGCTGTCTCAGGAAGAGGGAACAGTGGGATTGAGTGGCCAGGGGGACGGCCTGCACAGCGCTGGTGAGCGACGGAGGCCTTGCCCCTTGCCAGTTGTGCCAGGACCAGGCTACCAAACCCAGAGCCCTCGGGCCCTGCTGAGGACAAGAGCAGCTCCCCCATGGTAACCTGATCTCACAAGAGTCCATCTGCAGTCGATCTGGACCCAAGGTCACACTGAAGTGGGACCAAGGCCAACTGTGGAGAGAGGAGGTGAAGGGGAGGTGGAGAGCTGGAGAGGCTGGGGGCCACCCTCCTGGAGCCCCTCTCCACCACCCCTCCTGGCTGTGCACCCACCTGTCAAAGCAGTTGGCGCCTGTGAGCACCCACTCTTGGGAGATGAGGGCCCCCTCACAGCGGCACCAGGTGTCCAGGAAGATGCTGGCCTGGCCAAGCCATTTGTCTGGGCCCTTCTTGCTGGAGGCCTCAGCCAGCCTGGACCCTGCACCTCAGGAGACTGAAGCCTCAGAGCTCAGCTCCGGGTCCCAGGGCCTTGCAGGTCTACCATGCATCTCTTTCCATCCAGCCCTGCGATCTCTGCAGCCCAGCTTCCACCCCTCACCCCTCCAGCTCAAAATCAGACTGCCTGCAGTGGAATCCTATGTGACTCAGGGAAAGTCCTTTAACCTCTCGGAGCCTCGGTTTCCTCATCACACCCAGGGGGTTGTTGTGAGGATTAAATGTGATAATATATGTCAAAGTTCCATACATTTGTAGCTATTCTTTTTTTTTTTTTAATTAAAAAGTTTATGGGCACATAGTAGGTGTATACATTGCAGCTATTCTTGTTGCTGAAGTCATTCCTGGGGTGCTCCTGCTTTTTCATGCCTCCTGGTTTGCACATGCTGTTCCTTCTACCTAGCTCATCATCTCCTACCTATCCGCCCAGAGAACTCCTATGTAGCCTTCAGAGCCCACTCTTGTGAAGTCTTCCTTGAACGCCTCTCCCCTTGGCCCCACAGTCTGCTCCCCACTTCCCACCCAGAAGCTCATTATAAGTGGGTGTCCGGCTCTGCTTGCTTTTCTCTTTAGACAGGGAGCTCACTCATCTCTAAGGAAGCTGGGCCTCCTTGAGGACAGCCCTCCATCTGCTCTGCCCTGGTCATCGGGGTCCACCCTCAGCACCTTCAAGGGGTGGGGAGCCCTGGGGTGCACACTAGGGGCAGGCATCCTGCATACAGACTTGGCGCTGGGGTCTCCAGATCCTCCTCCCAGGAGCTTGTCCTGGGTCCTGGGGCAGGGGACTTCTTAGAGTCCTGCTCTGCCCCGTCTCAGGTAAGAGGCAGAGAGGGCAGCTGGCTGAGACCAACAGTAACAATAATAATCCCATGTGCCCTCTCTTTACACCCCCACGAAGTCCTGAGCCCCTGTGATTCTGGGCTCCTCACAGTGACCCCCCAGACCAGTGCTCCTAGCCCCCTTTTACAGATGGGGAAGTCGAGGCTCAGAGACAAACCGACTTCCCAAGATCACAGTGAGTTGGAAGCAGAGTTGGGATTCAAATCAGGGTCCCTGTGACTCCAAGTCCCCAAATCATTTCTCTCAAAGGCCTTATAGGTCTTTCCTTCTGTCTTTGCCTCTTGGCTCTTCAGCGGAGGGGCCACACTTGGAACACCGGTTGCTTGAAATGCCTGGTGCAGGCACTCGGCTGAATTTCACAAATGGTGCAAAGTCAATACCCTTTGTGGCCTGTCCCTGACGATTCCTTGGGCCTCACCTCACCCTTCCCCTCAGGCTTGAAGTACTGTATGCCTGCGGTTCTAGGTGGGCAGGTCCATGCAAACCAGAAGCTACAGGGGCTGAGAGGCCAAAGAGAGAGGCAGACAAATCTGGTTTCTCAGAAAGAAGCATTTAATAGAGGCACATAAACAGAAGCCATGTCTAGGGCGGTCACGAGACATGTAGGTCTCTGCACTGTTACCTCTAGAGCCAGGGCATGTATAGCATAGGGAAAGGGCATACATGCTTCAGAAGGGGTGTGTAGGACAATTGATCAGCATTGCCAGTGACGGTAGATAAAGTAGAAATCTTAGAGGCCTTTCTGGAACTGGGGTCAATCAGAAGCCAGCATGGCAGATTTGCCTCTGAGATGGAGCCGCTTTGGCCTCTGCACCTGCACATGACGTTCTCAACAATGTTGTGTGTTTATTTTTTGAGAGGAAGTTCACATAACCTAAAATCAATCTTTTTTTTTTTTTTTTTTTTGAGACAGAGTTTCGCTCTTGTTGCCCAGGCTGGAGTGCAGTGGCGCCATCTCGGCTCACTGCAACCTCTGCCTCCTGGGTTCAAGCGATTCTCCTGCCTCAGCCTCCCGAGTAGCTGGGATTATTGGTGCCTGCCACCATGCCCAGCTAATTTTTGTATTTTTGGTAGAGACACGGTTTCCCCATGTTGGCCAGGCTGGGCTCAAAGTCCTGACCTCAAGTGATCCACCTGCCTTGGCCTCCCGAAGTGCTGGGATTACAGGCATGAGCCACTGCACCCGGCCAATCAGCCATTTTTTATGTGTATAATTCAGGGGCATTCTGTATATCACCTTGTCTTTGCAAATGTTGTTCCTTTGTTCTAGAAAGTCCTTCCTGCCATTTCTGCCTGGAAGCTTCCTGTTGAACTTCAAGAGCCCGATAAATGCCCCTTCCTCTGGGATGTCTTTTTTCTGATCCCCAACTTGGTCTAGGGGCTCTCCCTGGGCTTCCTCAGCCCCTTGGTCACAGCCCTTCCACACTAGTGGTCTGACTTGGTCTCCCCAGCCAGACTCAAAGTCCCGGCATATGCAGTGGAGGGTGGGTGCACTGGGATCATTTACTAAATGCTTGTTGAGTGAATGCATGAGTGGAGGTCTTTGGGGAGCACTCTGGGGGGCCCTGAGGCCTTGTGGGTAGGGCTGGGCCCTCGGGTTCCAGCCACAGGGAGGGCCTAGAGTCTGACATGGGGAGAGACAACTCGGATCCAGCCTCCTGCAGCATAACAGAATAAACCGGTCTGGGTCTGAGGCAGAGCCCGAGGTGGGATAGAGGGCTCTCAGTTTCCATTATCAGCCTTTCCTCAACTTGCAGTGTGAGCCCAGGCCAGTCACTGCCGTATTCTGGGCCTCAAAATCTTCATTAATGAGAAGAGGGCATTGCCTGGACTATCTCACTCTCCTGTTAAGTCATTTGAAGGGCTGCGGGAATCCCTGGCCTTTCTAAACCGTGACTCGGGCTAGGCATGCCCCCTTTACCCCTGAAGCTCACGGGAGAAAGTGCTTGGAGTAGCTTCTTCTAGGAGTTAGTCAGCAGACAGAGCTGAGTTCCAATCCAAACTCTTCCCCCTCACTGGCTATGTGACCTTGGGCTGTTTGCTTAACCTCTCTGAGACTCAGCTTCTGGGAAAATGAGGAACATAAGATCCCTACTAGTAGGGCTCAGTAAATGTCAGCAATGGTCTCCACAGTGAAGATGATGACATGATTGGAGTCCAGTTTACTTGCAGACAGACAAGTTGAATTGCTGGCCAAATTCTGAAAAAAATCGTAGGTCTTTAAAAATCATTCATTTGGGGGCGGGGCACAGTGACTCATGCCTATGATCCTAGCACTTTGGGAGGCTGGGGCAGGAGGATCATTCGAGCCCAGAAGTTCAAGACCAGCCTGGGCAAATAGAGACCCCGTCTCTAAGAAAAATACAATAAATAAATTAGCCAGGCATGGTGGTGTGGGCCTGTGACCCTGGCTACTTGGGAGGCTGAGGCGGGAGGAGCACTTGAGCCAGGGTTTGAGGATGCAGTGAGCTGATGGCGCCACAGCAAGACCCCATCTCTTACAAAACAAAAACAAACCCAGAACCATGAGTTCTGTTTCTTAACACTGGATGTTACTGAGTATAAGCACCTCTGACGGTTCTAGGATGCTTGTTTCTAAGAGCTACATTTTCCCCCTCTGAGAAACAGTGAAGTGGATGACATTCTTTTTTTGTTCTTGAGAACTGCTATGAAGAAAAAACATGAAGCATGGCAAAGAGCTAGCGAGGGATAGGGAAGCGTATAGGGTTATGGTAGACAAGCAATTCTCCTCTCAGGAGAAGACATTGGAGCAAAGTCCAGAAAGAAGTGAAGGGTTGAGTCATGCACGGATCTGGGGGTGTGTACGTCCAGGCAAAGAGCATAGTCGGTGCAAAGGCCCTGCATGGAGGGAGGGGCAGTCTGGAGCCTGCCTGCACTGAGACAACTGTGCACCTCTTCCCAGGGCCGCGTTCGGTGTGTCATGCTGGTAGCTTGCGATCAGCCACGGAAGGAATATTTACACTAAGGAAATTGGCCAATGCAACAATCAGGGCTTTACTATTTTATATTTTATTTTTTCTCAGAAAACGGGACGTGCTACTTTACCAGCACATCACTGGGGGTAGGAGATGAGGTCAGAGAACTCGCCAGGCCCAGATCACCCAGCGCCTGAGTGGCTGGAGGTTAAGTGAGTTGGGTTTTTACAGGGTCCCTCTGTGTGGGTGTGGGGGGAAAGCTGAGAGGCCGAGGAGCAGGCAGATGTGGTCATCCAGGTAGGTTTGCCAGACTTAGCAAAGAAAAATACAGGATGCATGCACTACTCGGGACATACCTAACTAAAGAATTATTTGTTGTTTATCTGAAATTCCAACTTAAAACACTGGGTATCCTGTATTTTAGCTAGCAACCCAGGTGGCAGGTGGAAGATGGAGATTCACGATTGCTTCTGGAAGACTCGCTGTGTGATTCCGCCCACCCCATGGCCATTCCCTCCTCCTGAGATGTTCAGAGCAGGATTCCTACCTAGTGCCCCGCCAAACATGGCCCACACCCCAAGTCACCCTGGACCACACCCGCCCCTCCGTCATTTCCTACAGGCTTTTCCTGCAGATTGAGAGAGGAAACTGGGCAGGGAGCACACCACTGATGGGTGAAATGATGATCTCACAGGAAACCAGACAAGCTAGAGTTGTCACCACACCCTGGACTCAGAGAACTTGGGTACTTCACCGACGGCCACCTCCCATCGCCCTTTCATTCTTCATGGGCAGGGCCTTGCAAGCCTTGGTGATGGATTTTATTCCATGAGATGGGGCAGCTGTTGCAGGAACACGATTTGAGTTGTTTTTTGAAAGATTGCTCTGGCTACTGTGCAGAGTGGCTTCTCAGGGTGCACACGGGGGAGATGTCGTAGGACAACTGGGTGTTGGATCTGGAGCTCAGGGAGAACAACCCTCAGAGGAGATGGCCCCTGGCTGAGCCTGGAGATACCACCATTCCAGAGAAGAGCAGAGGGCCAGGAGAAGGGGCGTGTGGCTGTGTGGTTGACATCTCGATGACATGTGCTGTGTGTGTCCCTCACAGACTTGGGATCTTTCTGGGAGGCAAACACAGGCCTTGGGGAATGTTCTGGGATGGGCGATGTCAGCCTCAGTGTGTTTGCTCAGCTGCTGGGCTCTCTTGGGACCATAGAGGACTGCAGCACCAATGGTGGAACTCCAGGCGTGGTGACAGGATGTGACCAGGTTCCCCCACCCAGGTCTGTGGTCAGCCTGGCTGTGCTGAATGGTGGAAGCAGGGGTGAGGCCCCGAGAGGTGTCTGGAGCCATCTGGCCGTGAGGTCAGCCACCCAGCCAGGCCTCTGGAAGCCATGGGCAGCCACTTCCCAGATGCGGCTTCCTGCCCTTTCCTCCACCAAAACCACACTCAGCTCATAGGCTGGCCTCAGGGGCAGTCCCTTTCCCACGGGGAGGGCCGCATGCAAATGCCACACTGAGCTGAGCCAAGGCAGGGGTCAATTCTGAAGGCCTGGATCCTCCATGTCCTATGGGCAGGTCAACCACAACAAAGCCCAGCCTGCCCATCAAGCCCCACTGCTTTCCACTGCTTTGGTGCCTTCGCCTCTCTGGGTGAACCCTGCTCACCCTGAGCCCCTGCATGTAAGGCACTTTTAGATGCAATCATCCCCTGCGATTTTCCTGATACAGGGAGAAGAAGGCAGGTGGCCCTGGCCACTGTGTGTGCTGACGCAGAGCGAACAGGCAGCAGCACTGGAGGGAGGGAGGAGTGTGTGTGTGGCTGTGCGTCCTGTGTGTGGATTTTTGTGTGCAAGTCCCGTGTGTGTACCTAGCATGTATGTCCCAGTAGCTTGTGTGTACCTGTGCCCTGGGTGTGTGCTTGTGCAAATCTCTGTGTGTGTTTGTGCAAATCTTTGTGAATGTAAACCTGTACCTAAGAGTGTTGTCTGTGTGTCAACGTGTGTGTATAGGCGCCTGGAACCAGTTATGATTTAGATCAACACCCCACTTTCAGCCTTGGCGAGATTCCTTCCTGCAGGACCGGGGAACAGATCACTACTCCCATTTTGCAGAAGTGAGACTGAGGCTCAGAGAGGGCCGAGACTTGCCTAAGGTCACCAGCTGATGGGATTACAATTCAGTCCTTACCTCTATGGTGGCTTCTAAGGGTTCATGGGTGTTCTTGGTCCCAAACTCTCCTCCCCAACCTGTTCCATTGGTGCCTGCAATACCCCTGTTGGGAAGAGACAGTGTCCTTGGCAGATTCATCTGTTAAACTGGCCTCCCTTCATGAAACAGGGACAATCCATCCTTCCCAAGACTGTCCTAGCGGGTAGATGGCCCCTGGAGCAGGAGGGCCTGCCAAGGAAGGCAGGGAAGGGGAAGGGGTGGGGGTCCTGCAGAAAGACAACTGCCTGCCCTTCAGAGTGTGGGCTGTGGGAGAGGCTGCCACAGACATGGGTGTGGGTTGTGGTTTGGCCACTTGGGCTTCCTCCTGGATGCCCCAGCCACACACTGGGTGACTGAACCGGATTACTTGTGGCTGCTGGCACTAATCAGAGAGCTGTGTGTGTGTAAAGAAGGAAAACCTGGTGCAGGGAGTCCTACAAACAGAGGCCCCTCCCACAGTTGAGCCCATTTTGTCACCTGTAACCAGGGACAATGATGCATCACCCGAGTCCCCCTCAGAGAAAGATGAAGGTAGAAACGCTTACACACTGAAGATGCTGCTGGAACACCGCAGGGACTGGGCGGAGCGGGGACAGCGTTAACAAGGGCGGCTGCTGCAGTGTGGGTGAAGGGCCAGACCTTGTGTCAGGTGCCCCTGCAGATATAATTCCTCGAGTCCACAAAACAATGCAACCAGGTGGATCTGAACATCCCCACTTCACAGATGAGGAACTCGAGGTCAGGGCTGTCAGTCTTGGCTACCTGCATGGCCTTGGGGCCCTGCATGGTCTCACCCCTGCCTAACTTTCTCGTCTCCATGTCTCTGTGACCCCCTCCCTCCTGCCACTTCCCTCTGGCCTTCTCGTGGCCCTGAGATGTGCCACACTCTCACCCGCATCAGCTCTGTGTCCTTTGCCCCCACTGTCCCTCTGCTGCCGCATGCTCGTCTATTAGGTCCTGACTTACATGTCACTTCCAGGGCCCCTTCCCGACTTCCTGTGCTGGGCAAAGGGCCCATTCTTAGCTCCCCAGGGCCGGCCCCCCATCTCGGTGCCTGTCACAGATTTCCCTCATCAGAGAAAGCTGGGACTTGTGCTCATGGCTCTGACCCCAGCACACAGCACAGACAAGAAAGGATGCCCCGGCCTCCATGTGACGGAGCTGGATTCAAACCCAGGTGTTTCTGAAACCAAAGCGTGCCTTCGTAAAACTTAAGAGCATGGGATTGGAAGGGAGGCAGTAACATCAGCAGAGCGGCACCCTGCTCGGACAATTCACCTGCGCTCCTCAAAGTTTTTAACCACACCCACTCTTGCGGCAGAGGGGTGCGAACAGTTGGGCACATCTATTATTTCTGCTGACCCACGTCCATCCACCTTCCTGAAAACTCAGGTTTCCTGTGGGGAAATGGCCCTCATCCATACGTGGTCTGAGGAGTTTGGCTGAGCCGGACTCCCTGTGCCACTTCCAGAGGTGGACAGGTGATTCAGGTCTGGCCAATCAGCATACCCCTCCCCTCCCCCACGCTGAGCCTGTCCAATGGGAGGCTACCCTGGAACCCATGCTGGGACTGACAAAAAGGGATGCCCACTGCCGTGATGGATGTCCCTGAAATGAGGGTAAGGTTCTGGGGCTCAGGAAGGTCTCCAGGCTTGGATTAGAGATAATAATTACCATATCACAGATGACTAAAAGAGTCTCAAAGCACATCAGCACCCCCCAACCTGTTCTGCTTCTTGGTTCCTCATTTTGGTGACATCTCCATTGCTAGAAATGGACACTATCACATGTCCTGCATTTACCCCTTTATATACCTCTTTTTTTTACTTTTTTTTTTTTTGAGACAGAGTCTCACTGTGTCACCCAGGCTGGAGTGCAATGGCACCATCTTGGCTCACTGCAACCTCCACCTCCCGAGTTCAAGCAATTCTCCTGCCTCAGCCTCCCGAGCAGCTGGGATTATAGGCGCCTGCCAACATGCCCAGCTAATTTTTGTATTTTGTATTTTTAGCAGAGACAGGGTTTCACCATGTTAGTCAGGCTGGTCTCAAACCCCTGACCTCAGGTGATCCACCTGCCGCGGACTCCCAAAGTGCCAGGATTGAGACACCGCGCCCAGCCTAATTTTTGTATTTTTAGTAGAGACAGGGTTTCATCATGTTGGCCAGGCTGGTCTCAAACTCTTGACCTCAGGTGATCCCCCAGCCTCAGCCTCCTAGAGTGCTGGGATTACAGGCGTGAGTCACCGCACCCAATCCCACGTCTGTCTTTTAATCAAGGCATGCTCTGCCTTCAAGTACACCCTCCATGATGTCTGCCAGAAATACCTTTCAGGAAGGCAGCTCTGAAGGGCATTTGTCTACTCAAAAATCCTAGGTAGACATTTACATTAGTTCAGGGGCTTTTGGTAACCTAAACCAGAAATCTTGAACTCAAATGCCCACTGTGGCCATGCAGGAAACGTGAGCCAAGTGAGTGGAGTATCTGTATATAACACATGAGATTGTCTTTGTTCCCACAAAAAGATATACTTGGTCTTTCTTTTCCTGAAACACATGTCATCTCAGCCTCTTTTGTTTTCCTGCTTTTAATAAGATGTAGAAAACAGTTGTGAAAGCACAATGATAAGTAGCATCTGACCCTCGGCCTGTGCTGGGGAGGCTGTCAGGGAGTGGCAGGGACTGTGGTGAATTAGAGAGCACATGTTCTTTCAATGGCGGGGTCACAGTTCGATGGCTACGTAGAAATGCTGATCTGATTTCCCAAAAGAAAGCAAAAATCAGGATTCTTATGGCAAATCTCCCCATTTTTGACAGGCAAATAATTCCAAGCTTTTAAAAAGCACCGTGTGAGTCATTCTCTCATACCACTGGTGGGTGTCTAAATCAGTATAATCTCTAAGGATAGAAATTTGACATTAGCTACTAAAATTGTAAGAACAATACTCTTTAACTTGACACTCCCACTTCTGGTATTCTTCCTGCATATACACTTGCTGTGTGCAAAATGATGTGTTCAAGAAAATTTATTGCAGCATTGTTTGCAATAGTGAAAAAACTGAACTCATCTAAATGTCTATCTAGGGGGTCTTGGTTAAATAGGTTATATTCGTAAAGGAATATCATGCAGCTGTAAAAATGAGTGCTTTTTTTTTAGATATGACAATAGCACAAGTGACAAAAGACAAAACAGATAACTGGACTTCATCAAAATTAAAAACTTTTGTGGAACAGAGGATGTTATCAAGAAAGTGAAAAGACGATCTGAGAAATGGAAGTAAATATCTGTAAATCATGGGAAGTAAATATCTGTAAATCATCTAATAAGGTAATATCTGTATCTGTAAATCATCTGATAAGGGACTTTTGTTTAGAATATATAAAGAACTCTGACAGCTCAACAATAAAAAGGCAAATAATCCAATTAAAAATGGACAGAGGGCTGATGCGGTGGCTCATGCCTGTAATCCCAGCACTTTGGGAGGCTGACGTAGGCCGATCACTTGAGCTCAGGAGTTCAAGACTAGCCTGGCCAACACAGTGAGACCCTGTCTCTGCTAAAAATACAAAAATTAGCTGAGTGCAATGATGTGTGCCTGTAGTCCTAGCTACTTGAGAGGCTGAGGCAGGAGAATCACTTGAGCTTGGGAGGCGGAGGCTGCAGTGAGCTGAGATCCTACCACCGCACTCTAGCCTGGGCTGGAGTGAAACCCTGTCTCAAAAAGAAAAAAAAAAAAGGTCAAAGGATTTGAATAGATATTGAACAGACATTTCCCCAAAGGAGACAAATGGCCAATAAACCGTGAAAACATCCTTAGTCATTAGGGAAATGCAAATCAAAACTACAATGACGTATCACTTCACACCCACTAGGATGGCTATAATTAAAAAATAATAATAATAATAAGGCTGGGTACTGTGGCTCATGCCTGTAATCCCAGCACTTTGGGAGGCTGAGGCAGGTGGATCACTTGAGGTCAGGAGTTCGAAACCAGCCTGACCATCTCTAATAAAAATATAAAAATTAGCTGGACATGGTGGTGGGGACCTGTAATCCCAACTACTCGGGAAGCTGAGGGAGAAGAATTGCTTGAACCTGGGGTGCAGATGTTGCAGTGAGCCGAGATCGTGCCAGTGCACTCCAGCCTGGGCGATAGAGTGAGACTCAGTATCAGAAAAAGAAAAGAGGTGTTGGTGAGGATGTGGAGAAATCGGAACTCTTAAATATTGCTGGTGAATTTGTAAAATGGTGCAACTGCTGGAGAAAACAGCTTGGCACTTTCTCAAGAAGTTAATAGTTTACCATGTGACCCAGCAATCCCACTCCCAAGAGAAAGGAAAACATGTCCACAAAAAAACTTGTAAACAAATGTTCTCAGAAGCATTATCATAATAGCCAAAAAGTTGAAACAACCCAAATGTTCATAAACTGATGGATAAACAAAATATGGTATATCTAAACAATGCAATATATTTGGCCATAAAAATTAGTGCTAATATGACAACATGAACTTTATGCTAAGTGAAATAAGCCAAACACAAAAGACTACACAGTGTGTGATTCCATTAGTATAGAGCATCCACAATACGCAAGTCCATAGAGACAGAAAGTAGTTCAGTGGTTGCAAGGGCTCTGGTGAAAGAGGAATGAGGAGTGACCGTTAATGGGTATAAACCAAAAATAAAATTAGAAGGCCCTTTGCAACCATCTGAATGGACTCCCTCCTTGGCCAGCACACCCTAAAATTTAACCTGAAAGACTGGTTCAGGCCACGATGGGAGGTGAGAGTTGGACATGCCTTATTATACCCCTCCAACATTAACATCAACACTGACCTTAAGTCTGATAAGAAATATTTGTCTATTCTCTCTATAGCCTGCTACTGGGAGGCTTCAACTGCATAATAAAACCTAGGTCTCCTGGCCAGGTGCAGTGGCTCACGCCTGTAATCCCAGCACTTTGGGAGGCCGGGAGCAGGGGGGCGTGGATGACTTGAGGTCAGGAGTTCGAGACCAGCCAGGCCAACAGGGTGAAACCCCATCTCTACTAAAATACAAAAAAAAAAAAAAAAAAAAAAAAAAAGCCGGGCTTGATGGCTCATGCCTGTGATCCCAGCTATTCGGGAGGCTGAGGCAGGAGACCAGGAGGGGGAGGTTGCAGTGAGCCGAGATCGCACCACTGCACTCCAGCCTGGGCAACAGAGTGAGACTCACTCTTCAAATAAAATAAAATAAAATAAAATAAAATAAAATAAAATAAAATAAAATAAACAACCAAAAAACCCTAGGTCTCCACAACCCCTTATCATAACCCAGATATTCCTTTCTATAGATAATAACTCTTGTAACCAACTGCCAATCAGGATATGTTTAAATCTACCTGTGACTTGGAAGCCCCTCCCCTTTGAGTTGTCCCGCCCTTCCAGAATAGACATTGAACAGACATTTCCCCAAAGGAGACAAATGGCCAATAAGCACATCAAATCAATGTCAATCTTGCATGTATTGACTTATGTATTATGTCTTCCTGAAATGTATAAAGGCTGACTATGCCCCGACCATCTTGGGCACATGTTGTAGGACCTCCTGAGGCTGTCACCACCATGTCCTTAACATTGGCAAAATAAACTTTCTAAATTGACTTGAGACTTGTCTCAGATACTTGGTTCACATAGGTTTCTTTTAGGGGCGATGAAAATGTTCCATAAACCACTCTACCTAAAATTAGGTAGTGATGATGGCTGCTCAACTGTGAATATACCAAAAAACACTGAATTGTACACTATAAAAGGATGAGTTTTATGGTATGTTATTAAAAGTTGTTTAAAAGTGAGGGACCCCTCCAGTTATTGATATGGAATGATCTTCAGGAAAAGAGCATAATATGCTACATTTTTGTACACCAAAGGGGAGGTAGGTACGAATATGCATACATATTGCTTTTTTCTAGAAGCCGCCTAGGAGTGAAACCAAAATTCTTCACTTCTTTTCGGCCCTACCTCGAGCTCCCTTTAGAAAACCTTTCCTTCCAGCTCACAGTATCCACCATGTCCACCTTCGCCTCCCGGCACTGAGCCTTAGAGGGGCGGTGCTCCATAAACATTTGCTACATGAATGAACGAATAAACTATCGGATTTTGGGGTGGGTCGGGACAGCTCGGTTCCAGCGAGGGCTCCGCCCACCCGCGGGCTCCGCAGAGGAGCAGAGGTTGGGCGGCCGCCTCGGTTAACTCCGCTGCAGCCCAAAGCACGGGAATCGCGGGACAGACAAACGAGCGGAGGGAAGATACCTAGAAGCCAGGAAACCGCGAGCTGCAGTCCAACTTGGCCGGAAGCTGCGGAGAGGCTCAGCCACCGGAAGTCAGTGGAGGGTTCGGCCGGACGCTCTAGAATCCCGGAGGACCGGGATCTCTGTGGTTGGCCGTGACGGGCACCCTCTACCGGGGATGACACATTCCCAGAGCTCCTGGGACCAAGCAAATGGCGGACACAATTCCCTGGGCGGAAGGGGACTTCGGGAGCCAGTAGCCAAGGTAACAGTCCCAGACCTGGGCATCTCAGGCCGGGCAGTTCCCCGAGCTCACGGGACTAGCTGTGATTGGCCGGATGAGGTTGAGAGCTTCATGGGGACGCGCGCGCTACGTGCAGGGGCGTTGCCTTCCATTCACTTGGCGCCCGACTGCCAGTGCGCATGCGTTTGAAGGCGGTGCAGGGCGGGGAGCACACCCCTGCGAAGTGCCGGGCACCCTTTGGGCGGCTCCCGCCGGCGAGCTGGACAGCGGCGCGCGCCAGGCGTGGCTTTCTCGGCCGGTGGGCTAGGATTGGACGCAGTAGGTAGAAGGGGCAGGACCCTCCGCAGCAGTAGCTCAGCGATTGGCCAGGAGCTGGAGGGAGCGTGGCCTTGGGAGGCGGGGCGGAGGGGGACGGACAGGGCAGCTCAAGACGCTGAGGTGGTGGCTGCGGCCTTTGAACAAGTAAGTGAGCCACCCTCGGAGACCCCCGCGCTGGGGACGGGAGGCCGGCGAGCCTCGGGACCTCTGAAAGCCTTGAGGAGGCGCGGGGGTGAGTGCGGCCCTGAGGAAACCCAGGTGCCCCGCCCCTCCCTTTCTTCCTGGCCCGCGCCTCGCCTACCCCTCCCCCGACCCTGGCGGGCCCCCGGCTCTGGGCCCGGACCCCTGGGGTAGCTAGTCTGCCACGAACCAGCCGCGCGCTTCTGCCCTTGTCGGTTTAGGAAACTGGGAAGTTCCCTGGTCCTGCTCCCCAGCCCGCAGAGGGGACACTGAGGCCCACGGTAGGTGGTCCTCTCCTCACCCGAGTCTCCACACAGACACCATGGCCGAGCCTCTGAAGGAGGAAGACGGCGAGGACGGCTCTGCGGAGCCCCCCGGGCCCGTGAAGGCCGAACCCGCCCACACCGCTGCCTCTGTAGCGGCCAAGAACCTGGCCCTGCTTAAAGCCCGCTCCTTCGATGTGACCTTTGACGTGGGCGACGAGTACGAGATCATCGAGACCATAGGCAACGGGGCCTATGGAGTGGTGTCCTCCGCCCGCCGCCGCCTCACCGGTGAGCTTCCTGAGCCGTCGCCTCCCAGATGTGGCAGCGTCGCAGGGAGTGGGAAACCGGCCTGTCCCAGACAGCCGGGAAGGAAAGCGGGGTGCGAGTTCTGGCTCCAGTCAACACACACTGACCAGGGCCTTCTGCCTGCCAGGCTCCGGGGAGGCTCGGTTCTCTGAAACTCCGGCCTGGTGGTTTTGCCATCCTGCCTGCCTACTTCCTCCTTAGGAAAATGATAGTCCCAGTTAGACCAGAATGGAGAGCCAGTCCTTCGTGTCTAAGAGAGAAATGTGTTCTGGAGCCAGACACTGGCATAAGGAACTGGTGGTGGGATGGGTGAGGTCTGAGATGGAGAGGGTGTAGGCATAAGAGGCTGAGCTACACCACTGGGCATCCGTGCAACCTCCAACAAGTTACTAAGCCATATTTCCTTCTCTTTAACGTTGACCTATTGGGACCTGCCCCGCAGGGGAGTTGTGAAGGTAACATTTAATAATGTAGGTAACATGCTTAGCACAGGGCTTGGCACATAGTAGGTACCCAATACTTGGTAGCTGTTGTCATTTGCATCCTAGAAGGGAGGTGTTGATAGGGGCTGAGTCGACTCTGCAGTTTCTCCAAGGTATCCTCTGGTATGTCCCTTTTCCCTGCTCCTCAGGCCAGCAGGTGGCCATCAAGAAGATCCCTAATGCTTTCGATGTGGTGACCAATGCCAAGCGGACCCTCAGGGAGCTGAAGATCCTCAAGCACTTTAAACACGACAACATCATCGCCATCAAGGACATCCTGAGGCCCACCGTGCCCTATGGCGAATTCAAATCTGTGTAAGAAGCGGGATGGGAGAGGGAGCCAGACTTGGGACTTTTCTGAAGGCTGCAACCATGTTGCCGAAGTTCTGGAAAGGCAGCTGAATCTAATCTGAAGCAGGCTGGGAAAATTCCCGCAGTTCTAGGACCAGTTCTTTAGAGTTTTGCCAGGGACAACTGTTATTCCTCAAGAAGTGTACAGATGATTTTACAGTTTTATAGAATCTTAGTATATAGGATGTCAAATGTAGGACATTCCTACTATGACCACACCCTCCTATTCCCATAGCAGACTTCACTAATCAATCACAGAACACTTTCCTACAGACAGTGGACAAGCCTGGTCAATTTTCATCATAGTTCTTCAAGCTGCCACTACCAAACAATGGAGATAGCCCCAAAAGGAAACCTATTGGCCAGCCCTGGTGTAGTCCAACCCCATCTTTTATCTGATGGGGAAACTAGGTCTGGAGACAAAAGTGATTTAACCAAGTTCATGGAAAAGTCGTAGAGAATCTAAAACGTGATGCTCTTCTTCCATACCATGCCGTCAGCCCCTATGGGGTCCCAGGGTAAGGCTGTTACCTGTCTGGAATCGGAAGGGTGTGGTGAGGATGGGGCTTGTCCCTGGAGTGTGATCAGGCCAACCCATGCTTCTCTCCTTCCTTCCCCTTCCAGCTACGTGGTCCTGGACCTGATGGAAAGCGACCTGCACCAGATCATCCACTCCTCACAGCCCCTCACACTGGAACACGTGCGCTACTTCCTGTACCAACTGCTGCGGGGCCTGAAGTACATGCACTCGGCTCAGGTCATCCACCGTGACCTGAAGCCCTCCAACCTATTGGTGAATGAGAACTGTGAGCTCAAGATTGGTGACTTTGGTATGGCTCGTGGCCTGTGCACCTCGCCCGCTGAACATCAGTACTTCATGACTGAGTATGTGGCCACGCGCTGGTACCGTGCGCCCGAGCTCATGCTCTCTTTGCATGAGTATACACAGGCTATTGACCTCTGGTCTGTGGGCTGCATCTTTGGTGAGATGCTGGCCCGGCGCCAGCTCTTCCCAGGCAAAAACTATGTACACCAGCTACAGCTCATCATGATGGTGCTGGGTACCCCATCACCAGCCGTGATTCAGGCTGTGGGGGCTGAGAGGGTGCGGGCCTATATCCAGAGCTTGCCACCACGCCAGCCTGTGCCCTGGGAGACAGTGTACCCAGGTGCCGACCGCCAGGCCCTATCACTGCTGGGTCGCATGCTGCGTTTTGAGCCCAGCGCTCGCATCTCAGCAGCTGCTGCCCTTCGCCACCCTTTCCTGGCCAAGTACCATGATCCTGATGATGAGCCTGACTGTGCCCCGCCCTTTGACTTTGCCTTTGACCGCGAAGCCCTCACTCGGGAGCGCATTAAGGAGGCCATTGTGGCTGAAATTGAGGACTTCCATGCAAGGCGTGAGGGCATCCGCCAACAGATCCGCTTCCAGCCTTCTCTACAGCCTGTGGCTAGTGAGCCTGGCTGTCCAGATGTTGAAATGCCCAGTCCCTGGGCTCCCAGTGGGGACTGTGCCATGGAGTCTCCACCACCAGCCCCGCCACCATGCCCCGGCCCTGCACCTGACACCATTGATCTGACCCTGCAGCCACCTCCACCAGTCAGTGAGCCTGCCCCACCAAAGAAAGATGGTGCCATCTCAGACAATACTAAGGCTGCCCTTAAAGCTGCCCTGCTCAAGTCTTTGAGGAGCCGGCTCAGAGGTGCCTTGTGGGCAGGTCGGGTGGGCAGAGGGGAGACTTGGACTTGGACAAGGCTTCAGGCTTTTACCTTCTCCCCTGCCCAACTTCCCCGCAGATGGCCCCAGCGCACCCCTGGAGGCTCCTGAGCCTCGGAAGCCGGTGACAGCCCAGGAGCGCCAGCGGGAGCGGGAGGAGAAGCGGCGGAGGCGGCAAGAACGAGCCAAGGAGCGGGAGAAACGGCGGCAGGAGCGGGAGCGAAAGGAACGGGGGGCTGGGGCCTCTGGGGGCCCCTCCACTGACCCCTTGGCTGGACTAGTGCTCAGTGACAATGACAGAAGCCTGTTGGAACGCTGGACTCGAATGGCCCGGCCCGCAGCCCCAGCCCTCACCTCTGTGCCGGCCCCTGCCCCAGCGCCAACGCCAACCCCAACCCCAGTCCAACCTACCAGTCCTCCTCCTGGCCCTGTAGCCCAGCCCACTGGCCCGCAACCACAATCTGCGGGCTCTACCTCTGGCCCTGTACCCCAGCCTGCCTGCCCACCCCCTGGCCCTGCACCCCACCCCACTGGCCCTCCTGGGCCCATCCCTGTCCCCGCGCCACCCCAGATTGCCACCTCCACCAGCCTCCTGGCTGCCCAGTCACTTGTGCCACCCCCTGGGCTGCCTGGCTCCAGCACCCCAGGAGTTTTGCCTTACTTCCCACCTGGCCTGCCGCCCCCAGACGCCGGGGGAGCCCCTCAGTCTTCCATGTCAGAGTCACCTGATGTCAACCTTGTGACCCAGCAGCTATCTAAGTCACAGGTGAGAGGGAGGCCCAGGCCATGGGGACACCTGGGTCTGGGCCAAAGGAAAATGGGTTCAGGAAGCGGTCAGTGTTCCACAAAAACTGAGCAGCAGATGGGGCTTTATCTCTGAACGTGTCCTCTTGCTCACAGAAGGAGCATAATGGCAATGAAGAGGTTGTTAGGAGACAAGTTAAATATGGCCTGCAAAGTGCCTAGCCCAGAGATGGGGCCAGCCAGCACTCACTGACTGCCGAGACTGGTGTTAGCACTCCCAGATATCCAGGCGGAGTAGTCAGCAGCATTGGGACAGGGTGGCCTACAGACCTCAGTCTGTCTGCATTGTAACCTGTCATTCCCTGCAGGTGGAGGACCCCCTGCCCCCTGTGTTCTCAGGCACACCAAAGGGCAGTGGGGCTGGCTACGGTGTTGGCTTTGACCTGGAGGAATTCTTAAACCAGTCTTTCGACATGGGCGTGGCTGATGGGCCACAGGATGGGTAAGGTGGCTGGACTGAGCTCCTAGACTGGGACTGTGGGGAGAGGTTCCTGGTGCAGGAGACATGCACCTGTGGGATGGGTGAGGGTCCAGCCTAGGCTAATAGCACCCCTCCCTTTCCTTCCCCTGCAGCCAGGCAGATTCAGCCTCTCTCTCAGCCTCCCTGCTTGCTGACTGGCTCGAAGGCCATGGCATGAACCCTGCCGATATTGAGTCCCTGCAGCGTGAGATCCAGATGGACTCCCCAATGCTGCTGGCTGACCTGCCTGACCTCCAGGACCCCTGAGGCCCCCAGCCTGTGCCTTGCTGCCACAGTAGACCTAGTTCCAGGATCCATGGGAGCATTCTCAAAGGCTTTAGCCCTGGACCCAGCAGGTGAGGCTCGGCTTGGATTATTCTGCAGGTTCATCTCAGACCCACCTTTCAGCCTTAAGCAGCCACCTGAGCCACCACCGAGCCATGGCAGGATCGGGAGACCCCAACTCCCCCTGAACAATCCTTTTCAGTATTATATTTTTATTATTATTATGTTATTATTACACTGTCTTTTTGCCATCAAAATGAGGCCTGTGAAATACAAGGTTCCCTTCTGCACCTGACTCCAGGTGTAATTTTTGGAGTTCGGGGTAGGACACCATCAGCAGGGGAGCAAGGAGGAGCCAGGTGCCTACATTTGGGGGATAAACAAATATGTTTGTGTGTATGAAGCCAGTTCATTCAGGTTCTGAAGGTTTATTGAGACCTTCAGTCCCTACCCACTCCCAGCCCTGCAGAGATTGTCCTCTGCTCCCTCATGTGGCTAAACCTCTCAACACCCAGAGGGTATGGGGAAGACCTCATATGCATGCCTACCTTGGCTGTGGCTGTTTCAGGGTGGTGTGCGGTAGCTGTGTTCTTGGCATAGAGCTTCAGGGGCTGGGATGGGCCATCAGGGGAAGCTGAGTATGATAGTGAGGTGGGCTGGGGTTCCACGGTACTCACCACAGGGGAGTAAGTTGGTGGGAGGGATGCTGAAGATGGGACATGGTTTGAGAGCAGCCCAGAGGAGTGCTGGGCTGTGGCCTAGAATACACCATGGGCCCTGTTCACACTGCACTGCTCAGCTTAGCACACTAGGGTGGCCCAGACAGGGGTCCACAGTGAGGAAGCAGGACAAGATGGACCACAAAGGCCTGCAGCTGGGAGAGTGGCTCCTGGCTGTCAGCTGTTGGGACAGGTTGGAGGCAACTCATTCTCATGGAGCCCAGCCAGGTCCAGGCTAGAACCATGTGCCTCTCGGAAGAGGCCTGGGGAACTGCTGGCAGTGTAACTTCAGGTGTAGGGGAGCCGGGTCTGGCTTAGGAATGGATGCCCTGGGTGTGTGACAGGGATGTGGCATGGCTGAGAGCCACAAGGCCCCCTTGTAAGGAGTTGGTGCTCGGGAATCAGCAGAAGCATGCATCAGGGGCAGCAGAGGGAGCACTCATGGAGACCATGGGTGTCCAGGGGAGGAAAGGTGCCTGAGGGGGCCAGCCCTTCAGGCCCGGCGGATTTTCATCTCAGTGCGTTTGAGGGAGTAGTAGAAGCCCTTCCACTGGGCCCAGTTGATGCCATTGGCATAAGAGAGGTGGGAGCCACCTAGGTAGAAGCCATTGAGGTTGGCAAAGTGGCAGCTGCGGAACCAGAAGGCTCCTGAGGAGAGAGCTGCGCAGTTCTGCACAAAGAGGTCCTGGTCCCGGTCGAAGGTAGAGAACTTCTGGCCACTGTGGTAGGACAGGGAGTCACCTGGCAGAGGAGAGAAGGGTTGGGGCTGCTGAGGCAGGGAACTGAGCCCCGAGCTGGCCGGGAGAGGGTGACAATGACGACTGTGAGAGATATCACGTGGCAGCCTGGCGGGATGGGGGCACCCTCCCTGAGCCAGATGTTGGGTTGATGTGCTTCTGCAATGAAGAGAAACAGCTGCTCCACCACAGAGTTGCCTGGAGCAGGGCCAGGATGGCTGCTCCCCAGGGCTGAGGCCCAAGCTGGTTTGAGCTTGTTTGGAGCCAGCTGTGGCCCTTCCAGATCCAGAAGGGTTGAAGGAGGGGCCTGAAGGAGGTTGGGGCTGACTGGGCAGGGCCAGCCCTGCCTTCTTTCCCCTCACAGCCCCTCCCAAAGCTAACAGCGGGTTATACCTGCCCCGCCATCCTCAAAGCCTGCCACAAAGAGGGTGTAGCCATCCTCCTCTGCGCTGACCGCGTTCGGGGAGATGGAGAAGTCAGCGTACTTGGCATAGGCCGTGTTGTTCTCAAAGTCCTCCAAGTCCACTCGCAGCTCATACTTCTGCTTCAGTGTCAGGAGGTGCATGTTCTGCAGCCCTGGGGAGGAGGGGCAGCTGGTCAACAAGGACCTGGCCCTGGGGCAGCCCCTCAGCCCACCTGGTCCCTGCCTTACCCAGCCAGTACTCTCCATCAGCACGGCCGAAGCCCAGCTTGTAGTCATTCCAGCCGCGGAAGAAACTTACTGAGCCATTGAATCTCTTCTGGAAAACCTGGAGCAGAGAAGATGAGACTGGATCATCAAGGGTCCAATGGGCAAGGTTCTGGTCCTGCCCTGCCCACCTCAAGCATGGACCCTGTGATGCTGTGGCCAGTTTGTTAAAGGACTGGGTTGGGGGTGGGGAGGGTGGTGGGAGTGGGGTTGCTAAAACAACGTCCACATTGGCACCAGGCCCCCTGTGGAGCAGTTGCCAGCACCCACCTGGGCTCTTCATACCCAGTTTCGTATAGAGGCAGGAAAGAGGCTAAGAGGGAGGCGTTCTAGAGTTCGAGTGCCTAGCTGTGGGATCTGGGCAAGTTACTTCACCTCTCTGGGCTTTAGTTCCTCACTACTTCCCAGGATTATTGTGAGGCTTATGTGCATTAACCTACCTCAGCTGGGCGCGGTGGCTCACGCCTGTTATCTCAGCACTTTGGGAGGCTGAGGCGGGCGGATCACCTGAGGTCAGGAGTTCAAGGCCAGCTTGGCCAACATGGTGAAACCTCATCTCTACTAAAAATAAAAAAATTAGCTGGGCATGGTGGCACATGCCTGTAATCCCAGCTACTCGGGAGCCTGAGGCAGGAGAATCTTTTGAACCTGGGAGGTGGAGTTTCCAGCAGTGAGCTGAGATGGAGCCACTGCACTCAAGCCTGGATGACAGAGTGAGGCTCCGCCTCAAAACAAACAAACAAACACCTACCTCAGGCACTTAGAATTAAGCGTTGGCAGCTGCTCAGAAGCTGTGCTGTGGGTATCATTATCCCCATTTTAAAGATGAAGAAACTGAGGTTCGCATATGTGAAGCCCAGGGTCACAGGGCTGGGATTAGAACCAGCTCTGGCCTCTGTTCCCTCCTCCCACTCACCGTCCACTTCCCGCCCTCGGTGGTCATGTCACAGAAGACGGGCACAGGCACACTGGGGCCCGAGGGGTAGATGAGGTACACGCCGTCTGACTGGTAGCCCTGGGCATAGATGTCGTCACAGTCCAGGGGTTGCTGAAGGCAAAACCTCTCCAGAGCTGGGGGTAGGGACATGGGGACAGTGAGGAGAGTGGGACTATGGCATCACTGACACCTCAGCACCCCAAGGTTTGCCTCAGTCCCTGGGGCTGGGGGACTTTGACACAAGGAGTCATGGAAGATTTCTTCAAGGGAGATGAGCAATGCTTATGTCATCCATCTGCCCCATTTTGTAAAGGAGGAACCTGAGTCCTGCAGAGCTGGGGCTCGGCCCTGACAGTCTGTTCTGACAGTCCAGCCTCTTCTTGCACAACCTGTGGGCCAGGCCGCGTCTGTGAGTGTGGGGCTGCTTACCATCTCCTCGGATCCCGGAGACCTGGGGGGCACACGGGGGCGTGGAGAGAAGCAGCAGCAGCGGCAGGGCCAGGAGTGCCTGGCGATGGGCAGACAGGGTCAGCACAGCCCCTTCCCAGCTCCAGAGATCCCCTGTTCTCTTTGCATTTGCCCCCACCATGCATGCACATACTGCCCTTGCCTGAATCCCTCTCCTGCTATTTGGCCCCTCTTCCCTGCCCCCCCACCCCGCCCGCCAAGTAACCCCACTCTCTGGGACGCTGTGTACCCTCATAGCTTACGAGTTTCAAGAGAACTCCTTGTGCCTTCATAGTGCCCTCTGTGGCCAGGGGCCTCTGGAGTGGGCTCAGTTCCCCCATGCTATGAGTCCCCCGACCCTGGGCCCCGTACCTTCATGCTGTCAGTTCTGCTCAGAGTGGCTGGGTGTCTGCGGCCCCAGACTGCAACCGCCCAGAGTTATGCGCTGGGCCCCCGCCAGCCGCCCCAGCCCCGCCCCCCTTCCCGTAGCTGCAGAACCCCCCTCTCCCCACCCCAGACAACCAGCATCAGTTTACACTATCAGGGGGCTGGGAGGTGGGGCTGGAGCCAGGGGACCACCTGTGTCTCATTAGTCCTGTCGGGCAAAGTACTGCAGACGTTAACTCCCTGCTGGCTCCAACTGTTCCCTGGATCCCACTCCATCCGCTATCCGCCATCTGCCACCCACCCTGCTAGACCTGTGGGCCCCCTGGCGCCCCCAGGCAGCCCCAGCCCGCCGCAGCCTGCCCCCTACTTCCTGATGGGCCCCCCTGCAGATGTCTGTTTATTCTTTCCCCTCCTTCCCTGGCCTGTGTTTCATCAGCCATTGAGGGGGAGGGCTGAGGGAGAGTGGGGGTGTCATATGCCTGGCTTCTGGGGACGGGAGGCCTGCTCTGGGGGAGCAGAAGGCTGAGGGGACAGTTTCAGAGCTCCTGATGTGGGAGCCTGGCTGGGGCTGGTGGGGGGACAGAGGCAGCAGTTTCTTGGCAGGCCTGGGACATTTCTGAGCCATGAGCACAAGGCTGCTGGCGTCCAACTGCTCTGTCTGCCCCAGCTCAGGCCAGGGCCCCTCTCCAGTCCCCCTCCCCAGCCCCCCTCACTCTGGCCACCTCAGGCCCACTCTTTTCCCCTCCCACAGTTCCCTGGCCCATCTGGCTCACATGCAATAGGTATGGGACCTCTTTTGTTTCTCCTCACTCCACCCCTCCTTTCTTCTTCCAAACCCTTCACTTTGGCTCCCACACCTCCCAGATTCATCTGAATCTCCCTACTTCTGGGCTCTCTCCTCCTATCCTTGGCACACTACCAGGAGAGTTGTTCTAGATGGCCTCTCAGATTATGTCACCCTGCTTAAAGCCTCATGGCTCCCTATTGCCTCAGGGCTGAGGCTAGGTTTCTCACCTTGGACATGAAAGGAATTTCAAGTCTGTCTCTGGCCTACCTTGAGGACCTTGTCCCTTATTGCTGTGACTCATAAACTACAGTGCAGCCACTCCAGACTTTTCACCATGGAGGTCCCCACTCTTTTGTGCTGCTCCTTGTGGTGCCCGCTCATCTGCCTCCTTTTGTTGGCCATAAGGGCCAGTGAGCAGGGTGTGTGTCTCATTTCTGCATGCTCAGTGCCCATCACAGAGCCTGGCACAGAGTAGGCTTGATATGTACATGCACAGTCACTTACGTATTTATATCTATATATAGATAAGATACTAGAGTCAGGGCCTTGCCCTGTTGCCCAAGTGCAATCATAGCTCACTGCAGCCTCAAGCTCCTGGGCTCAAGTGATCCTCCCACCTCAGCCTCCTAAGGAGCTAGGACTACAGGTGTGCCACCACACCCAGCTAATTTTTTAATTTTTTTGTAGAGATGGGGGGGGTCTCCCTATGTTGCCCAGGCTGGTCTTGAACTGGCCTCAAATGTTCTTCCCACCTTAGTCTCCCAAGAAGCTGGGACTACAGGGCCAGCACACCTGGCTCACAGATATCTTTTGAGCGCTGTGTGCTATAGGCTATGCTGGCTGCTGAGGATACAGTATCTGCCCCACAAGGAGTGGCAAGCACAGGTTTTGGACAGTGAATTGCAAATGTAAGGTGTATTACAAAAGGACATTTGTGTTGAATGGATGAACAGATGAAATATTCAAAGGCAAAGTGATGAGGCAGCTCTGGCTTAGGTCCCATCTCTCCACTCCTGAGTCAATAGATAAGCCCCTTGGCAAAGCCCCAGTTGGCCTCCCTGACTTGGTTCTGTGATTGCCTCTATTCATAGTTGTGTCTTGTGTCAGGCTACCTCAGTTCAAATCTAGATTCTGTTGCCTGTTAGCTGGGTGACCTTGCAAAAATTACCTAGTCTCTCTGTGCCTTGGTTTCCTCCTCTGTAAAATGAGGATAGTCATAGTATCTACTTCATAGGGGTGTGGTAAGGATTAAGTAATACATATCAAGTTCCTAAAACAGTGCCTACAAATGGCAGCTATTTAGTAAATATTAGCTATCGTCATCGTCATCATAAACATCATGATTCTCATATGAATGGGTTGTCTTCAACACAGCTTGTATGCTTGCCTGTGGAAGAGACAGTTGGCTGGCTCTCAATACTCGTTCTTCCCTTAGTCCTCAGTAGTAAGATCCTGATTTTTATCTGGGCTCATTGTCCAGCCTCCCTTGTAGCTAGGTGAGGTCACACATCTGAATTTTGGCCAACAAGATGCCAACAGGTATGTTGTAAAGGTAGGTGGCTTGTCCCTCTTCATCCTGCCCTCTGTCCTGCTGGATGTGATGGCTGGAGCTCTAGCTGCCACCTTGGACAGTGGGGATGAGGAAGATGAGGCCTCATCAGGGAATGGCAGAGGAGGAACTGGCAAAGCCTCTCACGACTTTGTGGAGTCGGTACAAAAACAGCCCTGGACTGCCCTCCTCTAGGCCTTTTTTATGCAGGAGAGAAAGAAACTTCTATGTATTTTAAGTGTCTGTTGTTTTTTTTTCTGTTACACACAGCTGAATCTAATCCTGATCTCTTCTTTCAGCAAATGCCAGCTAATTTTAACACAAGTCTATAAAAGGGAAAATAATGAAAAAAAATCAGTTATCAAAACAAATACTAAAATGGTCCAAAGTCAAGTATTGAAGACTTTTGGAGAATACCACTAATGAGCAAACATAGAAACTCCTTCTCCCCCTAGAAAAGAGAGAATTAAGATACGAGGTATCAATTACATTTTGCCAATTAGTTTTTACTTAAAAAATGCAATAATGTGTGTGGGTGCAGCAAAGCAGGCACTGTGTTCACTGGATGTGGCTGGAAATTAGTTTAACTTTTGTGGTAAAGAAATTTGGTAATAACATGCCCAGAGTCGGTAATCCTTCTAAGGTGTTGTCTGGAGGAAATACTCTGACATGTTGAAGAGGCTACAGATACAGCTGGGGGACATTACTTGTTGGCTGCCCAGCATGGGAAACCTCTTCCCACATTTGGGGTGTTCCTCTCCTAACTAGAATGCTGGGTGTTCACATTTCCAGGGTTCCTTGCAGTTTGATTGAAGGCACATGGCCTTGGTTTAGCTGATAAAATGCACGGTCCTGGGCTTCATTTTGGGAGAAAGTGATTTGAGAAGCAGAAGCAGGAAGAATCCATTCCTGGGGCGATGGTGACCCCAGTGCTGTCTGGGTCCTAGTTTCTCTGGGTGGTTGGTGGTGGCTTGGCAAGCACAGTGCTGAGTGACACTGGCTTAGGCTTAGGCTGCAAAGCCCTGAGCTTGGTTCTCAGCCCTCCCAGTGATCAGTTTGCTCTGCCTGCTGATGTTTTTGAAAGAGACCCCCAACTCACATGCATAAAGATGTTTGTGTCTAGATTCTGTCATTGCCAACAACAGACACTAACTCTGACTTTGTTGGGAGGCTTTGCTGGGAGTCTAGACTAGGGGTGGGTGGGAGCTGAGGCTGCCCTGGGCTCTGGAAAGCAGGCCCTCAGTGGGGGTCCTGTGGTGGGACAATGTTGGGTTGATGCTGCTCAATGCACATGGCTATGGCTTTGTCTGTCTGCCAGATTCCAGGAGTGAGGAGGGTCCATCCCATTGGCCTTGCTTGGGTAATTTTATGCATCCCTTGGCAAGGGGAGTGCAGTTGGACACCTTTCATTTGCCTCCCCACCTTTCTCCCTACTGCCCTGGGCCCCGGAAGGCCAGCCTCACCCTCTGGTTTCTGATTGGGTCCAGCCAATGAGGAGCTTATCAGGATTCAGCGGGAAGGAGAATGAAGTAGGAATATTCATTCCCCTCCTTGTAGAGTCCCCACACACTGGTTTTGTTTCTCAGCCAACAGTCTCAAGTCCTGCCAGGTAGCCATCTCCATACAGCCTCCTGACTCACTGTGGGTGACTCCTTCCTCCTCTGCCCGCTTCAGGTCTAGGGGTGTTGACAGCCCTGGTGTTACCAGCCCAGAGATAGGGGGCCATCTCCTGCTTACACCTCAGCAAATAGTCCTTTTATTAAATGCTACTCAAATTGTCCTAACCTGAGTGTTACTTGATGGAAACTGGACTGATTCAGGGAGAGAGGCATCCCTGACTATAATACAGAAAACGAGTGTGAGACTAGGAGGAGAAGTGGCTGCAAGTGTACAAAAAAGTCTCCACTAAATACCCTCTGTAATAGTCATTGTAATGTATGCTGTAATATTGTCAAACCCAGATGGCTCAGTAAAAACAGATGACCCCCTGTGCTTCCTCGATGTCATTTTGGTAAGACATTTGCTCAAGTTGGTATGGCTTCCGCCCCTGGGTTAGGCCTGTGCTGGTTGTTCTCTGCGTTCCCTGATCCACCCACATCCTCCTCTGTGCCTGGTGTGGGGGCTGCCCTGTAGGGAGGACATCGCTGGGTTTCCATGGCCCCTGGCTTCCAGCTGGGTTTGACTAATGGGAGACACCAGCAGGAGATGGGAGAAGAGAGAGGTTGAAGTATTTCTCCCAGCTCCTGTCCTGATGAGCACTGCAGTTTTGGCCGTAGCTGTGCCCGCTGTCCCTCCCGCCCCTCCCCCCCACCTCCTGATGACATCTCCTGCCATAACCTCCCTCACTGTCTCCAGTAACCCTGTTTCCTCCCCTTGCCCCTTAGGCTGGGATGATGAGGGCTGTCATCCTTGCTAGCCCCAGGATGCCTCAATGCCCCATGTTGGTTTTCTTAATGTTCACACCCAAGTAAATAGTCCCTTCATTAAATTCTCTGAATTAAAAAAAAAAAACCCAAACAGCTGAGTTCACCCTTTGTTTCCTGAGAGGACCCTGACTGACTCAAGGTCTTACTTTGGTTTCCTCTAAAAGCACAGCAGCCTGTGGAGTGGAGCATTTTCTGTTGTTTTGGACAACAGCTAAGGACAAGACCCCTATTCTCTCTGCAGGTGCAGACACCTCCCTGTGTGTCTTGCTGGCAGGCAGCTAGACTGCTCCTTTATCCACCCTCCTGTATCCGGAGCTAGAGAAGCCTGAGGAGAGTTTTTGAAGGAAACTCATCAAAGCAGAGAGCACCTAGGGAGAAGAGATGGTGGGTCCCCCCAACCCAGGCCAAGCAAAGGGGCTCCAAGAAAGAGGAGCTGTGTGCCAGAAGGACAGACTTGGGTTGACAGGCTGAGCTGCCCAAACCCAAGGGCCCTTTCCCAGAGGCCGCTGCTGCAGCAAAGTGAGAACGACTGTTTGGAAGACGGGTGAAGCCTAGGGCTACCCGAGTTGGAGAGGAGAGGGGGCAGGGGCTCGCACAGTCATCATTTGGCAGGACACAGATGTGGTGTTCCGAGTGGGTGCTGTGGAATATGAGGTCAGATTGGAATCAGGCCCATCCTCGTAACCTCATTTTACCTTAACTACCTCTTTAAAGGCTGTATCTCCAAATATAGTTGCATTCCAAGGTAGTGCATGGTACAGCTTCAGTGTGAATGTTGGGGTACACGATTCATCCCATAACAAGCATCTTAGAAGCACCAGGCACTCTTTAACCCTTTATAGGCAACCGTGCACAAGACAGAATCTCCAGCCCTCCTGGAGCTACAGAAGAGAAAGAAAAGTAAAGTGAAATGATAAGTACTATGAAAAATGAAGCAGGAAGGTAGCAGGAGTGGGGCCAAAGTTTGGAACAGGGCATGTCCAGAAGGCCGTAGTGTGGAGATGGTAATGGCAAACTCTGTGTCCAAGGGCAGACACAGACATTTTGTGGTGGGGAACACTCTGTCTTATTTCTGTAACATGGGGGAAGGTTTTAGGAGGGATTTAGTGTCTCTCCCCACCTTTTTATAGTTTGGGACAAGATCAGTTGATGGAGCTCAGGATGTGGCAGAGAGAAGAGGCAGATTAGAGATGGGGAGGGTGTTGAATGTAGGCTAAAACATTTGAACTTGATCCCAAGGGCCTTTGGGATTAGGGTATATTGAGATAATGTAACTTAGGTTCCTGATTTTACTTTGATGTGTAGATGCTACATAACTGGGGAGAAAGCATACAGATTAGAGGTCTTTTTGTGTTTAAATAAACAAATGCATGTGTATAATTGGGATAAGAGGGGTACTTGGAGGCCGTTTATGGAGAAACAGCAGTCCCTAGCCCTGTGTTTGATGAGTCCTGGGGTTGAGTCTTTCATTGTGCTGGCCAGCGAGTGGAGGTTTGTTTCCTTCAGTTCTGAGAAAATTCTTTTCTATTACTTCTTTGGCTATTTCTTTCCTCCCTTTTCTCTGTTCTGTTTGTGATAATTTTATTAGTTGGATATTGAATCTCTTAAATTGATCCTGTATTATATATTTCCCTAAAAATCCTCTGTGCTCTGCCAACCATCTCTTCCTCCCCCTAACCCCCTGGCAACTACTGAACTTTTTAGTGTCTCCATAATTTTATCTTTTCCAGAATGTCATATAGCTGTAATCATATAATAATTTGTAGCCTTTTCAGATTGGCTTCTTTCACTTAGCAATATGCATTTAAGTTTCCTGCATGTCTTCTCACGGTGTGTTAGCTTACTTCTTTTCAACACTGAATAATATGCAATTGTCTGGATGTACCACAGTTTATTTATCCATTCACTTAATAAAGGACATGTTGGTTGCTTCCAGGTTTGGGTGATTATGAATAAAGCTGCTATAAACATCTGTGTACAGGTTTTGTGTGGACATACATTTTCAACTCACTTGGGTAAATACCAAGGAGCATGATTGCTGGATCATATGGTAAGACTATGTTTAGTTTTGTGAAAAACTGCCAAACTATCTTCTGAAGTATCTGTACCATTTTATATTCCTACCAGCAATGAATGATTGCTGTTCCATATCTTTGCCAGCATTTAGTATTGTCGTTATTTTTTACTTTTAGTCTTATATGTATGTAATGATGTCTTGTGATTTTAATTTGAATTATTTAATAGCAAACGATGTTGAACATCTTTTCATGTGCTTGTTTGCCATCTGTATATCTTTTTCAGTGAAAAATCTGTTCATGTCTTTTGCCCATGTTCTTTTATTTTTGAGACAGGGGCTTGCTCTGTCACCCAGGCTGGGTGTAGTGATGCAATCTCAGCTCACTGCAGCCTCAACCTCCTAGGTTCAGGCCATCCTCCCACCTCAGCCTCCCAAGTAGCTGGGACTACAGGCGTGTGCCACCATGCTTGTCTAATTTTTGTATATTTTTTAGAGACGTGGTTTTGCCATGTTGCCCAGGCTGGTCTCTAACTCCTGGACTCAAGCAATCCTCTGGCCTCAGCCTCCCAACGTGCTGGGATTACAGGCATGAGCCACTGCACCCGCTCCCCCAACCCATGTTCTAATTGGACAATTTGCTTTTTTACTGCTGGAGTTTTGAGAGACCTTTATGTATTCTAGATACTAGTGCATTGTCAGCTATGTGGTTTGCAAATATTTTTACCCATTCTGTGGCTTGTCTTTTTATCCTCTTAACAGGGCCAGTCTTTTATAGAGCAAACATTTTAAATTTTGATTAAGTTGAATTAATCAACTTTAATGGATTGTGTTTTTGGTATTATATCTAGCAACTTTTTGCCTAGTCCTAGGTCCCAAAGATCTTCTATTTTTTTCTAGTTTTATAATTTTACATTTAAGTTGGTGATCCACTTTGAGTTAATATTTATAGAAGTCAAGTTCTTTTTTTCCCCCTTCTTTTTGTAGATTCCTTAGGATTTTCTACATAGATAATTAGGTCATCTGCAAATAGGGGAAAGTTTATTTCATCCTTTCCTATTTGTATATCTGTTATCTCCTTTTCTGGTCTTACTGCACTGGCTAGAATTTCTAATCCTGTGTTGAATAAGAATGATGAGAGCAGATATTGCCTCGTTCCTGATTTTAGCAAAAAAGCATCCAAGGCCAGGTGCGGTGGCTCACGCCTGTAATCCCAACACTTTGGGAGGCTGAGGTGGGAGGATCACTTGAGCCCAGGAGATTGAGGCTGCAGTGAGCTGTGATTGCACCACTACACTCCAGCCACGGTGACAGAGTCAGACCCTGTCTCAAAAAAAAAGAAAGCAAGCATTCAGTCTTTCACTGTTAGGAATAATGTTACCTGTAGGTTTTTTGTAGATGCTCTTTATCAAGTTGAGAAATTTCCCCTGTATTCCTACTTTTCTGACAATTTATCATTCATGGGGTGTTGAATTTTTTCAAATACTTTTTCCACATTGATTGATATAATCCTATGGGTTTTCTTCTTTAGCCTATTCACTTGGTGGGTTATATTGATTGATTTTCAAATATCGAACCAATCTCTCATTTCTAGAATAAATTACACTTGGTCATAGTGTAGAATTATTTTTATATTGCTGAATTCTATTTGGTAATATTCTGTTAAGAATTTTTGCACCTATTCATGAGGAATATTAGTCTGAACTTTTTTTTAAGTACCATCTTTGGTTTTGATACAGGGTCATAATAGCTTTGTAATGAATTGGGAAGTATTTCCTTCTCTTTCCTTCCGTTTTCTGGAAGATATTTTATATAACTAGTTTTAATTCTTTTTTTTGTTTGTTTTTTTGAAATAGGATCTTACTCTGTCACCCAGACTGGAGTGCAGTGGTGTGATCATGGCTTCCTGCAGCCTCACCCTCCTGGGCTCAAGCAATCCTCCGTCCTTGGCCTCCCAAAGTGCTGGGATTATCGGCATGAGCCACTGAGCCTGGCCCTGTGTTAATTCTTTTGTAAAAGTTTGGTAGAATTCTTCAGGGAAATCACGTGGGGCTGGAGATTTTTTTTTTTTCCTGAGAAATATTGTGATACATCTTTTAGGCCTCCATGGTTTTTCAAGAGATGTTTGTTGTCATTTAAATTGCTTTCCCCCTGTAAATAAAGCATTTTTGCCTAGGTGCTTTATATATTATTTTCTTAGTTTTTAGTTTTCAGAAATTTATAATGTGTTTTGCCATGAATTTTTGGGAGTTATCCTGATTAGGATTTGGTCACTCCTTTTTTTTTTTTTTTTTTTGAGACAGAGTCTTGCTTTGTCACCCAGGCTGGAAGTGTAGTGGCACAGTCTCGGCTCACTGCAAGCTCTGCCTCCCGGGTTCACACCATTCTCCTGCCTCAGCCTCCTGAGTAGCCAGGACTACAGGCACCTGCCATCACGCCCAGCTAATTTTTTGTATTTTTAGTAGAGACGGGGTTTCACCATGTTGGGGTTTCACCGTGTTAGCCAGGATGGTCTCGATCTCCTGACCTCATGATCCGTCTGCCTCGGCCTCCCAAAGTGCTGGGATTACAGGCGTGAGCCACCGAGCCCGGCTTGCTCACCTTTTTAATCTGTTGTTGGCTTATGTCTCTTGTCAAATTTGGGGAGTTTTCAGCCATTATTGATTTGAGTACTTCTTTTTGCCTCACACTCCTTCTTTCCTCTAAGGACTCCAGTGACACAAATGTTAGATCTTTGTTGTACGATAGTTCCCCAGGTCCATGAGTCTGTTCATATTTTTTCCAGTCTTTTTTCTCTCTTTTGTCAGATTAGGTAGCTCTATTGTTTTGTCTTGGAATTCACTGATTGTTCCCTCTGTCCTCTCCATTCTGCTCTTGAGCCCATCCACTGAGGTTTTTATTTTGATTATTGTATTTTTTGGTTTTAAAGTTTCCATTTGGTTCTTTATAGCTCCTTCTTTTTTTTTTCTTTTACTTTTCTTTCTTTTTTTTTTTTTGCTGAGGCTTTCTATGTTTTCATTTGTTTCAAGTGTGTTTGCAGTTGCTCATTGAAGCATTTTATCACAGCCATTTTAAACCTTTGTCAGCTAATCCTGACATCCCAGTCATCTCAGTGTTGGCATCTATCAGTTATCCTTTGTCATTCAGTTTGAGATTTGCTGGTTCTTTATATGATTAATACTTTTTGATTGAAACGTGGACATTTTGTATTATGTTATGAAACGCTGGGTCTTATTTAAACCTGTTTTTTGTTTGTTTGTTTGTTTGTTTTTTTGAGACTGAGTCTTGCTCTGTCACCCAGGCTGGAGTGCAGTGGCGTAATCTTGGCTCACTGCAACCTCCACCTCCCAGGTTCAAACGATTCTCCTGCCTCAGCCTCCCAAGTAGTTGGGACTACAGGGACATGCTACCATGCCTGGCTAAATTTTGTATTTTTATTAGGTTGGTGCAAAAGTAATTGTGACTTTGCCATTAATGGCAAAAACACTTACTTTTGCATCAACCTGATAGTAGAGATGGGCTTTCACCATGTTGCCCAGGCTGGTCCGGAACTCCTGGCCTCAAGTGATTCACCCACCTTGACTTCCCTAAGTGTTGGGATTACAGGTGTTGGCCACCACACCCAGCCTAAACTTGTTTTAGCTGGCCTCTGACACCCCTCTGGCCGGGAAAGGGGTGGCACTGCCTCAGTACCGCCAGGTGGGGGTAGAAGTCCAGGTTCCTCAGTTTGCTTCTGTTGACACTTAAGAGGGGGATTCCCTGTTACTGTTGGACAGGGTGCAAGTTTCAGCTCCCCACGTGGTCTCCACTAACACTGCAAGGTCAGGGAGAGCACCTGTAATGGCTGGGATGCAAGTCCTGGCTCCTACTTGGCCTTCTCTGTTACCACCCAGCTGGGGATGTTGGGACCCCTCGTTACTGCCTAGTCAGGAGGAGGTCTAGTCTCCCCATTCAGCCTTTGTGGCATGGGTGGGTGGAGCTGCATACTTTCCTGTGGCGTTTGGCTGCAGTAGGGTATTTATTGCCTAGGAATTTTCTGTCTTGCCAGGCCGCCCTTTTCCTGGTCCTTTGGCTACAGATAGCAGGTTTTGTTGAGGGTTTTTTTTTGTAGTGGCTGTTGGCATTTCCAGACTGCCAGCTTCTCCAGTACCCATTCTGGGATAATGAGACAAAAAGAAAGCCTAGGAGAGTCGCCACTGTCCTCAGTCCTGATGTCCCTGGCCCGCCTGCCTTCTTTTCTCCACCTTTCAGAGTCTTCTCATGTTTGTCTTGTACGTGATGTCCCAGGTTTTTAGTTGTACTTAGCAGGAAGTACAGGAAAAAATATACCTACTCCATCTTCCCACAAGTGGAAGTTCCTTAAAAAGAATTATGAGGCCTAAGTTACATAGAGTGACGTAGACCAGTATTTACAAATGTGTACCTGGGAACTACCACCCAGATTCCTAGCACCACAGCAGGCTTCCTGTGAGGAGTGACACATTTTTATTTGCATCTGTAAAAAATTGGGCTGGCTGCCAGGTGGAAAATGGATTGGTGGGAGGCAGGGGAGGGACTGATGGCCTGAGTGTTCTCAGACACCATCATCTGTCCCTGATGGCTCCTGTGGGTGGGGTGGGGTGGCCTGGGCTCCATGGGTCACCACCCTCCTCTTTGGCACTGGGTCATCAGTCAGGGTCAAGCAGTCCAGGGCTGCCTGATGTGGGTGGGGAACCTCTGCTCTTTCTGGCATCAGACTCATTGTCAGGAAGCAGAAGCACATTTCAGTTTTTGTACACCCTCTTTCCTGACCTCTGGGGTCAGCTGTTAATTTCCTGTTGCCTAACTGTACTCCACATTCATTTTGTCAGCAAACATGCTGTATTATGGATTGCTAAGGACATGACTGCTGTGGCTGCTTTGCTCTGCCCGGCCCTGGATTATGGTGTTGTGATAGGGAGAGCAAATGGGGTTAGAGAGAGAGGAAGAAGAAATACCATGTGTCTGCAAGAGAAAGAGACAGAGAGAAACAAATGGTAGAGACTAGATAGGAGATAGGCTTGGCTGCAGGTCACTTGGATAGCCTCAGTTTCCTCATCTGTAAAATGGAGCCAATATTTTCACCTTTAGAGAAATGTGGGGAGGATGGGAGATTCTGTTGTTACAAGGACTCAGCATATAGTAGGAGCCCAGTAAATAGACATGATCATTATTATCATTGTAATAAACTAATGGAAAACTGTACTTCTTTATCCATTGGATGTCTGTTCTCAGGCCTACTGTGTAAAAAGCCCTTCTTCTGTAAGAATCTCTTGGATTTTCCTTTGACAAAGAAAAAGAGGCGAGGTCTTGTGGGGGTTGGTCTGAGATCCAAGATGGGGCAGGACTGATGCTTGGGGACATCTGGGCACACTGAGGTAAGTGGCCCAGACTTGCTTCCAAGGCTGATTAACAGGGTAGCATTGGCCGGGCCCGGTGGCTCATGCCTGTAATCCCAACACTTTGGGAGGCCGAGGCGGGCGGATCACAAGGTCAGGAGTTCGAGACCATCCTGGCCAACATAGTAAAACCCCGTCTCCACTAAAAACACAAAAATTAGCTGGGTGTGGTGGTGTGTGCCTGTAATCCCAGCTACTTGGGAGGCTGAGGCAGGAGAATCATTTGAACCAGAGGGTCGGAGGTTGCAGTGAGCCAAGATGGTGCCACTGCACTCTAGCCTGGCAACAGAGCAAGCTCCGTCTCAAAAAAAAAAACAAAAAAACAAAAAACCAGGCTAGCATTTATTGAGCACCTACTATTCACCAGGCTTTCTGCACTGACCCTACATGGGAGTAATTGTATCTTCAGTTTTACCACTGAGGAAACTGAGCTTGAGTGAGAGAAGTGACTTTGCCTAGTGAGTTGAGTGGAACCAGTATTTGAACCAAGGCCTGTTTGGTGCCACAGCCTGGGTGCTGCCCAGAACGCACATAACCTTGCCAGTCAGGTTGAAGGATGGCATAGGTCAGTGGGCCAACAGAGGCTTACATGCAGAGGCCTGGACTGCAGCAGGCCTCTGGCTCCATTGTCTGCCTATCAAACCAGCTGCATGGGGCTGCCTCTTACTCCAGAGGGGTCTATGGGTCCTGGATCCAGTTGGGCATAGTCTGTGGAGGGAAGTTTGCTCCACAAGGGCCAGCTGGCCACATCTGTCAACTTCCTGGCTGACTGCCTGGATACTCCAGTCCCAGGGTCCTAATGGGCAGTATGCAAGTTGGAATGGGGGTGGTACAGCAGAGGAGAGGGGTCTGGAGCCTGGTCTCGATTCTGACTTGGAGCAGGGGAGATGATACCTAATGGTAGGTTGGCTGCCAGCAGCCAGGGACTGCTAGCCAGTGTGGACATCCAGAAGGGTGCTCAAGGTGTCTTCTAACTTGACTCTTATGACTTCCTTCTCCCCTGTTGTCCTCATCAGCTAGTGCCTCCCAACTTGTATGTCCTGCTTCGAACCTGCCTCTGAAGCCCACCTTCCTTCCTGTCCTCACCCTCCCACCCTCACCCCACCCCTTGTGCCCCATGCTTCATAGCTCTGGAGAGGCAGCCCATATTTGAATTTTGTCTTTCCCACTTTTTTCAATAAATCCAGCAAATGTTTGTTGGGCTACCCCAGGCCTGACTGTTTTCACTGTTAAAGCTTCAAATGAGATATTGGTATGAGGTTTGGGGAAGTAATTTAACTTCTCCAATTCTCTGTTTTCTCATCTATAAAATTGTGTGTGTGTGGGGTAGTGGGCGGCTTATATCCACCTCAAGGGTTGTGAGGGTTAAAAAGATGGGGCTCCAGTTATTTGGGCTTGGTGGCAGGCACCTGTAATCCCAGCTATTTGGGAGGCTGAGGCAGGAGAATTGCTTGAACCTGCGAATCAGAGGTTGCAGTAAGCCAAGATAGTGCCACTGCACTCCAGCCTGGCGACAGAGCAAGACTCCATCTCAAAAAAATAAAATAAAATTGGCCGGGTGCGGTGGTTCACACCTGTAATCCCAGCACTTTGGGAGGCTGAGGCGGGTGGATCACGAGATCAGGAGTTCGAGACCAGCCTGTCCAACGTGGTGAAACCCCATGTCTACTAAAAATACAAAAATTAGCTGGGCGTGGTGGTGCGCGCCTGTAATCCCAGCTACTCAGGAGGCTAAGGCAGGAGAATCACTTGAATCCGGGAGGCGGAGGTTGCAGTGAGCCAAGATCCTGCCACTGCACTCCAGCCTGGGTGACAGAGCGAGACTCCATCTCAAAAAATAAAAATAAAAAATAAATAAATAAATAAAATAAAAATAAAGTAAAGCTGTTTTTGACATGGCAGATAGATAACTGAAAAACTCCCTGCATAAGAGACAAAAATCATCCTTTAACATTTGTAGCCAAAATCAGCAAAGATCAATATGTATGATTTTGCTCTGTGTTGGTGAAGATATCCTTAAATTATACTTACCCAAGTGGAAACGGGGTAAGAATAGTAATATGTGCTACAGTGCTATTTGTTATAGCAAAATGTTAGCAATGCTCTAGATGTCTGTCACTAGAGGCCTAGCTCGAGGATGTTGTCAGTACTCAAAAGCGCCTAATGCAAAGTGGCTGTTGAAAGTAGCAAGGTGTCTCCTCCAGTCTGTCCCGGTGGACGCTCAGAATAATGGTTCAAGAACACAAATCTGTTCACATGTATCCCTGCTTAAAATAGTTTATGGCTCCACTGACATGCAGCAAAAATCCAAAAATCTGCCACATGGCCCTCCATCATCTGTTCCCTGCTGACTGACCTTGGTCCCCTTACCCTGCCTCTATCCTTCCTTCTTGCCAGCCCTCACCCTGTGCTCCAGCCGCACCCACACTGAACCTGCCCTGCCAACTCACTGCCAGGCCTTTGCACGTGCTGTCCCCTGTGTCTGGAGTCCCAGCCCTCAACAACGTTTACCCTGCTAACTCCCTTATCCTGCAAGACTGAGCCTTGCTGACTCCCAAGTCTGAGTGAGGGGCTTCCTCCAGGCTCCCACATTTCCCTGGGCAGCTCCTATACAGCAAGGGATGTGCTGCAAGGCAGCTGCTTCCTTGTTTGCACATAGTCTTTGAGCTCCTCAGGGCAGGGACCTGTCAAAAGACAAAATGACAATAAATTTAGTTTAAAGACCTAATTGGCTTTTATTTGAAATTTTAGAATTGGGCAACACCTCATTCTTATAAAACAGAATGATTATTTGACGAGCTGAACAGAGGAGATTGGCTTTACAGGCAAAAAGGGCTGAAGTAAGCAGACAGAACAAAAAGCAGACTGATTTCAAAGTTACTTTCCTTGTAAAAGTTAAAGCAGAGGGGACTTCCTATCATGCTGGCTAAAAGTGGCCTGTTTGGGGATTTGGCTATTATCTCTTTGTGTCCTGATTTCTTGGAAGATCAGATAAACAATTTAGTTTTGGCTTTGTAGCATGGAACTTCAGCATGAGTGAATCCTTTTTGGTTTGATCTGTTGGAGCTTATCCAGGAGCTCAATCCAGACCAATAACCTCCTATAAATCTTATTTAACAGACCACATCTTGTTATTTGTTGTAGTCTCTGCATCCAGCATCACTCTGGGTACATGCTTGGTACATCGGAGGCATTTCATAAGTTTGAAGAGCAAAGGGGAGGAGAGAGAAGGATGAGGAAGGGTTCCCTGTAGAAACTCTGAGCCAACCTGGGCCTGGGTGATGGGTTTCATGAAGGCAGGCAGAGACTGGCAAGGGTGTTCAAGGCAAGGAGAGTGGCTGGGGCAAAGGTGTGGAGGTGTGAATGTTGGGAGACCACAGCACACAGCAGGCCAGAAAGGAGGGGACGGCCCGGGATTGGGAGTCAGGGCATTTTATTTCTTCCAGGGCTGTCATTGGAAGGTTTCCTTAGCTCTCTAAACCTCAGTTTCCTCATTCAGAAAGCAGGGCTAATAGTCACTGTATTATGAGAATCAGTTGAGGTAGTAGGGCACATAACAACACATTGTGAGCCCTAAATTGCTAAGCAAATGTTGGATAATTGTACTATTATTAGTTGTTTCAGGATGCCTAGTACCAGATTGATGATGGGGGGCTTCAGAAGTAAAGCTGGGGAGCTCTGACTTCCTTCCAGCTGCTGATAGGAAGGCCTGGCCTTTGATGCTCACACAAGGGGACCTGGCACAGACACAGCTGTGGCGAGAGCAAGGAGGGCCACTGGGCCTGGGGGACAGGAGGAGGGCAGCCACAGGGAGCAGATGCTGCTGCACCTTGGGGCCAGGGTCAGGACCCGGATGGGGAAGGCAGCCATGTTGGCATGGACACCAGCTCACTACAGCCAGCAGCACCCAGAGGCCATTGGTTCAGCAGGACAGCAGGTGTCCCAAGCCCTGCAAGAAAGCAACGTACAGGCATGGACTAAGGGATGACACCAAGGGAGGGCTTACACACCTCTCTGTGACTGGCCCATCACCCTTACCTCTCCTCGCTTCACATGCTGCATTCCAGGTGAGCTGTTTATCTTGCAGCTCTGTGTCTTTGCATGGGCTGGTCTCTTTGCCGCACATGTTGTTTGCCTGTCCCCATTCCTTTGCCTGTCCACCTCATATTCATCCTTCAGATGCAGCTTTTGTGGGAAGCCTTCCTAGGTGCCCAGGTCTGAGCAAGGTGCCTTTGCTTGTTCCTCGTGCATCTCCCCTCACTCTACCTAATCAGAGAACTTACCACCCCGTACTTGTTTATTTTCCTTTCTGTCTCCCCAGTAGACTGGAAGCACCCTGAGGGCTCATCAGTCTACTCCCAGAGCCTAGTATGATGTCTGGTGTATTGCTCAATAAATGTTTGTAACATGGACAGATGGATGAATCCATGCATGGATGGATAAGTGTAAGAGTAGATGGTGGATGAGTAGATACACAGATAGTGGAGGAGTGATGGATGAAAAGATGTGTGTATGTGTGGGTGGATGGATGGAGCAAATCATGCATGTGTGCATGCGTGGATTGGTAGTTGGAGAATGGATGGATGAAAGAATATAAGAAATGAGGTCAGGTGTGGTGGCTCATATCTATAATCCCAGCACTTTGGGAGGTGGAGGTGGGCAGATGACTTGAGGTCAGAAGTTCAAGACCAGCCTGGCCAACATGGTGAAAACCCATCTCTACTAAAAATACAAAAGTTTCTACTAAAAATACAAAAAAATTAGCCGGGTGTGGTGGCGCACAGTTGTAATCCCAGGTACCCGGGAGGCTGAGGCAGGAGAATTGCCTGAACCCAGGAGATGGAGGTTGCAGTGAGCCGAGATTGTGCCACTGCACTCCCGCCTGGGTGATAGAGCAAGACTCTGTCTGAAAAAAAAAAAAAAAAAGAAAAAAAGAAAGAAATGAATGGTGGATACATAGATGAATTAATGGATGGATAATGAGTGCATGGGTGATTGAGTGAGTGGATGGATAAATAGGTAGATAATGCATTTATCTTGATGGATAAATAGGTAGATAATCAGTGCATGCATGGATAGATGGTTGGAGGAATGGAGAATGAATGAATGCATGGGTGGGTGAGTGGGCAGAAGATAAACAAGATGGTGACTGTGTCTTCCAAAGTTCAAGTGCTGGAAACTTAATCCTCAATGCAATGGTTTGAGAGATGGGACCTTTAAGAGGTGATTAAAGGTCACCTCAGGAATGGATTAATGCTGTCACCTCGGGAATGAGTTCTTTTATAAAAGGATGAGTTTGGTCCCCTTTCCTCTCTCTCTTGTCCCTGTAATGGCTTCTGCCATGTGATGACACAGCAGTAAGACCCTCATCAGATGCAGTCCTTTGTTCTTAGACTTCCCAGCCTCCAGAACCTTGAGCCAAATACATTTCTGCTCATTATAAATTACCCAGTCTGTGGTATTGTGTTATTGCAGCAGAAACAGGCTAAGACCCAGTGCTTACCAGGGCAATGCCCACAGTGCCAGGCTTCATGAAGGCCAGCTCCCAGGCTAAGAGGTGGGAGAGGACTGGGGGCGTTCCACCCAAAGGGACCTCTGATCTCATTGGCCCCCCGCCGACATTCACACATCAGGAAACAGGCCCAGAGAAGATCAAGGACTTGCCTGAGGTCACACAGCAAGCTGCGGTCAGAACCAGTCAGAACTCAGTTGCCTGTTTCCAATATTCTGCATAGACAGAGGCTGGACTGATTTTTATCCCCTTCTGAGGAAAGTGATGGCAAACTGAGACACAGCAAAACTACAAACTCTTTCCAAGGCTTATTGTAATAACTAACTTTATTTCTGCCACCAAACAGACCATGGAATGTAGTGGCTAAGAGCTTGGATTGGGGAGCCTGATGGCTTGGGTTTGGATTCCAGCTCTGCCATTAATAGCTGTGTGGTGTTAGACAAGTGACTTAACCTCTCTGTGCTTCAGTTCCCTCATCTATACAATGGAAGTGATATAGTACCTCCCTCATAGGTTGTGTTACTCGGGGTGAGCTTATCACATAAAGTGCTTGGAACAGCGCCTGTTGGGTAAGGATGTATGATGTGTGCGTGTGCGTGTAAGGCAGTAAGAGTGAGCCCGTGTGTAAATGTCCATGAGCATGAGGCCTGAAGGTACACACATATTTGTGTGTGAGTATGAAGGAGTGAGCATGTGAATGGATGTGGATGTGCAAGTGCGGTTGTGAGGGTGTAACTGTGTATGCATGTTTGTGTGTGTGTGTGAGCACTGTGGGTCTATATCGGGCAAGGTGGAGTCATGGATGTGCATGTGGCACAATGTGTGAGCACAGAGTGTGGGATACATGGAGTATTTTGACCATATGTGTATGGTATGTGTGAGGATTTACATGGAATAGTATGTTGGGGGAGGGCTGACCAGGTGTGTGCATGCATGCATGTGTGTGTGCGTGTGCGTTTGTGTGTGAAGCTGGCTCTTGCGTACATCAAGGGACTCAGAAACCTCCCCAAACAGGGTTCCAGTCTGTAAAACTGTATTTTTGACTCCTGAGGCTGGTTATTCCAAAAATGAGTCCACCTCCACTCCAACTCCCAGCCTGGAAGCTAGAGCCAGAGGTCAGGAAGTCAGGTTAGTGGCCTGAGCTGGGCCGCTTGTTCACAAGGATGGAAGAGGCAGAGGGAGAGCAGGTGCTGGGAGCTTTCAGCTTCAGGATCTGGAGGCCAAGGGCTGGATTTGGGCAGAGATCTGACAGGGTGGATGGCATGGAGCTAGTTGATGGTGCAGGGCCAGCCCAGCGTGCGCTGGGACTCCCAGGTCCATACTCCTTGAGTCTGTGCAAGGTCTCGAAGGTAGTGATCCTGTCTGGGTGAGTGATGGCCATATTCCTGGCATTTCTTTGCTGGGTAGAAGCACCTCACACCAACTTGGCCAATATTTGTTGGTGAATGAATGGACAACGGATGAAATGAGAAATAAGTCTGTCTCTAGGGCCTGCAATTCGCTCCCTCCCACAGTTCAAGCTCCACCCCCGAAACCCAGGACCTCCCCTCCCACCCCAACCCTCTCTGTGGACTCCATTCTCACTCAAGTCACTGCTCAGCCCCCAGCAGCACCCTGAGGGCCTGTCCACCTTGCAGGACCAGGCCTGGCTTAGTGTGGCTCTTCCTGTCCCGTTGAGTCCCTGGGGAAGGTCAGAGGCCAGTTAGGGGCACCATGAGAAACCTGTGTGGTAGCCTCACCATGGTTAGAAAGCAAGGAACTAGGCAGAGTGGAGTTTCTTCCATTCCTTTTCAGATTCGCTGAGGTCCACGTGGGGTAGTCATCCTCCTATGAGGGCCTTAGCTGCCAGGCTCAAGAACTTTGCAGGCCCTGGGCCCTTTGACTGTCAGGAGGACTCTCTCTAATCAGAGCAAACACATTAAAACACGTGGTATCCACAGCCCAGGTTGAGTTGAAATTTTTTGCCATTAATATTTTTCAAAGGATAGGATCATCTTTTGATAAGACACATTATTTATTTTGATGTCTGAACACTTTTTTTTTTTTTGAGACAGGGTCTCACTCTGTCACCCATACTGGGTACAGTGGTGCAATCTCGGCTCACTGCAACCTCCACTTCCTAGGCTCAAGTGATCCTCCCATTTCAGCCTCCTGAGCAGCTGTGCACCACCATGCCTGACTAATTGTGTGTGTGTGTGTGTGTGTGTGTGTGTGTGTGTGTGTGTGTGTATGTACAGACAGGGTTTCACCAAGTTGCCCAGACTGTTCTCGAACTCCTGAGCTGAAGCAATCCACCCACCTCGGCCTCTCAAAGTGCTGAGATTACAGGTGTGAGCCACCATGCCCGGTCGATGTCTCAACACTTTACTGCCATTACTTTCTCTGTTTTGGTCACCCTGACTCCTCAGAACCTAGCACTGTGCCCAGCACTTAGTAGGTGCTCAGTAAACATTTGTTGAATCAGTGCACTCATGACTTGAATCTGACTTTACAGATGATAACTCGAGCTGGGTTTACCAGCTAACATCATGTAAGGGGTACTGGGACATTAAACTAAGTGGGTGTTACTTTTGATTTTGAAATTTTCTTTTTGTGGTTTGGAGAGTCTCATTTTTCCATTAGGTTTCAAACATTCTCATAGACCGTAGACTCAAGAGACTCATGGAGCATAATGGATAAAGCGGGGCTGCCCATAGACATGGACCCAGGACCACCACACCTGGCCTCCCTGGGCCAGGGGTTCCCCTTGGGGCCCTAGATAGCATCAGAGGCCTCTGGCTGCAAAGGAGCAGGGCCCATCCTTTATCCCATCCTTTATCCAGGAGCAGGCCTGGTGTTCCTCCCGTCTCCTATCCACCTGGTCGGCCTGTACCGTGCCTTGGGGAATGCCCTCTTTTAGGTGCCCGGGTATGATCCCAAGTGGATCTGTATTTCCACTTGTGGCCTTGACTTCCCCAGCAGCACCCTCAGCCTCCCCGCTTGCCCCTCTAGTCTGTTGTCCATACAGCAGCCAGAGTGGGAGGGGCCAGCTTCCCAGGTATGCATCCAGTGCAGCCACTCAAGGCGAGAGCTCAGAAGGGCTGTGTGCTTGGGCTTCAGTGCTCTGGTCACCATCTTGAAACAATCATTTTAGCATTGAATTTGTGCTTTGTGAGTGAAGTCTGATGGGAAAATGGCGCCTTCACTGGGAATTCGGAAGCTGGTTTGTGTGTGTCCCATGTCCCACTGCCTCCCCAGCACAGGCTCTTGGCTGCCCACTCCCAGGCTCCCAGTGTCCCCACCTCTGCCCCACCATGGCTGCCCCCCTTCATCTGGAGGCCTGAATGCAGGCTCAAGGAGGACTGGGGACTGCTGGATTGGCCCCTGGCATCTTAGGGTGTGACAGAGTGGTGGCTCTCCCCTCCCTGGGCTGAAACTTAGCATAGGCTTCTCCCCGACCCCCAATCCAGGTATTGAGCGTGTCCTAAAATGACTGTGGCAATCTGGAGGGGCTGCCTGTTGGCCATGTGTGGAGGCAATGTGCCATTAGAAGAGGCAATGGACTTTCTTGCCTCTGGTGGGGGCTTTGCAGTTACATTTTTCACCAAATCCACAAATTGTATAGCTAGCCTGGCCAGGCACCATGGCTTATGCCTGTAATCCTAGGACTTTGGGAGGCCGAGATAAGCAGATCACTTTGAGCTCAGGAGTTTAAGAACAGCCTGGGCAACATGATGAAACCCCGTCTCTACAAAAAAATACAAAAAGTATCTGGGCATGGTGGTGTGCACCTGGGGTCCCAGCTACTGGAGAGGCTGAGTCTGGAGAATTGCTTGAACCCAGGAGGCAGAGGTTGCAGTGAGCTGAGATCACACCACTGTACTCCAGCCTGGGTGACAGAGTAAAACCCTATCTCAACAACAACAACAACAACAACAAAATTGGCCAGGCGTGGTGGCTGACACCTGTAATCCCAGCACTTTGGGAGGCCAAGGCAGGCAGATCACCTGAGGTCGGGAGTTCAAGACCAGCCTAACTAACATGGAGAAACCCCGTCTCTACTAAAAATTCAAAAATTAGCCAGATGTCATGGCACATGCCTCTAATCCCAGCTACTCAGGAGGCTGAGGCAGGAGAATCGCGTGAACCTGGGAGGCGGAGGTTGCAGTGAGCCGAGATCATGCCATTGCACTCCAGCCTGAGCAAGAGCGAAACTCCATCTCAAATAATAATAATAATAACAATAATTAATAAATAAAATTATATAGCCAGCCCTAAGAGTGAGGCTTCTACCATACATGTTTGCCCTGCGGGATCCCTCCTGAGATACTGACTGGTGAAGTCCCTATCCCCTCCTTTGGCCCCTGAGGGCCTGCATGACCCAGGCCTGCTCTGCCCTTCACCTTGGTGCACCCATCTTTGCATCAAATATTCCTGCCAGGCCAGCCGGACCTCCTTTGTTCCCCAGAATGGGTTCTGTGTCCCCTCTCCTCTGGGCCCTGTACCTGTGGTTTGCCCTGCCTTGACAACCTTTTTCTACCTCCTTGCTTATCAGGACAGCCTGACACCCCTCCTCACCCTCCCCGCATCCAGGTTCTCACCCAGATCATAGCAATGCCTTTTAATTGTCCAGTTGGGATCTTGGGGAGGATGGAGCTTTGTCTCTCTTGTTTCCAGCTGTACTGCAGTGTGAGACACAGTACCTGGTGCTCAGTAAGTATCATTAAGTGAAGACTGATTGTCCCATCTGCTTCCTCACATCTTTGCCTGGTGATGAGCAAATGGAAGCTCAGAGAGGGCAGTGACTCACCAGCATTTCATGCTGGGATGGAGGCAGGTTTAGAGCTTGAATCTGAGTCCAGCGCCCACGCTTTCTCTCCTGCAAGGATGAAAGGCTACAGGGGTTGAGAAAACCCTCCCTTCTGCCCTGAAGGCAGAGCTGTGGCACGGCTCAGGCTTGCTTCCTCATCCCCTGAGTGTGAGGCTTTGCTGCCAACACACAGGGGCTTGTCCCACCTGGGGCAGGAGGAGGCAGAGTCTATGGCACTGCTTCTCTGAATCTGATTGATTCAGCCCCACAATCTCAGGCCCTCCAGACACCAAAATGAACAAGATCCAGCCCCAGCTTCAGGGGTGTCTCCACCTGCTGAAGGTGGTCTCTGCTGAACTTTTCTAGGTTCTGAATCCCACCTCACCCCAACCCTTCTGCATCCTAGCTCATAGGATGTACGAATGACTCCCGTGCCTGGACTAGTGGCTTTACATAGGTAATGGTGGCTCCTCAGAGCACAGAGAGGTGCAGTGGAGTCCCAGAGCCCCTGAGCCGAGAATCAAGCCCAGATCTGCCTGGCTCTGAAGCCTGGGCTGCGCCAAGCCTATCACATATCCCAGCCCTCAACTGTCCAAGAACAAGACCGCACCCAGTTGGGAGGGGTGAGGAAAGGAGGCTCTAGGGAGGCCACAGCACCTGCACTGGGCCTAAGAGGGTGTCCCAGGAGGGATGAGAAGGAGCAGAGCAGCCAAGCCAGGGTGCAGAGGCAGGGAAGAGTGGGGCGAGAGAAGGGTGGAAGGAAGGTTCAGCCCAGTCCGCAGGCCGGAGAGTTTGGATTTTGATCTGATGGTAGTAGGGAGACACAAAAGGTGTTTGCGCAGTGTGAGGTCATCTGTGCTTGGGGAGCCTATGCTGGCTGTGCACTGGGGAGTGGAAGGGAGGCAAGGAGCCCAGTCAAGAGGCCATTAGAAGGTCCAGAGGTGGCTCATAGTTTTGATAGATTTCATCCTGCTCAAGTTTGAGGCAGAGTGAAAGCTATTGGGAGGGAAATACACCAGAGGACACGGAGGGCCCATGAGTGCTGAAGAAGGCTGCAGCTGGGTTGGGCGTCGATGACATAAACCTGAGAGAGAGCAGGAGGATGTGCAGGGCCATGTGAAGTAGGGTCTGCATTTGGGGGCTCTGTACATAGTAGGTACTCAGTAACTGTTCATTGGATGAATGGATGAATAACTCCTTGTCTCTGGGTCAGCTCTGGTCTTACCCTCTCCTGTTTCTCACACCTCTTCTCTTTGCCCACCCTGTCCTGTGGCCCTGGGGAGACCTCAGCTGGCCCAGTAGAGGCAGTGCTGGCCCATGGTTCTGCCGGAGGCGCCTCCATGTTTGCGGGTGCACCGCACGCCTTCTCCCTCTCTGTCCCCCTCCCCCTCCCTGTCCTTATCTTTCCCTTCTGTCTCCATGGCGACTCACCACCTCGGCTTGCCTGCATCCCAGCCTCTGCCAGGGATTCTGAGCCGGGCTCCATCCCTCCCTCCTCGGAGCCCTGCTACCCGCAGCCGTGTCTCCTCCCCCTGGGGTGAGTCCAGCAGCAGCCTCCTCTTTCCTGACTGTCACATTTCTTTTCCAGCTCTGACCGGGAGTCAGCTCCTCGGGGATACCATCCCCCGACCTCACCTTCTACCTACCGCAGCCTGCTAGCCTTTCCGGGAGAAAAGGCATCCTTACCTCTGGTTGAAGGTCTCGGGGCCTCCCCCTCTGCATCCGGACCCTCTCCCCATCCCAGCCTCCCATGCCAAGGCCCGCCTTGTCAGTCACTTCCTTTTGTCATCGGCTTGGCAAACGGGCAAGTCTTCAGTCCTAAGATCGGGAAGGAGAGTGGGGTGGGAAGGGCCCTCCTTGGGCTGGGGGATGGGCCGGGGGTGGGGAGGATGAGGGGTCCCTGGAAATCCAGGGTGAAGATAGAAGTCTGGATTATGTTCTAAATCTTTTTTTTTTTTTTTTTTCTCCAAGGAGAGAAAACAGAGCTTCATGGGAAACAGCGGCAACAGTTGGTAAGTAGCAGGGCCTTCCAGGCTGGGATGGGTGCAGTGAGGCCAGGCAGGTCAGTTGAAATGGCCGGTCCTGGAACACAGAGCCCGGCAGCCCAGCCGGGAGGGCTGTCCGCCTGAGGCTGGATCCGCCAGGCTGTGGAGGGAGGGACAGGAAGAAGCAGGTGGGTGCTGCAGGGAGGCAGATGCCAGCTCAGAGCAGAGAGCGGAAGGAATCTTCTAAGATCCAGAGCCATCTGCCCAACTGCAGCACAGGCTGATGGCTTCTCCTCACTGTCCCTGTAGCATGGGGTTGTGGAGGGTATCATCCCTGGGGGCCTGGCTGAAGTCAGCACCTCATGGAGGGAGCCCCGCTGTAGAACGCCGGGAGAGGCTCTTCCCAAGCATTTGCACCAGGCACTGTGCAGACAGCTGCACACGCCTCCTCTCGGATGGCCACCCCAACGGCCCCATGAGGGGTATTGCTATCCTCTCCATTGGGACAGTTAGGAAATTGAGGCCCAGAGAGGGGAAGGAACTTGCTTGCATTTGCATGGCTGGGATGTGGTGGAGTCCATTCCACTCAGATTTTCTCCCTCTCAGACTCTCTCACCATTGCTCTGCTGCCCCCACTCTGAGGCCCCCAGGTCCTAGGACACATGTCAGTGAGGAACGGGCAGAGCTTGGCCTCTCTGGGAGCAGCTCCGCCTGTCCATGGAGGCACTGATGGAAATTGGGTTGGCACAAAGGGACCTCCACTCCCAAGCCATCAGTCTTCCACCACAACCCTGGCCGGTACCCCCTGCCCCCAATAGACATCCTGCTTTTCAATGGCCTGTTTTGCCCCACAGGTCCCATACACCTTTCCCCAAGTTGGAGCTAGGCCTGGGGCCCCAGCCCATGGCGCCCCGGGAGCTCCCTACCTGCTCCATCTGCCTGGAGAGGTTGCGCGACCCCATCTCGCTGGACTGTGGCCACGACTTCTGCATACGGTGCTTCAGCACACACCGTCTCCCGGGCTGTGAGCCGCCCTGCTGTCCTGAGTGCCGGAAGATATGCAAGCAGAAGAGGGGCCTCCGGAGCCTGGGCGAGAAGATGAAGCTCCTGCCGCAGCGGCCGCTGCCCCCTGCACTGCAGGTCTGGGGACTGGGCCTAATCAGTCAGACCCAAGAGGAGGGGGTGGCTTTGGCCCTATTCTAGAACATCAGGACACAGAGCTCCAGGCTGAACACATTCCAGGGTCAGGAGCTGGTCCTGGATGCTCAGGGGCCCCTCTCTTCTCCTGGCCCAGGAGACGTGTCCTGTGAGGGCGGAGCCGCTGCTGCTGGTTCGCATCAATGCCTCTGGGGGCCTCATCCTTAGGATGGGGGCCATCAACCGCTGCCTGAAGCACCCTCTGGCCAGGGACACCCCAGTCTGCCTCCTCGCTGTCCTGGGGGAGCAGCACTCAGGGAAGTCCTTCCTCCTCAACCATTTGCTTCAGGGCTTGCCGGGCCTGGTGAGGGCGGGGCGGGGCAGGAGGGAGGCGGGGAGCAAGGATGGGGGTTCCTGCCTGGGGGAAGCTGGGTCTGGTATTCCGGTCTGTGGGGACAAGGAACCGACCAACTGATGCTCTCCCTTCTCTCCCCTGCAGGAGTCTGGTGAGGGCGGCCGGCCAAGAGGAGGAGAGGCATCCCTGCAGGGCTGCAGGTGGGGCGCCAATGGCCTCGCCAGGGGCATATGGATGTGGAGCCACCCCTTCTTGCTGGGGAAAGAAGGGAAGAAGGTGAGGGGGGAAGTGGCAGAAGGAGGTCAGGGATGGGAAGGGGAATCAAGAAGGGCGTCTCTGGGGTGAGGATAGAAGATGGGGATGGGACGGGGCAGGGTTGGGAAGAATGTGGGAGAACAAGGCAGGCCTGGCCCCTTGGGTCTTTCCCTACCCCCTGCATAGGTGGCGGTGTTCCTGGTGGACACAGGGGATGCCATGAGCCCTGAGCTGAGCAGGGAAACAAGGATCAAGCTCTGTGCTCTCACCACGATGCTGAGCTCCTACCAGGTGATGGGGGGCGCTGATGTTGGCATCCCCACCCCACACACCCTTCTCCAGCTCAGCTTCCTCAAGGCCAGAGCATCTCACAGGCTTTGGTGTCTGGGGTCCTGATAGGTTCTGGGGCTGCCTTAGAAGGGGGAAGGTGCTCCTAGTTGGTGAAGGTGGGAACGTGGGTTATTCCTAAAAGTGGGCTGATGGTCCCAGGGGCAGCTGAAGACCTGATGGATCACATTACCCTCCAGGCTTGTCTCCGGCCTTGAGGCCAGCCCAGCCCTGCAGCCTTCGAGGCCCCCATACTGGCCTCTCCCATACTCTGAGGCCCACAGGCTGCCTGCGAGCTCCCTACTCACCAGGGCCTTCCCCAGTGAAGTCACCCGGCCTCTGTAATCTCTCATACATGTTGTTCTCTCTGATTCCAGATCCTCAGCACCTCCCAGGAGCTGAAGGATACAGACCTGGACTATCTGGAGGTAAAGAGACCTCTGATGTTGGGGCATCCCCCACCCCCACCCTCCCCACTAGGGCTGGACCCAAAGGAACTAGGTGCCCTCCTGGTCTGGCCTAGGGTTTTATGACACTTGAACAGGGTTGAAGGGGGAGGGTGGAGAGTAAAGCAAGAGATGTGTGGTCTGGGGAGAGGCAGGAGAACCCCAGGCTGCAAAAGGGGGAGCCTAGCTCCTACAGCAGGCGTAGGGAGGTGGGGAGACAGGCTTGGGGTGCACCATAGTCCTCAAAGTGGCCCAGCCCTGACGCTTTCTGTGTCCCACCCCCAGATGTTTGTCCACGTGGCCGAGGTGATGGGCAAGCATTATGGGATGGTGCCAATCCAGGTGAGACACCTATCTCTGGATTCATTGGCCCCAGGCCCCGCCACCCCCATTTGCTGGTGTCAGGACCCCTTCTCTTTCAGCATCTGGACCTCTTAGTTCGTGACTCATCCCACCCCAACAAGGCAGGGCAGGGGCATGTAGGCAACATCTTCCAGGTGAGTGGTGCAAGGGGATGGGGTGGAGGGGCCATGGACAGGGCAGAGGTGGGGAAGACATGGGAGGCTGGACCTCCTAGCTCAGAGCACTCCTCTCGCTGCCTCACAGAGATTGTCTGGCAGATACCCCAAGGTGCAGGAGCTGCTGCAAGGGAAGCGAGCCCGTTGCTGCCTCTTGCCTGCCCCAGGGAGGCGGCGGATGAACCAAGGCCATGCAAGCCCTGGTGGTGAGTGTCTCTGAGAGCTGAACCTCTCTTGCGCTGCTCCCAGCTCCCCTCCGGCAACCGAGCCCCTTGAAGCACCCACCTCTCCTGGCCTCTGACACCCCTTCTCCTCCCAAAGCCCGCAGTCTCTCAGCATGCACATCTCTCCCTCAGACACAGATGATGACTTCCGCCACCTTCTGGGGGCCTACGTCTCAGATGTGCTGAGTGCGGCCCCCCAGCACGCTAAGAGCCGCTGCCAGGGGTACTGGAACGAGGGGCGCGCCGTGGCCAGGGGGGACAGACGCCTACTCACGGGGCAGCAGCTAGCTCAGGAAATCAAGGTGTGAAAACTCCCTGGAGACCCAGGCGACTCGGCTGGGCCCCTGCTCTCCCTGACCCCAGCGATGGTATCTCCGCAGAACCTCTCAGGATGGATGGGGAGGACAGGGCCCGGTTTCACCTCTCCGGATGAGGTATGAGCGCTGGGGGATCCAGCATTCTGGCAGGGAGACAGGGGAGGCAGGGAGGTGGGGGCTGTGCCGAGGCCTCCGGGGTGGGGGTCTGTGTGCCCTGGGAGTGGAGATGAGGAAACAAGCAGCGCCCCTGGCTGAGAAGGAAGGAAGGAGGCAGCCTGGGTTTTCCCGTGGACAGATGGCTGCTCAGCTGCACGACCTGAGGAAGGTGGAAGCTGCCAAGAGGGAGTTCGAGGAGTATGTGAGGCAGCAGGTGAGCCCCGGGGCTGCACGGGAGGCAGGTGTGGGCCGGGCAGGGTCCAGATCAGGGAGAGGATACCTGGGACTCCTGGTCAGGGCACCTTCTTTTCCCCTCCCTGTCACAGGACGTAGCCACCAAGCGCATATTCTCTGCGCTGCGGGTCCTGCCAGACACCATGCGGAACCTCCTCTCCACCCAGAAAGATGCCATTCTGGCCCGCCATGGTGTGGCCTTACTCTGCAAGGGGAGAGATCAGACCTTGGAGGCACTGGAAGCTGAGCTGCAGGCCACGGCCAAGGCCTTCATGGACTCCTACACGATGCGCTTCTGTGGCCACCTAGCTGCTGTGGGGGGTGCTGTGGGGGCCGGGCTCATGGGCCTGGCAGGGGGCGTGGTGGGTGCTGGCATGGCAGCAGCTGCACTGGCTGCAGAGGCTGGGATGGTGGCTGCTGGAGCTGCCGTGGGGGCCACAGGGGCCGCTGTGGTTGGGGGTGGCGTGGGTGCTGGGTTGGCTGCCACAGTGGGCTGCATGGAGAAGGAGGAGGATGAGAGGCTTCTGGAAGGGGACCGAGAGCCCCTTCTCCAGGAAGAGTAACAGCCCCAGGAGGTATTGAAGGACAGGAGAGATGTCAGGTGGGGATGAAGAAGAGGGGCAGGTCGGGGGAGGGTGATGCCAGGGATTCCAAGGCACCGCCATGTACTGCACTGCCCTGGTCGAATGCTCGGTGTCTGGGTGGCAGCTGAGCTGGGACTCAAGGTGGCTCTTGGAACCTGGGAGGCAGCATCTGGGGGCAGTGGATAGAACACCCGGCCTGTTTCTGGTTGCAGATGGTTGCCGATCTGCCCTTGTCACAGATAGGCTACATCCCAGGGTTTCTGGCTGCAAGTGAGACTCCACCCTCCCCACCTGGCTCATTTCCCCGATGACCCTGGATTGTAGGAAAGTTAAGCAGGCACCATCCTGGAAGTCTACCCCTAGGTGGTCGAGAGACCTGTTCTTTCACAGATGTGAGAAGCCCCAGGATGATTGACCATGGTGTTCAGGAGCGGGGAGCACTGATGAGGTGCTGGGGATGACAGGAAGGAAGGAACACTGGGCAGAACCAGAGAGATGGGACATGGTAGACTGTGGCCCAGACCCCAGAGCAGAGAAACTTGTTCCCATGACCCTTCCCAAATCTGCTCCAGCAGGACTAAGGTGGCTTTCCCACTCCTGGCCCACAGCCCCAGAGAGCCTGTCTGTGCATCCTGAACCACTCTTTGCTGGGCCTCCGCAAGGGCCTCTCTTGGGTCTGTGTCCTTTTTCAAGCCTGTTTAGATGGGGGAGTGCCCATGCCCTCTGTGAAGTGCCCAAATGCGAAAGAATAACACCTTTTCTTGCATTCTGAGCTAAGCCAGACAGCCTTTATACTAGATTCTATCAAAATCTTGCAAAGGAAAACAAAATGAACAACTTCTACCCTTAAACACATCCTTTCTCCCCTGGGCTTGTAAGAAGATGCAGCTTGATGCAGCTCCTCAAACACCAGGCCCCCTGGGAACTGGGGGTGCGGGAGTTCTCCCTCTGGGGGACAGAAAATCTGACTACTAGGAAGACTTCTAGGCTATGAAACTGACTTCTAGGCTATGAAACTTACAGGGTATGGGTGGGCACATTATCCTTTATTTTATGAAAAATAAAATGTGTGTATGTGAATGTCAGCTTCCCAGTATATTATTGAAACAGAATTTAACCCTCAGATGACTTCATGGTGGGAGCAGGTGAACCAATGAGATCCATTGCTGGAATGCACAGATGGGAAGAGGGAGATTGGAATTCAAGAGATCCAAGGAAGTGAACGTCAGAGGTCCCCATTCAGTGGCTGCAAGAGGCCTCAGGCCAAGGCCAAGTGGATATGGGCACCTTTGCAGGCTCTTCCACTAGGACTTGGGGTTCCGCTCCTCTTGTCTCCTCTCTGAGAAACTGCTTCCCATGATCCTGTCAACAGGCAGTCAACAAGCACCTGTCCCAGCAAGAGGACAGAATGGATACATAAGCAGAGAGAACTTGGTCAAGCCTTGAAGGAAGGAGAAGCCCAGGACCACTTCTGCAGGGCTCAGCCAGCCAGGAGTTCACCCAACTGATTCTCCTCCCAGCCCTGCTCCCCAGCTCCCCAGCTCCCCATCTCAGAACCACAGCAGTAGTCACTGCATCCAATCCTGGCATTTTATAGGTGCACACCCAGAGAGAGAAAGTCTCAGATAAGCCTGTGCAGCTGCTGATGACAGAAGCAGGGGAACCCCGAAGTCCTGGTTCCCAAGCTGGTGCACTTCCTGAAGTTATTTTGTTAAGGTCGACTGTGCTGAAATTGAGATGCTCCTTTTCAGATGCTTCTTCTGGCTGATCAGGTCCAGCTCCAGGGAAGTGTGTGGTGGGCAGAGGCAGCAACGTGGTCTAGAACAGATGGCTCAGCAGTGAAGCTATAGTTAACAGGCTGGGGACAAAATACAGAATGTAGAGAAATCCCAAAGCCAGGGTGGGGTTGAGTGGGGTAAAGACAAATGAGAGTGACTCTCTCTTTTAGGGTCTGAGCCAAGGGTGGGAACAGGGTCTTAACTTTGTGTAGTGTTTGTGGAGAAGGACTTTCTGGAAGCATCTTTCTGAGCCCTTCCACTGTCATCTGGTGGACACATGAGCTATGAAACCTTCCAGACTTTGGAGGCTCAGGATGAGGGGGCCCAGAGACTCAGAGAGGGAGGGTGTTACATGGCTAGAATCCCACCCGGCAGCACTGGAAGGAACAACAGTTCAGTGTCTACCTCTCCCCACTCTTTGCACAGATGGGAAGAAGTTGGCCCAGTGAGGGATGTCTCTGCAGAGACAAGATGAGTAATATTAAGTGGTGTTTGTCTTGTGCCTTGTAGCTTTCAAAACATTTCCTCAAACATTATCTCCCTTAAGCCTTGAAATCATCTCAAGCAGTATGTAGAACACACATTTTCACAGAGGAGGACGCTGAAGCTGAGAGAAATAATGTGTCTCAGTGGAAACAACTAGTCAGAGGTAGGCCAGGACTTGACCCCAAGAGTTCTGGTGCCAAATCCCTGGCTCAGTGGAGCCTTCAAGCCTCTCCAGACTCCAAGACGACCAGGCTTCTGGGTTCCAAACCTGATTAGTTGGCTTCCTGGGCTTCCAACATTGATTCTGTAATTCACAAGAGCCCAGGTGTGACTCATTGACCGAGGTCTCAGCAGCATGCTGACGTCTGGCTGGTTTCCCTTCTGTGACCCACTGCAGGTTCCAAGATTGGTAGGTTCCAAGATTGGGTTAGAGGTTTGGTGACTTGCCGTGTGGTTCCTGTTTCTGAGGCCTCCCTCATGTTGCAGATGGCAGTACTGCAAGACAAGAGGAACCTGCGACCTGAAGGCCCTTGACTGCTTGGATCAGGAATAAGCCCTCAACTCCACTGGCTCTCATCAAACCACGCCGCGAGCAAGGAATAAACTTTTACTGCATGAAGGGGATGCGACATCTAGGTCGACTTAGTACACCATCACCCACCCTACTCTAACACACACAGAAATGGGTTCTTTGAAATGGAGTGATGCTGTATCAGACAGGTAAAGTATCACCAGTTGGGGGCTGGGCAGTAAGGAAAAGCATTTTATGTCACAGCAGAACGTTTGCTAAAATTGTTGCCTACGGCAACTTGGAAGACAGACCTTGTGCTATCGAGGAAAAAAAACTATTTTAAATAAAATCTCCTGCCAACCCAGAATATTCTCTCCACAAATGTAGAAAATAAAGAAAATACTAGTTCTGTGATTGAATAAGCATTAAACACATGGATGCATTATCAGCTAACGCAATCATAAAGACAGTCAGAAATCCCCCTATTTATGTAGTCAAGCAGCTACAACCCGTTACACACATGCTGTCATGTGTGAGGACTTGAACTCAGGTGAGAGAGAGCTCCACAGCGTCGTTTGCTATACATGCACTTACAGCGTACCTAATTCACCTGGTGATTGGGGTGGTCATCTGTGCTAATTAGTGCCTTTTTCTGTAGGGAAAATAAAGCAACTTGAATCTCTAGGAAATGCAGTTGTTGGCCGGGCGCAGTGGCTCACATCTGTAATCCCAGCACTTTGGGAGGCCGAGGTGGGCAGATCACGAGGTCAGGAGTTCAAGACCAGCCTGGCCAACATAGTGAAACCCTGTCCCTACTAAAAATACAAAAAATTAGCCAGGTGTGGTGGTGGGCACCTGTAATCCCAGCTACTTGGGAAGCTGAGGCAGGAGAATCACTTGAACCCGGGAGGCGGAGGTTGCAGTGAGCCGAGATCACACCACTGTGCTCCAGCACAGGCGACAGTGTGAGACTCCGTCTCAACAAAAAAAGCAGGTTGTGCAAGGCACCTAGGCACGCCTTGACACACCGTTGGTGACAGCAACATGTCGTCCTTGATGTTACACTTACGAGAGGGGGCTCCCAGCCTTTTCAGAAAAACAGTTTTGGGTTTTAATTCTGGTAAAAGATTTATTTAAACTTTAAAAAGACTTGCATAAGTATCTGAAGGAACAGAGGAAGGATTTACAAATACAGGCTTTCTCAAGGAAATAGAAAGGGGAGGGGGAGAAGGGGTCTCTTTTCCTTTTGGAAACAAAACGAATGCCATCTTATTTTTATTTACCTTTACAGTTTCCCGCCCTTTGTTATCATTATTGTTATTATTATATTTTTGAGAAGGAATCTCACTCTGTCGCCCAGGCTGGAGTGCAGTGGCTCGATCTCAGTTCACTGCAAGCTCCGCCTCCCGGGTTCACACCATTCTCCTGCCTCAGCCTCCCGAGTAGCTGGGACTACAGGCGCCCACGACCATGCCGGGCTACTTTTTCTGTATTTTTAGTAGAGACGGGGTTTCACTGTGTTAGCCAGGATGGTCTCGATCTCCTGACCTCGTGGTCATCCCGTCTCAGCCTCCCAAAGTGCTGGGTATTATTATTTTATAACACTATAATTTATTTATTTACTTATTTATTTATTTATTTATTTTGAGATGGAGTCTCACTGTCTCCCAGGCTGGAGTGCAGTGGCACAATCTCAGCTCACTGCAAGCTCTGCCTCCTGGGTTCACACCATTCTCCTGCCTCAGCCTCCTGAGTAGCTGGGACTACAGGTGCCCACCAGCACTCCTGGCCAATTTTTTGTACTTTTAGTAGAGACGGGGTTTCACCATGTTAGCCAGGATGGTCTCGATCTCCTGACCTCGTGATCCACCCGCCTTGGCCTCCCAAAGTGCTGGGATTACAGGCGTGAGCCACCGCGCCCGGCCAGTAACGCTATAATTTACTAATGATCTCCATTGCTTTTTTTTTTTTTACCTTTCTTTGGGCAGTTTGCAGCCATTAAAATATTCAGCGAGCCCACAGTAAAACAGCAAAGCTGATCAGGCTGTTAGAACAAAACATCATAGACTGACTGGCTTATAAACAACAAAAATTTATTATAGTTCTGGAGGCTGGAACTCCAAGAACAAGGCTCCTGCAGATCTGATGTCTGGTGAGGGCCTGTTTCCTCATAGACTTCCATCTTCTCACTTTCACTTCACATGCTGGAAGGAGTGAAGGGTGTCTCTGGGTTCTCTTCTACAAGGGCACTAATCCCATTCACGAGTTCTCTGTCTTTATGACCTAATCACTCCCAAAGACCCCACCTCCTGATACCATCACCTTGGGGTTAGTTAGGATTTCAACATATGAATTTTGGGTGTACATAAACATTCAGCCTGTTGTAAAAGCAATGATCAGGATCTCAGTGGGATGAATTTAACAGTCAGTAGAATATGTACCTCGGGGAAAAACCTCTAAACACATCATACTAATGGTGAATGGTTAAAGCAAACTTGATTAGCAATGTGCAAAAATTCTCCTTCGGCACACATTAATGTTACAAACTGCCGTGCTGTCTTTATCACTTGCCCTTTCATGTAGTTAACTATTTGAGTATCATTTTGTAGTTGCTTACAAAGTCTTACCCAATCTAAGACTAAGGAGTGGCTTACCTGCAGCACCTATCTAAAAGTTTAAGACTTTTCTTTTTCTTTTTTTTTTCTTTGAGATGGAATTTTGCTCTTGTTGCCTAGGCTGGAGTACAATGGCATAATCTCGGCTCACCACAACCTTTGCCTCCTGGGTTCAAGCAATTCTCCTGCCTCAGCCTCCTGAGTAGCTGGAACTAGAGGCATGCACCACCACGCCCGGCTAATTTTGTACTTTTAGTAGAGACGGGGTTTCGCCATGTTGGTCAGGCTGGTCTCAATCTCCCGACCTCAGGTGATCTGCCCGCCTCGGCCTCCCGAAGTGCTGGGATTACAGGTGTGAGCCACCATGCCCGGCCATGTCCGTGGCTCTTATTATGTTAAGTCTTGAGGACAAACCCACCCATCGGCCATTTTCCACATCAGTCCAATCAATAGTTTTATTATGATAGCAGTATGTCATGCTGAACGAGTGATGAAATCTCAGAGCTTTTTTCTAGCTAATTGCTAAGCTGCTTTATTGCCAAGTCCCTCTGAGATCCTTGTGGTGAATTTTTGTTTGGGCATTACATTACTTCTCAACAGTCCAATTCTGAATTTTTGGCCGTTTCCATTGCAATTGTATTATGTGTTTTTGTAATTGTCTCAAAGCATTAAGTTTATTATTGAAAGTATCAGTATCAACAAGCATTAGCTACGCTTGTCTATTTCTATTCCTCCAAGGACTGTATTTAATGTTTCCTTTTGTCCTTGTATGGCCTCAGATAAGCCCCTTAATAATCAGATTTCATAATGCGAGCGCCTAGGGGATGCAATTCTGGTTATGCAAACTACTTAGCCTCAGACACTTTGTGTCAAACTTAGGGCTTGAGTATTTTGATGCATATTAGTTATGTTAGTGTTCCCAAAAATGCACTTTGGGAGGCCTAGGCAGGTGGATCACCTGAGGTCAGGAGTTCGAGACCAGCCTGGCCAACGTGGTGAAACCCTGTCTCTACTAAAAATACATAAATTAGCCAGGCGTTCACTCCTGTAATCCCAGCACTTTGGGAGACAGAGGCGGGTGGATCATGAGGTCAAGAGATCGAGACCATCCTGGCCAACATGGTCAAACCCTGTCTCTACTAAAAATACAAAAATTAGCCAGGTGCAATGGCAGGCACCTGTAATCCCAGCTACTCGGGAGGCTGAAGCAGGAGAATTGCTTGAACCTGGGAGGTGTGGGTTGCAGTGAGCCGAGATCAGGCCACTGCACTCTAGCCTGGGTGACAGAGCAAGACTCCATCTCAAAAAAAAAAAAAAAATTAGCCAGGCATGGTGGAGGGTGCCTGAAATCCCAGTTACTTGGGAGGCTGAGGCAGAAGAATCGCTTGAACCCGCAAGGTGGAGGTTGCAGTGAGCCGAGATCGTGCCATTGCACTGCAGCCTGGGTGACAAGAGCAAAACCCCGTCTCAAAAAAAAAAAAAAAAAAAATGGTCCCACCTTCACTCTGACGACAATCAGATTGTTAGTCTTATAAATTTGGGCCATATCTATCCTGAAAACACAATATAGAGCAGATGGGAAGTAAATAATTGTGGGGACCATTACTGGGAGTACAGAAAGAAAAGTAGTGTTACAAATAACATGTTTGTTTCTAGTAAATTATGAGTCTTAAAGTAATTGAAATCATCACTGCTGTGAATAGGCCAGCAGGGCTGTTTATGATAATAGTAATAATAAGTTCACAAAAATAGTTCTTTTCAGTTGAATTCAGTACCAATATCATTTATTCTAGAAGATTTAAGTTTCAAGTCCTTGTGGGAATCCAAGTCCAGTTGAAAGCATGAATCCAGCTGGATTTTTATTTCACTTTGATAATCATATCAGAACATGTGAAAGGGTCCCTCGCAGGGTGGTGACAGCCATCTTTCCTCTAGAACACCCTTATGTACATGAAATTACCTGATCGTTTATGGGGTCCAGATTTCCTTTGGCAGATCCTTCTGAATCCTTCTGGTTTTACGTCTCCAGGGAAGAGAGAAGCCCTTTTAAGTACAGAACACAATTATGAGAGGATTCAGTTAAATTGGGCCCAGGACATGGTCTCAGACCCAATTCCTAGGACTGCCAAACATAATTTCAAAGGGAGCAATATGTGCTTGCTTGCAGGGTTGCTCTCATTTTTAACAAGGCTAGCACTAAAGCATGAGGCCATTTTAGGCCAGCAGATTTCTAAATGAGGTTTTAGAGTCGAATTCATCTGCTCTATTTGTCCAGAGGACTGAGGGTAACAGGGAGTATGACAGCATGATTTGCATCATTCCTGAACCACAATAGACTATGGGCTATGTGGACATCCTAGAAAACATAACGTGACAAAAATCTTTTGCCTTCCACAGGCCTTAGTTCTACAGAATCCAGCTGCTGTGAGGTCCCTGGTGAAGCTGGTGGAAGAGAACCTTCTGTATGTACCTGGGGAGTGGGCTTAAAAGAATCCTGTCAACAACCCGCACATCAACATGTTTTGGATGATGCTACCTGCTCAGCAGGCATAGTGAAGTGGAGTGCCTTTAAGATCACTTTTCACTGGGGGATGGTTTTGTTGATGACACAACATTACTAATCAAGCAAATGGGAACCAAGGTACAATATTATTTTGTTAGCTAATTCCCATAGTCCAGTCAGATTTTTTTAGCCCCTTTCTTATTCCATTTGTCAATTTCCTTTTGTGATGCATAGTTTTGAAAGTAAATAAAAATTACTTATGTTAAAAGTGGGACTTCTGGCCGGGCGTGGAGGGCCACACCTGTAATTCCAGCACTTTGGGAGGTGGGGGCAGGCAGATCACTTGAGTCCAGGAGTTCGAGACCAGCCTGAGCAACATGGCTAAACCCCATCTCTACCAAAACTACAAAAATTAGCCGGGCTTGGTGGCGCATGCCTGTGGTCCCAGCTACTTGGGAGGCTGAGGCAGGAGAATCTCTTGGACCCGGGAGGCGGAGGTTGCAGTGAGCCGAGATCACACCACTGCACTTCAGCCTGGGTGACACAGCAAGACCCTGTCTGAAAAAAAGAAAGAAAAAAAAAGTGGGACTTCTAAGTTTGGGTCTGCCATATTTGAAGAGTGGCCTTTGCAGCTCTTCAGTAAAATTATTTCCTTTAGAAATGGCATTGTTTTGCCCATGTGAATGCTACAGTGTAATGCCTCTAAACACTCAGGTCTTAATTTTCTTTTCTTTTGCTTTTCTTTCTTTTTTTTTTTTTTCTTTAAGACAGGGTCTCTTTGCTCTGTTGCACAGGCAGGAGTGCATTGGCATGAACACGACTCACTGTAGACTTGAAATGGGCTCAAGCGATCCTCCTACCTTGGTCTCCAAAGTGCTAGGGTTACAGGTGTGAGCCAGCATGCCTGGCCTCAGCTCTTAATTTTCTGAGATAGTTTACTTCCTGTCAAAGTCAAGAATCTCCTATTTTTCAGAATCTTCCCTGTTGCATGACTGACACTAAACAGACATTTACTATCAGTACGTCCATTCGTTTGAAGTCCTGAGCCAAGCCCTAGTAAATGTAAGCTATTCATTAACTTGAATTGTGCTGAATTGATTCCAGGCAAAATAAGCTCCCACAATTTCATGAGCAGCTACCACAGCATAGGAAGCCTAAGTTGGCTATTTGCATCCTGTATGTGACCCATCGGCAAATGTGATCTGTCAAAAGACAAAAAGCACAAGTTTAAAAATCTTAATCGGCTTTTATTTGTGACTCAAGAATTGGGCAATAACTCATTCTTGTAAAACAGAATGAGTGTTCCGATGAGCTGAACGAGGAGGTTTGGCTTGATAGGCAGAAAAGGGCTGTGGAAAGCAGAAACAGAGAACAAAAAGCAGATGAGTGGTTTCAAAGTGACTTTCCTTGTATGATGGTCCCCAACTTAAAATGACTTAATTTGTAATATTTTTAATTTAGGATGGGTTTATTGGGAGCATCTGCAAAGTTTAAAGCAGAGGGGATGTCCTATCATGCTGGCTAAAACTGGCCTGTTTGGGGATTTGGCTATTATCCCTGTGTGTCCTGATTCCCTGGAAGGTCAGATAAACAATTTAGTTTTGGCTTGTTGGTGTGGAACTTCAGCATGAAGAACCCTATTTTGGTTTGGTCTGTTCGGCCTAGTGCAGAAGCTCACTCCAGACTAATTGCATCCTATAAATTTTATTTAACAGGTCAAAGCTGAATTTTTAACAGAAAAGTCAGATAAATCACATTGGAGCCCAGTGTCTTCTTTTATTACCATTTGTGTTAGGCTGTTCTTACTCTGCTATAAAGAAATACTGGAGAATGGGTAATTTATAAAGAAAAGAGGTTTAATTGGCTCATGGTTCTGCAGGCTTTACAGGAAGCATGGTACTGGCATCTGCCTGGTTTCTGGTGAAGCCTCGGGAAGCTTTCAATCATGGTAGAAGGCGAAGGGGAAACAGGCACATCACATGGCATAAGCAGGAGCAAGTGAGGCAGGTGGTGGCGCGGGTGAGCAGTGGAGGGGGGTTGGGGGAGGTACCACACACTTTTAAGTGACCAGATCTCGCAAGAACTCACTATCAGGAAGACAGCACCATGCCATGAGGGATCCAGCCCCAAGATCCAAACACCTTCCACCAGGCCCCACCTCCAGCATCGGGGATTACAATTCAATCTGAGATTTGGGCAAGGACAAATATCCAGACTAAATCAACATTGTACAACCATGATCATCTATTTGATCAAAGTCTGTTGAGATAGCAGAGTTTAGGAGATTGCATCTCCCAAGCACAATATAGGCATCGGATAATAATGCTTGTTCACAGCTGGTCCCATGGCACACCTACAAGTGTCGGGTCTTATGCACTGGTAAGATAGCTATCACAGTATGGGGGACATAAAAATAAGTCAAATGACTCTAGGGGCCAAGGGAAAACTTCTCCTTCACCCTCTGAATGTTTGCTGAAAAACCAACTCACAAAAGGCAGATTAATATGAGGAATAACATAGAAATTTACTAATGTGCACCAAAGGAAAATCGCAGTGATTATCCCAACCCCTCAATGGGATTCAGAAGCTTACTTACCCTCTTGAGGTTACAGAAAGAATCAGGGCTCAGAGCATGACCCAAACCAGATTACAGTGGTAGATCAGATTATGGCAGTTATGGAGGGGAAGAAGAGGAGGCCTGGCTAGCAAAGGGGGTCTTGTTATGTAGATGAAGCCTCACAGGTAGCGGCCCTTGAGAGAGAATAGGTGGTGAATGTTTCTTTTAGACTTTAAAGGTGTCAGACTCTCAGTTAATCTTTCCCAGGTCTGGATGAGGGAAGGCCTCAGAGACGGCCCGGCTTCGTCAGTGCAGATTTCTCTACAGATGCAAATCTCCCCCACAAAAGGCAGCTTTTTAGTTATTTTTGTATTTCCAGCCCTTCTGAATAGCCATCTTAAACTATATCAAGGAAGTATAGGCTGGGCGCGGTGGCTCACGCCTGTAATCCCAGCACTTTGGGAGGCTGAGGCGAGTGGATCACGAGGTCAGGAGATCGAGACCATCCTGGGTAACACAGTGAAACCCTGCCTCCACTAAAAATACTAAATAAATAAACAAACAAATAAATAAATAAATAAATAAATAAATAAGCCGGGCGTGGTGGTGGGTGCTTGTAGTCCCAGCTACTTGGGAGGCTGAGGCAGGAGAATGGCGTGAACCCGGGAGGCGGAGTTTGCAGTGGGCCAAGATTGCACCACAGCACTCCAGCCTGGGCAACAGAGCGAGACTCCATCTCAAAAAAAAAAAAAAACGAAGTATATTTTGGGGTGAAATATTTTTATTTTCTTCAGTCCCCAGTTTGAGACTTTTACCTTCAGAAAATTTCACATATGGAAAGGCAAGTTGAAGCCAGGTACAATGGCTTACGCCTGTAATCACACACTTTGGGAGGCTGAGGCAGGCGGATTTCCTGAGCTCAGGAGTTTGAGACCAGCCTGGCCAATATGGCGAAACCCTGTCTCTACAAAAAATACAAAAATTAGCCAAGCGTGGTGGTGCATGCGCCTGTAGTCCAGCTACTTGGGAGGCTGAGGTGGGAGGATTGCTTGAGCCCAGGAAGTGGAGGTTTCAGTGAGCCAAGATCGTGTCTCTGCACTCCAACCTGGGTGACAGAGCAAGACAGTGTCTCAAAGAAAAAAAAAAGGCAAGTTGATAGCTTTGAAAAGATTTGAGTTAGAGGTTGTTAGATAAGAAATAGGCAAAGGAGGGGAAAAACAAATTGAGATAAGCAGAAAAGAGCAAATTATATACATTTTCCCATATTCTTTTAAATCACTCTTCATACCGAGAATAAGTCAGTTTGGTTAAACAGCTTTGTCTAGTTTTAGGAGGTGACATTGCAGATGGGATAGGTCTGGAGTGCAGTGGCACAATCTTGGCTCACTGCAACCTCCACCTCCCGAGTTCAAGCAATTCTTCGGCCTCAGCCTCCTGAGTAGCTGGGATTATAAGTGTGCACCACCATGCCTGGCTAATTTTGGTATTTTTAGTAGAGACCAGGTTTTCACCATGTTGTCAGGGCTGGTGTCAAACTCCTGACCTCAGGTGATCCACCTGCCTCAGCCTCCTAAAGTGCAGGGGTTACAGGCTTGAGCCACTGCGCCCGGCCTGTGGTGGCATGCTGACAGATTTTTTGTGGACTGTAGTTCAAATCAGGTGTTCAAGTAACCTTTCTGAGTAGCCCATACACCAGCAGGCATGAAGGCTATTTACATTAAGTTGCTCTGGTGATTTATCCCAAAGTTTATATCAAGTTGTCTAGCTTCAGTATGCAGGGCTTCAAGAAAAACAGTTTTAATTTCCAGTGAGTCCAAGTCAGAAAAATGGGAGAAAAATGGAAAAACACTAATCTGGAGACTTGTAGCTGGAAAGATTTCAGGATTCAGCCCAATAATAATAATAGCAGGTGTACTGTGGTTTTCTTCTGAAACATAATTTTTCTGTCTCTAGTCCCCCTTTTCTACCAAAGACAAATCATAGTAGGACCATTTTATTTGTAAAATACAAAACAGTACAAAAAATTAGCCAGGCGTGGTGATGCACACCTGTAGTCCTAGCTACTCAGGAGGCTAAGGCACGAGAATCGCTTGAACCCGGGTGGCAGAGGTTGCAATGAGCTGAGATTGCACCATTGCACTCCAGCCTGAGCGACAGAGCAAGACTCCATCTCAATTTAAAAAATAAAATAAAATGAATAAATAAATATGTGAAAAGCAAGCACAGCTGGAAGGCAGAGCATCTAGATCCCCAAAAATAAAGGATCTCTTTTTTTTTTTTTGTGACGGAATCTCACTCACTCTTATCACCTAGGCTGGCGTGCAGTGGCTTGATCTCGGCTCACTGCAACCTATGCCTCCCAAGTTCAAGTGATTCTCCTGCCTCAGCCTCCTGAGTAGCTGGGATTACAGGTGCCTGCCACCATGCCTGGCTAATTTTGGTATTGTTTGTTGAGATGGGGTTTCACCATGTTGGCCAGGCAGGTCTCAAACTCCTGACCTCAAGTGATCCGCCTGCCTCGGCCTCCCAAAATGTTGAGATTACAGGCATGAGCCACCACGCCCAGCCAAGGATCTTATTTTTACATTGAATCCCAGGTCCCCCTAAAGAGGGACACTCCATAGGACCAAGTCTTTTTTTTTTTTTTTTTTTTGACACGGAGTTTCGCTCTTGTTGCCCAGGCTGGAGTGCAATGGTGCGATCACCTTAACATACGCCTCCCGGGTTCAACTGATTTTCTTGCCTCAGCCTCCCGAGTAGCTGGGATTACAGGCATGCACCACCATGCCCAGCTAATTTTGTATTTTTAGTAGAGACGGGGTTTCTTCATGTTGGTCAGGCTGGTCTCAAACTCCCGACCTCAGGTGATCCGCCCCCCTCGGCCTCCCAAAGTGCTGGGATTACAGGCGCGAGCCACTGCACCCGGCCAGGACCAAGTCTTGTACGATGCTTCCACAGTGCACCTTACTGCAAGAGAAACCCAATGCCAATCAGCCCATTCTGTGCTGAGCTCATTCTCTTGAGAGTCCTATGCCTTGGTGGTGAGTGTTTCCACAGCCTCCAAGTGTCCACACTGCACCTTTCTTATCTAAACACCCAAAGAAATGAGTAGCCCCTTGCAAACAGCTGCAGTCAGCCATCTCCAAAACTGCAGCCCTCACCAGTGACCAGCCAGCTTTCTCACACACACAAAGGTTGTGTTCTCTCATAGCACAGAGTAATCCCTGCTACCCCCACAAAGCCGAAGAGATCATGCAGTGCAATGCAAGAGGGAGCAGAGCTTTAGATGGAGGGGAACCTGCCTGCAACTCTTTGGAGGAAGAATTTCTCAAGGAAAACAGAAGACTTTAGAAAGGGGGTGAGTGGAGCCTTTTTCTGTTTTCCTCAAGGGTCTCAGAGTCATTAGAAGTCCCTTCTAGATGGCTTTATGTGGCACTGAAGATGACAAAACAAGGAGAAGCAGGGAGGATTAGAAGTAAATGGGAGAGGCTGGGCACAGTGGCTCATGCCTGTAATCCTAGCACTTTGGGAGGCTGAGGTGGGCCGATCACCTGAGGTCAGGAGTTCGAAACCAGCCTGGCCAACATGGTGAACCCCGTCTCTACTAAAAATACAAAAATTAGCCAGGCGTGGTGGTGCATGTCTGTAATCCCAGTTACTTGGGAGGCTGAGGCAAGAGAATAGCTTGAACCAGGGAGGTAGAGGTTGTACCACTGCACTCCAACCTGGACAAGAGAGCGAGATGCCATCAAAAAAAAAAAAAAAAAAAAAAAAAAGAAGTAAATGGGAGAACAATTCTCAAGGAAGGAAGCAAACAGAGAGACCAAGCACATAACTCAAAAAGGGGTTTCAAAAAAGAAGAAAAAAAAGAAAAAAAAGAAACACACATACAGAACATAACACACACACAAACACACACACACACACACACACACACAGGGTTTCAGTTGACTAGAAAAAAAAATCCCCAAAACAGGATCCAAAAAGCAGAAAGGCCTTTAGAAAAAAAATGTATGTAGCTTGAATATCAGCTTTTAATTAAGCCCACTTCTGACCACAGAGCTCTAGGAAAATATTTGCAAATCTCTTATTATCAGACTTTATTCAGAACAAGTAGCTAATACTCCTGGCTTTTGAACTCTTTTACTAAAGGTACCCTCTTCAATAAAAATTGGTCGCTCCCAGAAGTCAAAAGTCACACAAATGTCAAACCAAATGAGACTGATGCCCTGACTGGGAATTGAACACTGAATCCAGGCTATGGTGGTAAAAGTGTGGAATTTTAACTCCTAAACTGGAAGATAGAATGCGGTCATTGTAAATCCTACAGGGGATCCAAAGCAGGCAGTTTGAGCATACAAAGGATTTTAACTTCGTTTTAGGTCAATTTTTTTTTTAGATGGTATCTCACTCTGTCACCCAGGCTGGAATGCAGTGGCACCATCTTGGCTCACTGCAACCCCTGCCTCTTGGGTCCAAGTGATTCTCGTCCCGCAGTCTCCCGAGTAGCTGGAACTACAGGTGCACGCCACCACGCCCAGCTAATTTTTGTATTTTTAGTAGAGACAGGGTTTCGCAGTGTTGGCCAGGCTGGTCTCGAACTCCTGGCCTCAAGTGATCCACCTGCCTTGGCCTCCCAAATGCTGGGATTACAGGCATGAGCCACCATGCCTGGGTAGGTCAAATTTTTGATTGTTAATTTTCTCAAGAGAGTTTCTAAATCTAGTCATGACACCACTATGCTGTCTTTCTTTTAATTTAATTTTCTCATAAATACAAATAAGGCAATTGTTTAGAATAAGGGATCTCTAAAATCCTTTTTTAAAAAAAATTAGAAATGTTTCTAATTTAAAAGATCCGTCTGAGGAGGAGAGCAAACAATATGAATACTTTTACCAAAAAGTACACAAGAGTCGCTACACCCAAGACTAGACACGAATCCTTTTCTCCCATTAATCAAGATTTTGCAGAGGAAAATAGAGACACTGACTTTTACCTTCTGCTTGACTGGATTCTGCAAAAAGAGAGGCAGGGAGCCTGGGTGGTAAGAATGTCTTATCCTTCCACAGGCTGGTCAGGTCCTGGGTTCCCTAAACTGTGGCTTCAGAAGAGCAGAGCTTTGGTTTTGTCAGAAAAAGGAAAATCTTAAAAGTGGCCCAAGATGGCTGCAAGTTGGACATATGGGTAATAGAAACTGGGCCTATGGACTAAAGCTGAACTCTCGCCTGCAAGGCTTGAGTTTGTCAAATACTTCACTGAATTATTGATTACAACCTTGCCTATCCCACGAAGCACAAAGACAGTATAGAATCAGTCATCCCCTAAGATGCCTACATGCTCGTTAACCTTTTACCCTTGTCAACCTGAAATAATTGAAAGGATCAGCATCCAGTTTTAAGGAGTTTATTCAAGTGAAAAACTGGCAATTGCCATCCAGTAAACACAGACTCCAGTGCTCCGAAATTAAAAGTTAAGGTCTCGGCCAGGTGCGGTGGCTCACATCTGTAATCCCAGCACTTTGGGAGGCCGAGGCAGGCAGATCACAAGGTCGGGAGATCGAGACCATCCTGGTCAACATGGTGAAACCCCATCTCTACTAAAATACAAAAAATTAGCCAGGCGTGCTGGCGTACACGCCTGTAGTCCCAGCTACTCAGGAGGCTGAGGCAGGGGAATTGCTTGGACCCAGGGTGCGGAGGTTGCAGTGAGCCGAGATAGCACCACTGCACTGCAGCCTGGGCAACAGAGCGAGACTCCATCTCAAAAAAAAAAAGACAAGTTAAGGTCTCACTTATATTGACAGAAAACAAAAAAAAATCTAGTAGGATTATAACATTTTCTACACAGGGCTGGTTTATTAGTTACAGTTTAATTAGCTGCAGCATGTTTTCACCTCCTTTCCATTGTTAGATGTTAAACACACAAAAAGTGTGTTTAACATTCCATTTTAGACAATGTGATCCTCATGAAATCTTTGTGTGAGAGAGGAAAGAGGGAAGTTAATCTATGATGAAGATCAATAGTTGAGAGGGAAGGGGTCTTCCCTGGCATCCTTCATTCATTTACAACATTTTACAAAATAATTTAGGTAAGAAAAAAGACTAATGTATAATCAGGGAAACAAAAGTTACAGCTTCCTAGGTTACAGCTGCCAGTTTATGTGACTCAGGTCCCATAATCACATTCCCTTAAGGCTCAAAATATTTTAAGGTTCCAAAAGCTTAGATTTTGAATTACTTATTTTCACACCCTATATATGTTAACCACGTATTTGCTTTATCTTATGTACAACGTCACTGAGCACCAATCAGAATTGTAGGAATGTCACCTTTGCTTCTCCATTTCCATGTAACAGAATGTATAAATACTATCTCGTGTAGCCCACTTGGGGAGACATTTTTGGTTTGTTCTGAGTCTGTATTTCCCAGAGAATTAGTCCTCAAACTTCACTCGGGATAAAACTAACTTTAAATTTCTTTAAGTTATAGTGCCTGTTATGTAACCTTTCTGTCAATAGTATCCTGCTCACAGCACCAAAACTTAGGGGGCAAGGGAAAATTCTGCTGAAAAATCAACTCACAATAGGTAAATTAATAGGAGAAATGACATAGAAATGTACTAATATCCACAGAAGGAAAATCGCAGTGATTACCCCCACTCCCCAGTGGGGTTCTGAAGCTTATGTACTATCTTGAGGTTACATTAACAATGGGGGCTCACAGCAGGGCCAAAACCAGATTACAGTGTTAGATCAGTTTATGGCGGCAACAGAGGTTATGGAGGGGAAGAAGAGGAGGGCTGGCTAGCAAAGGGGGTCTTGTTATGTAGATGAAGCCTCACAGGTAGCGGCCCTCGAGAGAGAATAGGTGGTGAATGTTTCTGTTAGACTTTAAAGGTGTCAGACTCTCGCTTAATCTTTCCCAGATCTGGATGAGGGAAGGCCTCAGAGACAGCCTGGCTTCATCAGTGCAGATTTCTCTACAGATGCAAATCTCCCCCACAAAAGGCAGCTTTTTAGTTATTTTTGTATTTCCAACCCTTCTGAATATCTGCCTTGAGCTATGTCGAGAAAATATATTTTATGGTAAAATCATTTGATTTCCTTCAGATGCTTTGATATTGTGATTTTGATTTTTGTTCCTGGTTCCTGGCATACCAGCTCCTAAACTCTTGGGATGTCTGGAGTGATAAGTGTCTTTTTGTATGCTAGTGAGATGATTAGTGGCTGGGGGTTCCCAGATAGCCTTAGGATGGGGCTGGTTGACACGGAAACCAACCATACAATTAGAGGTTTGGCACTTTCAGCCCCACCTTCTAACACTGGAGAGTAGAGAGGGCCTGAAGCTTGAGTTGATTACCAATGGCCAATGATTGATCAATCATGCCTACATAATGAGCCTCCAGAACATTCCAAAAAGATGGGGTTCAGAGAGCTTCTGAATTGCTGAATAGATGGAGCTGTCTGTAGGGTGGCATGCTTACAGGATGCCATGGGGGTGTGCTGCAGGACAGGACATGGAAGCTTATTGCCCCTTACCTTCCATACCTTGCCCTATGGATCACTTCTGCCTGGCTATTCATCTACATCCTCTGTAATATTCCTTACTAATATAATAAGCTGGTAAACATAAGTAAATGTTTCCTTGAGTTCTGTGAACTTCCTAACAAATTAGAACGGGGTTGTGGGAACCCCAATTTATAGCTGCTCAGTTAGATGCATAGGTGACAACCTGCTACTTGCAATTGGTGTCTGAAAATAGGCCAGTCTTGTGAAAATAGAACTAAGCCTTAACCTGTGGGATCTGACACTATGCCCAGGTAGAGTGTCAGAATTGAATTGAATGGGAGGACTCCCACTTGGTATCCACTGTAGAACTGCTTAGTGTGTGAGGACAAGCCCACAGACATCTGGTGTCAGAAGTGAAGTGTTGTGTTGAGTGGTGTGAGTAGGAAAAGCAGTTTGTTTTTTTCATCTCTCTTATTAAGACCCAAAGTAAGGGCTTGAGCCCCTATAATAAGTGTAGCAGCTCCTGCCATAGCTCGAAGGCATCCAGGTACCCAGAAGAACTGAGAAGTATGCTACTGGTCTATCGTCTAATACCAACTTTTGAATTAAATTCTACTGTGGCAGGCCAGGTCTCACTAACAGCTGAACAGGCAGGCCTCCATGCCAACTGCTTCGGCACTGAGTGGTTAGGTTAAATATTAAAAGCTGAAAGACCCAGGGCCCCTATACAAAGGCTGGAATATAACAGAAGCCCACCAAGAGTCTTGCTTAGGCCTTTTCTGGGCCTTGAAGCATGACAGGATAATGAAGGAATTCTTAACAGGACCTGTTTAGAATTAAACAAGTTTTATTTTTTATTTTTTAAATGGAGTCTCACTGTGTTGCCCAGGCTGGAGTGCAGTGGCACAATCTCAGCTCACTGCACCTCCGCCTCCTGGGTTCAAGCGATTCTCTTGCCTCAGCTTCCTGAGTAGCTGGGACTGTAGGCATGTGCCACCACGCCCAGCTAATTTTTGTATTTTTGGTAGAGACGGGGTTTCACTATATTGGCCAGGCTGGTCACAAACTCCTGACCTCAGATGATCCACCCACCTCCGCCTCCCAAAGTACCGGGCATACAATAGGTGTAAGCTGCCATGCCCGGCCAAGATTAAACAAGTTGGGTTTTTTGTTTTGTTTTTGTTATTTTTGAGACAGAATTTTGCTCTTGTTACCCAGGCTGGAGTGCAATGGCACGATCTCGGCTCACTGCAACCTCCACTTCCCGAGTTCAAGAGATTCTCCTGCCTCAGCCTCCCAAGTAGCTGGGATTACAGGCGCCGGCCACCATGCCCAGCTAATTTTTTGTATTTTTAGTAGAGATGGGGTTTCACCATGTTGGCCAGGCTAGTCTTGAACTCCCGACCTCAGGTGATCCACCTGCCTCAGCCTCCTAAAGTGCTGGGATTATAGGCGTGAGCCACCGTGCCCGGCCAGATTAAACAAGTTTTGTTGGGGGTCTGAAGGATCTCCCAAACCTCCATGATTTAACAGGAGACAAGATAAGGGTAATCACGCCTGACACCTGGACCCATTTAGATTAAGTAAATTTACTGAGGCTCTAGAATAAGGTCTTCATGATTCAGACCTTAGTTATAGACTAGAAATTAATCACTTATGTATTTAGATGAATGCACACTTACACGCAGACATATATAACTTAGAAGGTATATAAGCTCTAGAAAACTTTGCAATTTTGGGTTGGTTTGGTGATATTTTCCTAACCTTTTCCCTGTACCCGGTTACAGAAATAAACTCTCTTCTTTCCCAGTTCATCTGCATCTTATTATTGGGCCATGAAAGTAAGCAGCCAGACCCTTGGTTTGGTCCAGGAACACTACCAGCAGTGCCTTTCATGGCAAATCACTTGGAAAGGTTTTTTCAAAGTTTGGAATTCTTGAAGCATGGAGAGAGACTATAGCCAATTTCAGTTGTTCAAAAGGCTCTTCAGGCTAGGCACGGTGGCTCATGCCTGTAATCCCAGCACTTTGGGAGGCCGAGGTGGGCGGATCATTTGAGACCAGGAGTTTGAGACCACTCTGGTCAACATGGTGAAACCCCGTCTCTACAAAATATAAAAATGAGCCAACTGTGGTGGCCTGTGCCCATAGTCCCAGCTATTTAGATGGCTGAGACATGAGAACCACTTGAACCCAGGAGGAGGAGGTTGCAGTGAGCCGAGATCATGCCATTGCACTCCAGCCTGGGCCACAGAGCAAGATTCTGTCTCAAAAACAAAACAAAACAAAAAAGCCTTTTCAGGTTCTAAGGATTAAGTCAGAGATTCTGGAATATTGTCATGTAATGCTCCATCAGAGGTTTTTGCCTGCCCTGTAAAAGCTGGTGTTAAGTAAAGTAAAATTATGGGAGATCATTGTTTTGGATGAAGCTCCTGCACTAGACCCCAGAGGACCAGACTAAAAATCAAAATAGAGTCACCTATGCTAAAGTTCCAGGTTACAAAACCAAAACTAAGTTGTTATCTGACAGGAGAGAGATTTCCCAAACAGGCCAGTTTCCATTTTTAAGCAGCATGATAATGAATTCTCTCTGCTTTAATCCTCACACAAAAGCAGCAGCCTGAAGCAACCTGAGAATAACCTAGTCAGTTATTCTCTATTGTTCTGTCTTCCTGTGCCCACCTTACCAGAAAAGTAGCTTTGAAACCAGGGATATGCTCTTTGTTCTTTGCTTCTGCTTTCTTCATCCCTTCTGTCTGTAAAGCCAACCCCTTCTGCTCAGCTCGTGGGAACACTTATTCTGTTTTCTGGAATGGAGTGTTGCCCAATTCTAGGCTCATAATAAAGTAAATTGAGATCTTTAAATTTGTTGTAGTTTTGTCGTTTGACCTTGGAGTCCACTGTGGAAAATATCCTACCCATCTCTAAAATTGTCTTTAAGTTATTTTTCCTGTTGTAGACCATTTCATGTGAAAAATTAGCTAACTCCTAGATTATAACACTTTTGTGTTCTTCAGTGACAAATGTCCTAAATATTTTACCTCAGTTTGGCAATATTACAATTTGTCTAGTAAGGCCTTAAGCCTCTCTGAAGTGAGGAATTCTAACAAAGCCAAAAGTATCAGTTTGGCATTGCTCTTTAGTTTCTTAGGCTATCAGCAAATCATCTACATATTGGATTGTAAACCAAAAATAAAATTCTAAGCCCCTTAACCAACTGAATGGACCCCTCTTCTTGGCCAAGGGGATTCCAAAATAAACTGAAACACTACTTCTGGCCATGATGGGAATGGGTGGTTTGATATGCCTCATTATACCTTCCTCCCTTGGAACTCAGGCACAACTGACCACCATTAATATTAAAACAAGAGACCTTAACACTGATGAAATAGACTCATTTTTTCTTTTTTTGAGACAGAGTCTCACTCTGTCCCCGAGGCTGGAGTGCAGTGGCACAATCTTGGCTCACTGCAACCTCCATCTGCCTCCCAGGTTCAAGTGATTCTCCCACCTCAGCCTCCTGAGTAGCTGGGATTACAGGTGCATGCCACCATGCTTGACTAATTTTTGGATTTAAATAGACCCTTTGCAGCAATAAGATACCAACATGACAGATAGCAGGCCCCAAAAGAAATAGAAATATTTTACCCCAAAATATATTTCTTTGACATATTTTGAAATGGCCCTGCACAGCTTTATCTTGTGGAGAAAATCTACATTCAGTAGAGAATCCCCTTCCCTTTCCAGGTATTTTTCCTGATGCAGGAGAGAATTAACTAAGAGTCTGGCACCTTTCTAAGTCTGATAAAAAAACATGTACAATCTATTCTCTCTGAAGTCTGCTACCTGAAGGCATCATCTGCATAATAAGAACCTTGATTTCCCAAACCCCTTATCTTAACCCAGATATTCTCTTCTATGGATTCCAGGTCTTTAGATAATAACTCTTTCAACCAGTTGCCAATTAGAAAATCTCTGAATTCACCTATGACCTGGAAGCCCCCTCTTTGAGTTGTCTCACCTTTCGGCACCAAACCAATGTATATCTTACATGTATTATTATTATTTTGAGACAGAGTCTTGCTCTGTCACCCAGGCTGGAGTGCAGTGGCGTGATCTCGGCTTACCATAACCTCTGCTTCCTGGGTTCAAGCAATTCTCCTGCCTCAGCCTCCTTAATAGCTGGGATTACAGGTGCACGCCACCACACCTGGATAATTTTTGTATTTTTAGTAGAGATGAGGTTTCACCATGTTGTTCAAGCTGGTCTTGAACTCCTGACCTTTTGATCCACCCGCCTCGGCCTCCCAAAATGCTGGGATTACAGGTGTGAGCCACCATGCCCAGCCATCTTACATGTATTGATTGTTGTCTTGTCTCCCTAGAATGTATGAAACCAAGTTATGGCCCAATCACCTTGGGTGCATGTTCTTAGGATCTCCTAGGGCTATGTCACATGTCATTGGTCCTCATGTTTGGCTCAGAATAAATCTCTTCAAATATTTTACAGAGTTTGACTCTTTTCGTTGACAGGATAATTATAAATTTCTCTGGTGGGACAAATTTCCCTAATATTTCCTGTAAATTGCTAGAGAAAAGAGTAGGAGAGTCCTGAAATCCTTGAGAAATTCTTTACTAAGTTAAGTATTGAACTCCTTTGTAGGTAAAAGCAAACAAGGGTTTGGACAGGAACAGGAAGAAAAAGCAGAACACATTACAGACAACAGAAACAAAGTCAAAATAGTTGCAGGATTAGGAACTACAAATTCATTTACTTCTCAAAGATCTTGTACAAATCTACACAATGGTCAACCATCTTTACCAAATTTACTTTCCTTGCTTACTGGAAGTATGGGAGTATGACAAGGTGAGGCTACCTTTTATAGAAGTATCCCTTGTTTTTCTAATTCTTTTATAATGGGTTTGATTCTCTCAAACCGAGCTCAGGACAAAGGATATTGTTTCACATACGGCCATTGTGGCATATCCTTTAGGTAAACCATTTTTATTGGTTTTATATCTTGAATTAAACCAGCAGTATTATTCCTCAGGGCCCAAAGGGACGCATGGATCTGAGTTAGTTGGGGGGCGCTTTTCAGCATGGTGTGAGATTGCCACTCTCTCTCATCACTTTTTTCTTCCAGAAGGCAGAGTAAACAAGTCAGGGTCCTTTGATTCTCTTTTCCAGGGAGCTTGACAAACACTTCATCTAAGTACAGAATATGGTTGCCTTTAAGTTTTGCAGCAGGTATCTCCCAAGTGGATTTTTTAGGAGAATTAGGAGAAAAGAAGAATACATTGTTCCTCATTCGGAGGATCTATCTGTATGGGAACCACAGAAAAGAAGGAACGGTTAAAAAGAATTCTAATTGCTGTTGGGTGGAGTCTTAAAAATATTAATTAGGTCAATGTGATTAATAGCACTGCCAAGTCTTAAGTATCTCCCCTGGGTTTTATATCTACTTGGTCATCAATTACTGAGAGAGGAATATTGAAATCTGTTACTGTAATTGTGGATTTGTCTGTTTCTCCTTGTAGTTCTATCAGGTTTGCTTCATGTATTTTGAAATTATGTTATTTAGTTGTATAGACATTTAAGAATGTCTTATCTTCCTTTTGCATGTAGCATTATGAAATTTTTCTCTTTAACATACGTCATAGTCATTTTGAAGTTTACTTTGTCTGATATTAATATGGCTATTCCATGTTTGTTTTATTTAGTGACTTTGTGGTATATCTTTTTTCATTTTGTTACTCTTAACTACCTGTGTCTTTAAATTTAAACTTGGTTTCTTGTTTCTTATAGACAGCATATTTTACATCTTGCTTTTCTTATTAATTCTGATGATATCTGCTTTTGTTCACAGTCTTTAGACCATTTATATTTAAAGGAATTCTGATATGATGTGCAGTGATGTGGTTTTTTCTTTTTTACTTTTTTATCATTATAAAATACAAAAAACGTAATGTGTGTATTTCTTTATGTTTCCTATGTTTAAGGTTTATTGAGATTCTTGGATCTGTTGGTTTATAATTTTCAGCAATTTTGGAAATTTTCATAAGATTATTCTTCATATTTTTCTTTACACTTTCTCATTCTAAAATTCCAATGTCATGTACATCAGATTACTTGATATTATCACAAAAATCCTTGATTATTTTTTCCATCTGTACTTCATTCTTTCTCTGATCTTTTCTTCTCTGGTCTTTTTTCTTTAATACTTATATGGTTTGGATTTGTGTCCCTGCCCAAATGTCATGTCAAATTGTAATCCCCAATGTTGGAAGAGGGGCCTGGTGGCAGGTGATTGGATCATGGGGGTGGACCTCCCTCTTGCTGTTCTTGTGATAGTGAGTTTTCATGAGATATGGTTGTTTCAAAGTGTGTAGCACCTTCCCCTTCACACTTTCCTCCTGCCCCGGGCATGCACCTGCTTCCCCTTTGCTTTCTGCCATGATTGTAAGTATTCTGAGGCTTCCCCAGCCATGCTTCCTGCACAGCCTGTGAAACTGTGAGTCAATTAAACATCCTTTCTTTATGAATTACCCAGTTTCAGGTAGTTCTTTATAGCAATGTGAGAATGGACAAATACAGAAAATTGATACTGGGAGTGAAGTATTGCTATAAAGATACCTGAGGTCTCCCTCTCCCTCTACCTCTCCCTCTCCCCACGGTCTCCCTCTCCCTCTCTTTCCACGGTCTCCCACTGATGCCGAGCCGAAGCTGGACTGTACTGCTGCCATCCCTGCTCACTGCAGCCTCCCTGCCTGATTCTCCTGCCTCAGCCTGCCGAGTGCCTGCGATTGCAGGCGCGCACCACCACGCCTGACTGGTTTTCGTATTTTTTTGGTGGAGACGGGGTTTCGCTGTGGTGGCCGGGCTGGTCTCCAGCTCCTAACTGCGAGTGATCCGCCAGCCTCGGCCTCCCGAGGTGCCGGGATTGCAGACAGAGTCTGGTTCACTCAGTGCTCAATGGTGCCCAGGCTGGAGTGCAGTGGCGTGATCTCGGCTTGCTACAACCTCCACCTCCCAGCCGCCTGCCTTGGCCTCCCAAAGTGCCAAGATTGCAGCCTCTGTCCGGCCTCCACCCCGTCTGGGAAGTGAGGAGCGTCTCTGCCTGGCCGCCCATCGTCTGGGACGTGAGGAGCCCCTCTGCCTGGCTACCCAGTCTGGAAAGTGAGGAGCGTCTCTTCCCGGCCGCCATCCCATCTAGGAAGTGAGGAGCGCCTCTTCCCAGCCGCCATCCCATCTAGGAAGTGAGGAGCGTCTCTGCCTGGCCGCCCATCGTCTGAGATGTGGGGAGGGCCTCTGACCCGCCGCCCCGTCTGGGATGTGAGGAGCGCCTCTACCCGGCCGCGACCCCGTCTGGGAGGTGAGGAGCATCTCTGCCCAGCCACCCCGTCTGAGAAGTGAGGAGACCCTCCGCCTGGCAACCGCCCCATATGAGAAGTGAGGAGCCCCTCCGCCTGGCAGCCACCCCGTCTGGGAAGTGAGGAGCGTCTCTGCCCGGCAGCCACCCCATCCGGGAGGGAGGTGGGGGTCAGCCCCCGCCAGGCCAGCCGCCCCGTCCGGGAGGGAGGTGGGGGGGGTCAGCCCCCCGCCCGGCCAGCCGCCCCGTCCGGGAGGGAGGTGGGGGTGTCAGCCCCCCGCCCGGCCAGCCGCCCGGTCTGGGAGGTGAGGGGCGCCTCTGCCCGGCCGCCCCTACTGGGAAGTGAGGAGCCCCTCTGCCCGGCCACCACCCCGTCTGGGAGGTGTGCCCAACAGCTCATTGAGAACGGGCCATGATGACAATGGCGGTTTTGTGGAATAGAAAGGGGGGAAAGGCGGGGAAAGGATTGAGAAATCGGATGGTTGCCATGTCTGTGTAGAAAGAGGTAGACACAGGAGACTTTTCATTTTGTTCTGTACTAAGAAAAATTCTTCTGCCTTGTGATCCTGTTGATCGGTGACCCTACCCGCAACCCTGTGCTCTCTGAAACATGTGCTGTGTCCACTCAGGGTTAAATGGATTAAGGGTGATGCAAGATGTGCTTTGTTAAACAGATGCTTGAAGGCAGCATGCTCGTTAAGAGTCATCACCACTCCCTAATCTCAAGTACCCAGGGACACAAACACTGCGGAAGGCCGCAGGGTCCTCTGCATAGGAAAACCAGAGACCTTTGTTCACTTGTTTATCTGCTGACCCTCCTTCCACTATTGTCCTATGACCCTGCCAAATCCCCCTCTGTGAGAAACACCCAAGAATGATCAATTAAAAAAAAAAAAAAAAAAGATACCTGAAAATGTGGAAGTGACTTTGGAAATGGGTAACGGGTAGAAGTTGGAACAGTTTGGAGATCTCAGAAGAAGACAGGAAGATAAAGGAAAGTTTGGAACTTCCTAGAGACTTGTTAAATTGTTGTGACCAAAATGCCGATAGTGATATGGTTAATGAAGTCCAGGCTGAGATGGTCTCAGATGGAGATGAGGAACTTATTGGGAACTGAAGCAAATGTCACTTTTGTTATGTGTTAGCAAAGAGGTTGGAGGCATTGTGCCCCTCCCCTAGAGATCTGTGGAACTTTGAACTTGAGAGTGTTGATATAGGGTATCTGGCAGAAGAAATTTCTAAGCTGCAAAACATTCAAGACTTGGCCTGGCTACTTCTAGCAGCCTATGCTTATATTTGTGAGCAAATAAATGAGCTGAAACTGGAACTTATCTTTAAGAGGGAAGCAGAGTGTAAAAGATTGGAAAGTTTTCAGCCCAGCCATGTGGTAGAAAAGAAAAACCCATTTTCAGGGAGGAATTCAACCCAGCTACAGAAATTTGCATAAGAGGAACCATAATAATAGCCAAGACAATGGGGTAAATGCCCAGAAGGGATTTCGGAGACTTTCATGACAGTCTCACCCATCACAGGCATGGAGGCCTAGAAGGGAAGAATTTCCTGGGCCAGGCCCGGGGCTCAACTGCCCTACACAACTTAGGGACACTGTTCCCTGCATCCCAGCTATGCCAGCTCCAGCCATGGCTAAAAGGGACCCAGATACATCTCAGGCCACTGCTCCAGAGGATGCAAGCCATAAGCCTTAGCAGCTTCCATGTGGTGTTAAGCTGGCGGGTACACAGAGAGGAAGAGTGGAGGCTTGGGAGCCTCTGCCTAGATTTCAGAGAAGATATATGGAAATGCCTGGATGTCCAGGAAGAAGTCTGCTGCAGGGAAGGAGCCCTGATGGAGGACCTCTACTAGGGCAATATGGAGGGGAAATATGGGGTTGGAGCTGCCACACAGAGTCCCCACTGGGGCACTGCTTAGTGGAGCTGTGAGAAGAGGACCACTCCCCAGAATGGTAGATTTACCATCAGCTTCCACTATGCACCTGGAGTGCCACAGGTACTCAACTCCAGCCCATGAAAGCAGCTGAGGGGGCTGTACCCTGCAGAGCCACAGAGGTAGAGCTGCCCAAGGCCCTGGGAGCCCACCTTTTGCATTGGTGTTCCCTGAATATGAGACATGGAGTCAAAGGAGATTATTTTGGAGCTTTAAGATTTAATGACTGCCCTGTTGGGTTTCAGACTTTCATGGGGCCTGTAGCCCTTTTGTTTTGGCCAATTTCTCCCATTTGGAATGGGAGAGAGTATTTAGCCAATGCCTGTACCCCCACTGTATCTTGGAAGTAACTAACTTGTTTTGATTTTACAGGTTCATAGGCAGAAGAACTTGCCTTATCTCAGATAAGACTTTGGATTGTGGACTTTTGAGTTAATGCTGGAATGAGTTAAGACTTTGGGGGACTGTTGGGAAGGCATGATTGTATTTTGAAATATGAGAAGGACATGAGATTTGGGAGGGGCCAGGGACAGAATAATATGGTTTACATTTTTGTCCTTGCCCAAATCTCATGTTGAATTGTAATCCCCAATGTTGGAGGAGGGGCCTGGGGGGAAGTGATTGGGTCATGGGGGCAGACTCCCCCTTGCTGTTCGCGTGATAGTGAGTTCTCATGAGATCTGGTTGTTTCAAAGTGTGTGGCACCTCCTGCTTCGTGCTCTTCCTTCTGCTCCCACCATGTAGGAGTGCCTGCTTTCCCTTCACCTTCTGCCATGATTGTAAGTTTCCTGAGGCCTCCCCAGACATGCTTCCTATACAGTCTGTGGAACTGTGAGTCAATTAAACCACTTTTCTTTTCTTTTTTTTTTTTGAGATGGAGTTTTGCTCTTGTCGCCCAGGCTGGAGTGGACTGGAGCGATCTCAGCTCACTGCAACCTCCGCCTCTGGGTTCAAGTGATTCTCCTGCCTCAGCCTCCCGAGTAGCTGGGATTACAGGCATCTGCCACCATGCCTGGCTAATTTTTGTATTTTTGGTAGAGATGGAGTTTCACCATGTTGGCCAGACTGGTCTCGAACTCCTGACCTCAGGTGATCCACTCACCTCAGCCTCCCAAAGTGTTAGGATCACAGGCGTGAACCACTGCACTTGGCCTAAACTTCTTTTCTTTATAAATTACCCAGTCTTAGGTAGTTCTTTATAGCAATGTGAGAATGAACTAATACAAATACCTACTCTGCTGTTAATTCCATCTAATGTTTCTTTAAAAATATTTTCTATTTATCTCCTCATCTTCTACATTCTTGAGCACGTGAACCATATTTATGATATCTATTTTCTATATCACGTCTGTTAATTGCATCATTTATGTCACTTATGAATCTTATTATATTGATGGATTTTTGTCCTGATTATGTGTGATATTTTCTTGCTTTTACCATGTCTATTAATTTAAAATTTTTTTTTAACTTATGGTAAAACAAATGTAACAGAATTTACCATTTTAACCATTTTTAAGCATACAGTTCAATGGCATTAAGTACATTCACATTATTGTGCCACCATCACAATCATTCATCTCCAGAATTTTTTTCGTCTTACAAAACTGAAACTCTGTACCCATTAAACAGTAACTCCCCATTCATTCCTCCGCCCAGTCCCTTGCAACCACCATGCCACTTTCTGTCTCTCAATTAATTCTGTCAATGTTGCTTCATACATTTGGGTGCTCTGCTGTTAGATGCGTATTTCTCCTTCAGTTTTGAAGGACAGTCTTGCCAGTCATAGTATTCTTGGTTGATAGCTTTTCTTCTCTGAACATGTTGAACATATCATCCCACCCCTTTCTTGCCTATACAATTTCTGTGGAGAAATCTACTTATACTATAATGGGAGCTCCCTTGTACATCATGAGTCACTGCCCTTGCTCTTTTAAAGACAATAGTTTGATTATAACATGTCTCTCTGTATGGGCCTCTTTGAGTTCATCTTACTAATAATCTTACTAATTTACTAATATTTGTTTTGAGATTGTTGAATTTGGATGTCCACTTCCTTTGTCAGATTTGGGACGTTTTCAGCCATTATTTCTTTAAATAAGTTCTCTTTCTTCTCTTTCTGGAATGCCTTTAATGTGTATGTTGATCTGCTTGATGATGTCCCATTAATCTCTTAGGCTATCCTCACTTTTCTTCATTTTTTCTTCTTTTTGCTCCCTGACTCAAAGATTCAAATGACCTGTTGTTTAGTCCACTGTTTTGTTTGATCAGGTCTGCTTTTGAACTCTTTTAGTGAATTTTTCAATTCAGTTGCTATATTCTTCAGCTCAAAAATTTCCGCTTCTTTCTTTTTTTTATCATTCTATCTCTTTGTTGATTTTCTCATCTTGTTGTTGCATTTTTAAAAATTTCATTTAATTATCTGTGTCCTCTTGAAGGTCACTGTGTTTCTTTTTTTTGTTTTGTTTTCACGCTTAATTCACTTTATTTTTCTTGTATAAAAACCCTATGTTGTAGCCACAGCTGGAGCCTGAGTCCGCTGCACGGAGACTCTGGTGTGGGTCTTGACGAGGTGGTCAGTGAATTCCTGATAGGGAGACTTGGTAAATACAGTCTCCTTCCAGAGGTCGGGGGTTAGGTAGCTGTAGGTCTTAGAAATGGCATCAAAGGTGGCCTTGGTGAAGTTGCCCAGGGTGGCAGTGCAGCCCCGGGCTGAGGTGTAGCAGTCATCGATACCAGCCATCATGAGCAGCTTCTTAGGCACAGGTGCGGAGACGATGCCAGTGCCCCTGGGTGCAGGGATGAGGCGTACCAGCACAGAGCCGCAGCAGCCTGTCACCTTGCAAGGGACAGTGTGGGGCTTGCCGATCTTGTTCCCCCAGTAGCCTCTGCGCACGGGGACGATGGAGAGCTTGGCCAGGATGATGGCCCCACGGATGGCGGTGGCCACCTCCTTGGAGCACTTAACACCCAGACCGACGTGGCCGTTGTAGTCCCCGATAGCAACAAATGCCTTGAACCTGGTGCGCTGGCCGGCACGGGTCTGCTTCTGCACTGGCATAATCTTCAAAACCTCATCCTTGAGAGAGGCCCCCAGGAAGAAATCAATGATCTCTGATTCCTTAATTGGGCAGGGAGAAGAGATAGATCTCCTCCAGGGACTTGATCTTCATGTCCTTGACCAAGCGGCCCAACTTGGTGACGGGCATCCACTCCTTATCCTCGGCCTTGCCTCCGCGAGCTCCGCGGCCTTGGCCCCGGCCCCGTCCACGGCCGCGACCCTGGCCCCGGATGCCACTGCCGAAACCTCCGCGGAAGCCACCGCGGTTCCCCATCTCAGGGCCACCAGGGCCTCCGGGCCCCCCCGCTGCACCGGCGTCATCCGCCATTTGGTGTTTTGTCGGAAAAGAAGCCACTGTGTTTCTTTAAGACAATTATTTTGAATTATTAATCCGATAGTTTATAGATCTCCATCTCTTCGGAGGCAGTTTCTAGAGATTTATTTTGTTCCTTTGATTTGGTTATATTTCCCTGCTTTATTGTGTGGCTTGTGATATTTTTTTTGTTGAGTTGTACGCATTTGAAAAAAAATAGCCTTCTCTCTCAGTCTTTATGGATTGGGTTTGTACGGGGGAATTCTGTTCACCAATCAGCCACACCTAGAGATTCTGGGGGCCTCTGAAATCTTTTTAGGAGGACGCAATTCCTCTGAGCTTTGCCTGTAATTTTCCAGTTAGAGAGGTTTGCCAGTTTCTTTTTCAGAAGATCATAATCTTTGGCTCCCTCTGGTGTCTGTCTCTAGAACTGCAGGTTCCCTGGTGCCACAGCAGCAAGCCACTCTCCTCTCCTTTGTTTTCAGAGGCCCCATCCAAAGTATGCTGGTTCCCTGTCAGCTCCCCTAGATCAGATGAGACATTCACCAGTCCTTGGAGCAGCTCTCTGAAAAGCTGGACAGCCAGCCAAACAGCCCACTCTTCTACCTCCCTGCCAAGGGAAGACCTATGAGTTGAGCACCTCCCAGTTACCCTGAGTCATGCCATCCTCTGTGTGCCGCACTTCAGGCCTTCTGGTGGCACAGTAAGCCACCCCATTCTCCCTTGCTTTCAGCATCCTCCAGGCATCCAAACTATTCTGGTTCCATTAGTGCCCTGAGTCAAGTAAGACAGAAACTAGTTTTCTGGGCAGCCTTCTGAGAAGCTGGAACGCTGGGCACTCTTCTCTCCCCTCCCTCTAACCTAAGGGAGAAGCCATGAGAAAAGCCGAGCTGTGCTAGCTTGGGACAGGGACAATTGCAGATAAAGTGAAATGGCTCTTCTTACTGATTTCAATGCACTGTTCTTGGCTTGATCTTGCCTTGGGGTACTGCAACTTCCTCACTGGTTTCTAGAGTTCTCATAAAGGTATTTTGGTCTATATATTGTTGTTAATTTGGTGTCACTGTGAAGGAAACAAGGGTGGGGGCTTCCTATTCTGCCATCTTGCTGATGTCACCCCAATTCCTCTATTCTTTACTCCAAAAGATCATATCAGGTCAAAAGATGTACAGAACTGGGTGTCAAAAAGGTGTTCAACACAAATATATTTAATGAAAGGTTGAACAAGTGAGGCAGAGGTTTAGTGTTACTCTAACAGAATACTGGAGACTGGGTAGTTTATGAAGAAAAGAGGTTTATTTAGCTTGCAATTCTGGTGGCTGGAAAGTTCAAGATTGGGCCTCTGGTGAGGGTCTCAGGCTGCTTCAGCTCAAGGTGGAATGTGAAAGGGGAATCGGCATGTGCAAAGAGATCACACATGCTGAAGAGGAAGCAAAGCAGGGAGGAGGTCCCAGGCTGGTTTGTTTGTTTCTTTGTTTTTTGAGACGTGGTCTTATTCTGTCACCCAGGCTGGACACTGTAACCTTGAACTCCTGGGCTCAAGCTATCTTCCCACGTCAGCCTCTTGAGTAACTAGGCCCATAGGTGCATGCCACCATGGCTGGCTAATTTTTTCCTTTTTGGTAAAGACAGGGATGTTGCAATGTCTGTGTTGCCCAGGCTGGTCTTGAATACTTGGCCTCAAGCAATCCTCCTGTCTTGGCATCAAGCAATCCTCCTGTCTTGGCATCCTAAAGTGTTGGGATTAGAGATGCGAACCATCACACTGGCCCAGGCTCCTTTTAACAACCAGCTCTCTTGTGAACTAATGGGAGGACATTAATTCATTCATGAGGGATCCACCCCCATGACTGAAACCCCTCCCACCAGGGCCTATCTCCCAAAATTGCCGCATTGGGGATCTAAATTTCAATACGAGGTTTGAAGGGGACCTTTTTTCTGATCTGCTGTTGTAAAACCACAGCAGCTGTGGGGACAAGGGTAACTCTATTTCAGATGCTAATCCACCATGTGACTCCTGACTAACCTCGAGTCTGGGAATGCCTCCAAGATGTCTAGTTGATGTATTATTCTTTATGTAGAAATCTCTGTTTACTGTAAGTTTTGCCTTCCCTCCTAATCAACCCTTGATGTTGTTGCACACATCATAGGCCATGACACCCTCAGCATTCTTTCAGCTATCTACACATTCCTTCCGGAGCATGTAGACTTCCCTCCCGATACATAAGCCATGGGTCTCAGGGGTTGCAGTACACAGATCTGCCTGTCTCGTGGCCATAGAAGACTACACTTCTGTGTGTAAGTTCCCTAATAAATCACCCTTTACTGACAAACTGGATTTGTCTGCCTTGTTCTTTGGTTTCTTATCTCCTTCTGTGTTTGTGGGTCACTTTGCATTTACAGGGCTTTTAGGAAAGAACAACAGACCAGACAAAGATTATACCTCCTTGAACTAGTGAGAAAACTAAAGATCAGGAAGGCTATTGGATATACCCAATGTCAAAGTCCTTAATAGCAAAGCAGCAATCAGAGAGCCAGAAAATCTGTAAGCAAGAGATAGATCTGTAGTGGATTGAGTAGTGTTCCTCCAGGTACTGTCTACCAGATCCTCAGAATGTGACTTCGTTTGGAAATGAAACGTCTTTGCAGATGTAACTAAGCTAAGGATCTCAAATGATGTCATACTGGACTTAAGGTGGGCCATAAGTCCCCTAACTGGCATCCTTGTGAAAGAAAGGAGAAGGAGATTTGAGACGAGACACAGAGGGAGATGCCTTGTGAAGATGGAGGCAGAGATTGGAGAGATGTGTCTGCATGACAAGGAACGCCAAATATTGCTGGCACCCACCAGAAACTAGGAGAGAGGCACAGAACAGACCCTCCCTCACAGCCTCTAGAAAAAATACCCCCACCGACACCTTGATCTTGGACTGCAGGCCTCCAGAATTGTGAGAGAATAAGCTTCTGTTTGTTTGAAGCCACACAGTTTGTGGGATTTTGTTACAGCAGCCTTAGGAAGCTTCTGTTGGGTTTAAATTTCAGAGCCATAACTTCTATTCCCAGTGACACCACAGGCCTTGAGAAGGGGATGGAGTCTCAGGCACTCTCACACCATGCTGACTGGACAGCAAATCTGTAAAGTCATTCTGTAGGGCAATCTGACTATATACATCAAATGTACGTTTTATTTTATCAGTAGCAACAATCGTAGGAGCCTCACTCAGATGCAACAGTAAAGGACCAAGGTCTGCAGGAATATTTAAGACACCATATTCTGAACCTAAGACCACTGCCCAGCCTTAGTGGACTTGTGATTTCTCTTCCCCCTAGTTTTACATTTGGGGGGCCTGCTCTGCAACGTGGTCATTCTGAAATCGAGACCAAATCTTGTTCAGATGCGAGAGAAACAAAACAAAACTAGGTTCCACCCTTGGCTAACACTCACCCCACTCACCACAAAGGATGGTAGTGAAACTACAGAAGAAAACAGAGGCCAGGCACGGTGGCTCACGCCTGTAACCCCAGCACTTTGGGGGGCCGAAGTGGGCAGATCACAAGGACAGAGGTTCGAGATTAGTCTGGCCAATATAGTGAAACCCCGTCTCTACTAAAAATACAAAAATTAGCCGGGCATGGTGGCAGGCGTGGGAGGCTGAGGCAGGAGAATCGCTTGAACCTGGGAGGCAGAGGTTGCAGTGAGCCGAGATTGCGCCACTGCACGCGCCACTGCACTCCAGCCTGGGCGACAGAGTGAGACCCCATCTCCAAAAAAAAAAGAAAAAAGAAAAAGAAAACAGATTTGGCTGGGTGAGGTGGCTCACACCTGTAATCCCAGCACTTTGGGAGGCCAAAGCGGGCGGATCACCTAAGGTCAGGAGTTTGAGACCAGCCTGGCCAACATGGTGAAACCCTGTCTCTACTAATAATACAAAAATTAGTCGGGTTTTGTTGGTGCATGCCTGTAATCCCAGCTACTCAGGAGGCTGAGGCAGGAGGATTGCTGGAACCCGGGAGGTAGAGGTTGCAGTGAGCCAAGATCACACCATTGCACTCTAGCCTGGGTGACAGAGCAAAACTCCGTCTCCAAAAAAAAAAAAAAAAGAAAAAAAGAAAACAGATCCAACTGAGAGGGGAATAACAGGCAAATTGGCATCAGAAAAATCAATCCCGTGCTTGTGTGCGGTTATAAATACCTCTGAAAATTGAGGACTTGCCCGTTGTTAGTGGATTGTTTCATCACTGTATTAAACGTAAAGGGGACAAGATAGAAGATGTGGTCTTCTAGGCACTGGCTCCATGGAACACTATCTGGGGGAACTTTCTTTAACACAGATAATGCAAATGCCTATTTTTCTAATAACAATTAATTTAAAAAATTTCTATCTTCAATAGTGAGAAAAACAAACAAATAAAAACAGAACAATAACAACAACAACAAAACAATGAATGAACAGACCGGGTGCAGTAGCTCATGCCTGTAATCCCAGCACTTTGGGAGGCTGAGATGGAAGGATTGCTTGAGCTCAGGAGTATCACGCCCAGCCTGGGCAAGATAATGAGACCCTGTTTCTACTACTACTACTACTACTACTAATAATAATAATAATAAATAGCCAGGAATGGTGATGTACACCTATAGTTCCAGCTACTCAGGAGGCTGAGGCAGGAGGATCACTTATGCCCTGGAGACCAAGGCTGCCATGAGCCATTAACACACCACTGCACTCTAGCCTGGGTGACAGAGAATCTGTCTCAAAAAAATAAGTAAACAAACAATTAATGGACAGATGTTTGGAAGACAAAGTTTACCTCCCAGAATTCTATAGACCTTTCCAGAGATGTGGAATGTTAGCATTTTTATTTATTTTTTATATTTATTTATTTATTTATTTATTTATTTATTTATTTATTTAGAGACGGAGTCTTGCTCTGTCATCCAGGCTGGAGTGCAATGGCACGATCTCTGCTCACTGCAAGCTCCGCCTCCTGGGTTCATGCCATTCTCCTGCCTCAGCCTCCCGAGTAGCTGGGACTACAGGCGCCCACCAACATGCCCGGCTAATTTTTCTGTATTTTTAGTAGAGACGGGGTTTCACCGTGTCAGCCGGGACTGTCTCGATCTCCTGACATTGTGATCCGCCCGCCTCGCCCTCCCAAAGTGCTGGGATTACAGGCGAGTCACCGCGCCTGGCGCAATTTTGTTTATATGATTCTGATATCGTCCCATTTAACACATCAAAAAATGCACAAATACATACTTTAAAAACATTCTACAGTTCTTTGACTTTTAAAAAATATCTTTCAAAAATCTTTTTAAGAATGCTTGACATTGTATCTACCCTCTTAACATGCAGACATGCACACGCAGGGTCATGCACACACACACTGGCTGGGACTGGCAGAAGGGGCCACTGTGGTGTGCCTGCAAGCCTAGGGGTGGGCCCAGGTGGCACCATGGCAGGGGCAGATCTTGGTGGTAGTAGTAAATATTCAAATGAGCGTTTTGAAGGCCAAAGTGGAGAAGGATTCCATGTGAAAAGCAGTTGAACATGGGTCAGTCGGTCCTGAGACAGGCGAGCATCATCCCAAAGGAGTAGGCATTGGCCTCAATCGCTGTCAGTGATAGAAAGGGAGTTGGGTTTGGATTCCCAAATCCAGAGTGGCGGAGATAGGAAACACCAAGTTGCCTTCTCCAGTGCTGTATCCTGGAGGAGCCGGCAGGAGCCCAGGGAGAGATCTCTTTTTCTTGTGAAGTGCAGGGCGTGCTAGAATAAATTCACAGTTCTGGAGACTTCTAGTGGCACTTGAGAATCCGGGGAAGGGGGTGCAAATCTCCGTGGCCCATATACCAGCAGGTCTCCCAGGTGAACAGCCTCTGGACAAAGTAGGTAAGGGAAGTCATCCAGCCAATCACTTACTTGGGAATAAAAATGGGCTCTAAGGGCTCGTCAGGTACTCTTGACTGGTGAATATGGTTTGGATGTCTGTCCCCTCCAAATCACGTGTTGCAGTGTGATCTCCAGTGCTTAAGGTAGGATCTGGTGGGAGGTTTTTGCGTCATGGGGGTAGATCTCTCATGAGTGGCTTGGTGCCCTTCCTGAACTGATGAGTGAGTTCTCACTCTATTAGTTCACATGAGAGCTGGTGGTTTAAGACAGCCTGTCATCTCTTGCTCTCTCTCTCACATGTGACACAGTGGCTCCCCTTTGCCTTTGGCCATGATTGGAAGCTCCCTGAGGCCTCACCAGAAGCAGGTGCTAGTGCCATGCTTCTTGTACATCCTGCAGAACTGTGAGCCAAATAACCCTCTTCTATATAAATTCCCCCAGCCTCAGGTATTTCTTTATAGTGAAGCAATATGGACTAACACACTAGATAAGGTGATTAACTTTCCCATCCTCACCCAGGATCCCCTGGACCTTAGATATCTCCAGCCTCCTGCCCCCAAGGAAGGGTGGATGTAGGGCCCTAGTGGGAGAAAGGGTCCTGCAGTGTCATGGGGTCGCTGGGTTCAGGGACTGTGGCTGTGGACAGGAGCTGGGCCTTTCCCATGGATAGCCCCAGCTGCTGTGGGCCTCGTGGCTGCCCAGGGAGCCCCAGTCTCCAGCAAAACCTCAGCCAAGGGAATGTGCTTGGAAGGATCTTGGGGAAAGACCCCAGAGACTGAGCGTGGTCTGGCCTGGTGAGGAGACAGAGGAGTCTGCTACTCCTGTGGTTTTCTCCAATGACCAGCAAGAGCATCCTGACCTCCAGGAATTTTCACCACCAGCTCTGGGGAGGTCCACTGGTGTCCCAAAGCAGGCCAGGGTTGACAGAACTTCCCCTGGAACAAAAGGGGGAAAGTGCACTTGATTTTCACTTTCAGGATGAACGGGAATGCAGGGCCTCTCCATCCTTCTAACTACGGGGATTTTACTCAGGTGACGTCAGACAAGTCATACAGGGATCCAGGTGAAGTGCACATCCCCATTTAATGCAGAAATACACAAATTGAGTTCCGATCTCCTGCCTGTCAGCACGGCCCCTACTAACCCTGAGACAGCATCCTCAGATTTTCAAAATGAAGGGAACTTCGCTGTCAGCAAACAGCTGTGGTACCCAGGTGCTCTGCCAAAGAAGCAACCAGGAACTTTAGAACTGTGCTCTTCAAATGCCTGGCAACCCCTGCACTTTTCTCCGTGAGAGGTGATCAGCCAGGGTCAGAGTGGAAACGCTAAAGAAGAGCTCCCTGGGAGTGTGGGCACCACGATAAGTCTCATCCCCAGACACCTCTCCACAGCCACTTTGCCTGAATTGCCAAGTGAATGGCGGTGCTGCAAACACTTTTGCTTTTAGTAGGTCTTTATGCAAGGAAATAAAAAATCTCAGGACCACTCAACTCCTTCTGCCAAAGGGAAAGTTAAGCCTGGAGGCTGAGTCACTGGCAACACCCTCTTCCAAATGAATTGCTGTTACTTCACAACCTTGTGTCAAAGCATTAGGCATTAGCTAGACCCCCATGGAAGGGCCTCAGGCATCTCCAGATGACAACCCCCACAAAGCACTCATAAGTAAACTCTTATGTCAATTGACTTGACTTACTGTCAATCAAGGAAAATAACCCAGGCAAGTCTCAATCATTTTGGGAGGCCTATTTGCCAAAGTTAAGGATGCACTCCCAGAGACAGGTCTATGCCTTTCTCTGAAGATAATTTTGGTGGCTTCAATATTTAAAGGGGAATGGGCGGAATATTGAGAAATACACAACTTTCATGTGAGAGCGGGGTAGGGAAAAACAGTCATTCATGCCTTTGCCTGGCTCAGTGAATCTGAATTTTTACATGAGATGCCATAGACCATAGGGCAGAGGAAACAGTAAGATATGCATTTGTCTCACATGGGCAGAAGCATGAATCTGAGCTCTGTCGTATGTCCCAGCACCTGTGAAGATAAGCTATCAATTTACATTGCCATGGTGAACTGCAAGAGAAACATTTTAGAGTAAAGATCTTGAGGCCCATAAGGATCTTTACCCTAAAATGTGAGGGAGGTATGTAGCTTTTCATCTTTGCAGCCATCTTATTTGTGACCCAAAATGGGAGGCAGGTTTGCATGCGCTGGTTCCCAGCTTGACTTTTCCCTCTGGCTGAGTGAGTTTGGGAGTCTCAATATTTATTTTCCTTTCACACACCTTTCAAGATGTCTTTCTTCCCATAAATAAGGACTTGAGATGTGCAATCCAAGTCCAGCTCCTAAAACTAAAGTCTGTTGTTGCATTCCACGCTGACAATGTCCATTACAAGCTTATCTTCCGAGGGGCAGAACAAAGTCGGCATGAGATCAACCATTCCTTCCCCTACCAAGAGACATCAGCATAATTGAGACCTCCTTTACTCCCCTCTTCCTTCAAACATTCACCTTATCTGATGTAAAATGTAGGTTTACTGGACACTAACTAAAGTCTCACAAGAATGTAACATTTGCCTTGCCACCTACCTGCCCCTTTTCCTACATGCATTCCCCCACTTTAAGGAAATTTATATGTACAGAAGCTCCTGAAAACTTCTCCACAAAAAAACAGCCACAGGTGCGTCTCTGGCTTGAGTTTTTCCTCAGATGTGCCCTCAAGCTCTAGCTTACTAAACCTCAAATCATTGAGCCTTGCCTCAGTCACTCATTTAGGGTACCATTTATAAACATGTGTGATGAGGCCCCCAAGTACTCCCATTTTTGCTGGAGTGAGAACCTTCCCTCTCTCCTCACAGTGATGCTGTAGCTGCCTGATGGGTTCTTCCTGGCCACTGCACAAAGGAGACCAATGCATTGCAGTAAAGAAAGAGTTGAACAGATGTAAGGCTGCTCACGCCATGTGGGAGACAAAAATTATTACTCAAATCAATCTCCTTGGGCTGGACATGGTGGCTCACACCTGTAATCCCAGCACTTTGGGAGGCCAAGGCAGGCAGATCACTTGAGTGCAGGTCAGGAGTTCGAGAACAGCCTGTCCAACATGGTGAAACCCCGCCTCTGTTTTAAAAATACAAAAATTACCTGGGTGTGGTGGTGGGTGCCTGTAATCCCAGCTACTCGGGAGGCTGAAGGATGAGAATTGCTTGAACCCAGGAGGTGGAGGTTGCAGTGAGCTGAGATGGTGCCACTGCACTCCAGCCTGGCTGACAGAGAGAGACTCTGTCTCAAAAAACAAAAACAAACAAACAAACAGAAGATCAATCTCCTTGAAGGCTCATAGGGTAGGGGTTTTTCAAAAGTAGTTTGGTGGGCAGGGGGCTAGGGTATGGGAAGTGCTGATTGGTTGGTTCAGAGATGAAATCAGGGGATTGAAGCTTCCTCTTGCACTGAATCATTTCTGGGTGGGGCCACAGGAGCAGTTGGCAGATCCTGGTGGGTCCAGGTGGAGCCATTGGTGTCAGACATGCAAAAATCCTGAAAAGATATCTCAAAAGGCCAATCTTAGATTCTACAATAGTGATGTTATCTGCAGGAGTAAGTGGGGAAATTGCATGTCTTGTGAGCTCTGGAATAATGGTAGTGATTGTTTATGTGTACTCCTTGGCAGAATCCAGGCTTCTCTTCCTCCTAGCCTGGTGGTCACTCACTAGCTTTACAAAGGCAATTGAGTTTTGGGAAAGGGCTATTAAAATTTAAACTATAAACTAAATGTCTCTCAAAGTTAGCTTGGCCGAAGCCCAGGAATAATTAAAGGCAGCTTGAAGGCTAAAGGCAAGAGTGGGGTTGGCTAGATCAGATCTCCCCCTCTGCCATAATTTTCTCACTGTTACAATTTTTGCAAAGCCAGTTTCAATGTGACTGGAGGGAGGAGAGGGTCCTTGTTCTCAGGAAAACAAAATCAGTCTGTGGAGGGAGATCTGTCCTCCCCTGTGGCTACTCAGTGATTATAGCGCTGCACAGTTGACCCTCGAACAACACAGGTTTGAACGGCATGAGTCCACTTACACGCAGCTCTTTTTCAACCGAATGAGGATGAAAAATACAGTATTCATGGGATGCAAAGCCCACATTTACAGAGTGTTGACTTTTCCTGCAAGGAGGTTTGGCAGGGCTGACTGTGGAAGTTGAGTATGTGGGGATCTGGTTATATGCCATTGGTCCTGGAACCAGTCCCCACATAGATCAAGGGACGACTGTATTTGATATTATTTAGGAAGCTTCTGAGCTCAGATTGGCCATTGGTTGAAAGAGTTATTATCAAAGTTCTAGAATCAATAGAAAGGAGTGTCTGTGTTACAATAAGAGGTGGTGGAGACCAAGGTTTTAGGCAGGCGAAGCCTCCACGTAGCAGGCTTCAGAGAGAATAGAGTGTTAATGTTTCTTGTCAGACTTGAGAGTCTGTTCTGTCAATCTTAAGGCCTCTGTGTTGATGTTCATGCTGGTCAGCTGTGCCAGAATTCCAACAGGGAGAAGGGTATAATGAGGCACACCTGATTCCCCCTTCTCATCATGGCCTGAACTGGTTTTGCAGGTTAACTTTGAAATGCCCTCGGCTAAGGGGAGGGGTCTGTACAGATGTTTGGGGGGCTTAGAATTTAATTTTTTGTTTACAGTGGTTTTCTGCAGCTCACCACTTAACATTAAATCTGTTTCCTCTGTTCCTAAATTGGCAAGCTGATCTTATCTATTCAAATGCAGAAAATCTTTTTTTTTTTTTTGAGACGGAGTCTCACTGTCACCCAGGCTGGAGTGCAGTGGCACAATCTTGGCTCACTGCAAACTCCACCTCCTGGGTTCAAGCGATTCTCCTGCCTCACCTCCCAAGTAGCTGGGATTACAGACACACGCCACCATGCCCAGCTAATTTTTGTATTTTTAGTAGAGATGGGGTTTCACCATGTTAGCCAGGCTGGTCTTGAACTCCTTACCTCAAGTGATCCACCTGCCTTGGCCTCCCAAAGTGCTGGGATTACAGGCGTGATCCACTGTACCTGGCTCAAATGCAGAAATTCTGAAGCCTGAAGTCCCTGTACAGTTGGAGCTTTTGATAAAACTTCAGGTTTCTTTAAAGGGCCTTCTTCAACACTCCACCCCTAGGCTGTGTTCAAAACTGCAGCGTAACTGAGAAAACGGTGGCAGCCTGGGGTGAATGCAGTCCCTCCCTTTTCCTAATCCATGAAACTCCTCTACATGAAAACCACTTGAAAGTTACAGACATGGAGGGAGGGACTTTATGTCTTCCTTGGGGGCAGCCAAGACAAAGAGGGATGCTAAGCAGATTATCTTGGTATTAATCATTCAAATGCAGGAGTGGAGACTTCAGGACTCAGGCCTAGCAGGGGAAGGTTGTGGCTCATGAACCCCTGCTTACAGCCTGGCACCCTCCTACTGCAACCGTGCTCTACGGACAGGTTTTCATCATTCATCCTCATGTTCCACAAGGTGTTCCAGAAATCCTCTGCCCCATTCCACACACCCACCGCAGTAGCCTGGTCAAGTGATTTCAAGTGGGTCCTCACCACTAAAAAGAGGAAGATGGACAAACTTTTACTCGCGTCCTTGTGAAGAGCCCACCAAACAGGCTTTATGTGAGCAATAAAGCTTTTAATCACCTGGGTGCAGTCGGGCTGAGTCCGAAAAGAGAGTCAGCAAAGGGAGATAGGGGTGGGGCCGTTTTATAGGATTTGGGTAGGTAAAGGAAAATTAGTCAAAGGGGGTTGTTCTCTGGCTGGCAGGGGTGGGGGTCACAAGGTGCTCAGTGGGGGAGCTTTTGAGCCAGGATGAGCCAGGAGAAGGAATTTCGCAAGGTAATGTCATCAGTTAAGGCGGGAACAGGTCATTTTCATCTCTTTTGTGATTCTTCAGTTACTTCAGGCCATCTGGATGTATACGTGCAGGTCACAGGGGATATGATGGCTTAGCTTGAGCTCAGAGGCCTGACACAAACATGAGTGAACGCCACAAATGGCACCTCCATATGAGGAACTGGGGCAAAAGGAATAGAGCGAGGGGGCTTTTGTTTGGCAAATTGTGCCTCTAAGACCCACTCTCAGGGTTGTATTAAAAAATGTAATCGATGTTTAAAAAGCTAACACAGAGCACAGGTATTTGAGGACTAAGCTCTGATTTTTTTCTTATCTTGCCCAAATTCCTATCTAAAGGGTCTGGAGAGTCATGCTCTACAAACCATAAATTCTCATCAGATGAGTTTTATTTAACCCTATATATCGTGACTTACTTTCCAATCTGACTCTGGCATAACATCACATGACAAAACAGAAAATCAAAATATTTTACCCCCAAACAAGTTTATTTGCCATACCTTGAAATGGCCCTGCAAAGCCATCCTTTGTGGGGGAGAAATTTGCATCTGTAAAGAATCTCTATTAACATAGCTAGATCTTTTTGTTTCAGGCCCTCCCAGTTCTGAAGAGATTAGCTGAGAGTCTACCAGCTTTTTAAAGGTCAGAATGGGAAACATTTGTCATCTATTGTCTCTAAGGGCAGCCACTATGAGACATCAAAAGAACCTTGGTCTCCACAATCTTTTATCTTAACCTAAACATTTCCTTTCTATTAATCCCAGGTCTTTAGACAAACTCAACCAATTGTCAACCAGAAAATGTTTAAATTTACCTATAGCCTGGAACCCCACCCCCCTTCAAATTGTCCTCCGTTTCTGGACCAAACAAATGTATTTCTCAAATGTATTTGATTGATGTCTCATGCATCTCTAAAATGTATAAAACCAGGCTTCTGCACCCCAGCCACTTTGGACACATGTTCTCAGGACCTCCTGAGGGCTGTGTCATGGGCCATGGTCACTCATATTTGGCTCAGAATAAATCTCTTCAAATATCTTACAGAGTTTGACTCTTTTTGTCAACATATTGTTCTGAGTGATTTTATTGTCCCCACATGAAACTCACAGAACCTCTGTGAGTTGGGCTCCATTGCCTTCCTCTTTGCATGTAGAGTGTGGGAATCTAAGACATGCCCTCAGCCCACAAATGATGGCCAGTGACAAGTAGGGGCTCAAATTCAAGTAGTCCAGTGCCAAAGAAACTTGATAACCCCTCTTAGGGTGTAGCCATTATGCACTTTGGCTCATTTTCCTTCCTGGTGACTTCAGATCAATTGTGGAGAAGAAGGAGCTGGATGAGCTTTGGGTGGGTCATTTATGGTGAGCAACACTTACAGAAAGAGCCTGTAAACCTCTGTGTTGTCACTCTGTCTCTTTCCTGCCATACACAGATTCCTTTATGAACATAGGCATTAAAGGGTATTATTTAAGGAAGTGTTCTTCCCACAACCTTAATTTTTAAAAATTTATCTCTTTTTTGAGACAAAGTCTCACTCTGTCACCCAGGCTGGAGTGCAGTGGTGTGAACACTGCAGCCTTGACCTCCTGGCCTCAAGCAAACCTCCCACCTCAGCCTCCCAAGTAGCTGGAACTGCAGGTGTGTGCTGCCATGCCTGGCTAATTTTTGTATCTTTTGTAGAGACAGGGTCTCCCCATGTGGCCCAGGCTGGTCTCACACTCCTGGGCTCAAGCGATCTGCCTGCCTCAGCCTCCCAAAGTGCTGGGATTACAGGTGTGAGCCACCGTGCCTATCCTTATTTTCATTTTTAACATGACACAGCCAGCTATAAATTCTGTGGGAAACAACGCCCTGTGGGATAAGATCATCACTTTCTATTTTTCCTTTAATAAAAGTCACCCTAAATGGGACTCAATAAAAATAATTATTTGCTGCCAAAATGAAAGTCAAAACTGAGAAATAGAAAAATCAAAGATAAAAATCCACTGTAATGAAGACTCACAAAAGATCAACTGAGAGAAATGTTTGCCACATTTATGGAAAATATAGAGTTAGTGAACAAATTAAGGAATTAAGGGCTCGAGGCTTATTTACCATCACTGCAGAAACCACACTCAATGTGTAAGAGGCGGGGTCCAAGGCGGCAGACCTCTGCTGGACTTCTGTGATCCCTGCTACTTTCTGGCAGGGGCACACTGGGTTCAGAGACTTGTCCTACATTCAGTTGGCAGTGGGACCTTGGATAGGTCATCCTCTCTGAGCCCTAATAAATTCACCAATAAACTGGAAACATCTCCTGATTGGTCACGGGTGGAAGGTCAGTGGGATGGAGAAGGATGACTGTGGGCAGCTGGGAGTACTTCCCTAGAGGGAGCCAAGTGGGCAAGCAGCCCCAGCATGATGTCACAGATGGCCCATTGTGACTTATATTTAAAATTTATATTCAAAAGGGAAGCAGAGCATAAAAGTTTGGAAATTTTGCAGCTTGAGCATGTGGCAGAAAAAGTAAAAGCACTATCAGGGGAAGAATTAAAGCAGGCTGCAGAATAATCATTTGCTAGAGAAATTTGCATAACTGAAAGGGAGCCAAGTGCTAATTAACAGCCAAGACAATGGGAAAAGGGCCTCAAAGGCATTTCACAGACCTTTAAGGAAGCTCCTCCCATCACAGGTGCAGAGGCCTAGAAAGAAAGAATGGTTTTATGGGCCCAGCCTGAAGTGTGCCCTGTGCCACTTAGGGAGGCTCCAGCTCCAGCCATGGCTCAAAGGGCCCTAGGGACAGCTTGGGCCACAGCCACAGAGGGTGCAAGCCATAAGCCTTGGTGGCTTCCATGTGGTGTTAAGCTTGTAGGCTGGCAGAGTACAACAGTGAATGAGGCTTGGCAGCTTCCCCCTAGATTTCAGAGGATGTATGAGAAAGCCTGGGTGCCCAAGCAGAAACCTACAGCAGGGCTGGAGCCCTCAGAGAGAACCTCTACTAGCACAGTATTGCCCAGCCTCAGGTATTCCTTTATAGCAATGCAAGAATGGCCTAACACAACCAGAAAGCCTCAGGACCTTTGGCCAACAAGCGAATAGAAACTAGTGTGTGGGACAGAGCACCATGTGGCAAACACCTGAGTAGAAAGAGAAAACCTCCGAAGAGGTGGAATAGTGGAAATGTGGGGTTGGAGGCCCCACACACAAAATCCCCACTGGTGCACTGTTTAGTGGAGCTCTGGGAAGGGGGGCTAATGTCCTCCAGGCCCTGGAATGGTAGAGCCACTGGCAGCTTGTACCCTTGTGCCCAGAAAACTGTGACAGGAGCGACGGGAGCTGAACCTTGCAAAGCCACAGGGGCGGAGCTGCCCAAAGCCTTGGGAGTCCAGACCTCATGCCAGTGTCCCTGGATGTGGGACATGGAGTCAAAGGAGATTCTTTTAGAGTTTAAGTTTTTTTTGTTTTGTTTTTGTTTTTTGTTATTTTGAGACAGGGTCTTGTTCTGTTGTCCAGGCTGGAGTGCAATGGTGTGATCTTGGCTTACTGCAACCTCCACCTCCCAGGCTCGAACGATCCTCCCACCTCAGCCTTCTGAGTAGCTGGGACCACAGGTGCACACCACCATACCCAGATTATATATATATATGTATGTTTATATATATAATATATATGTGTATGTTTATACATTATATATAATATGTATAATATATGTGTGTGTATGTTTATATATAATATATAATATTAATATTATATGATATATTATATATATAATATTATATATATGTGTGTGTGTATATATATGTAGAGATGAAGTTTAGCTATGCTGTCCAGGCTGGTCTCAAACTCTCAAGCTCAAGTGATCCACCTGCCTCGGCCTCTCAAAGTGCTAGGATTACAGGCATGATCCACCATGCCCAGCCTGGAGCTTTAAGATTTAATGACTGCCCTACTGAGTTTCTGACTTAATTGGAGCCTGTAGCCCTTTCCTTTTGGCCAATTTCTCCCTTTTGGAACAGGAATGTTTACCCAATGCCCACTTCCCCATTGTATCTTAGAAGTAAATAACTTGTTTTGATTTTACAGGCTTATAGATGGAGGAAGGAAATGAGTCTCAGATGAAACTCTGGACCTGGACATGGGACTTTGTGTTAATGCTGGAATGAGTTAAGACTTTGGGAGACTATTGGGGCCAGGCATGGTGGCTCATGCCTGTAATCCCAGCACTTCGGGAGGCCAAGACAGGTGGATCACTTGAAGCCAGTTGGTCAGACCAGCCTGACCAACATGGTGATACCCCGCATCTACTAAAAATACAAAAATTAGCCAGACACGGTGGCGCATGCCTGTAATCCCAGCTACTCGGATTGCTGAGGCATGAGAATCACTTGAACCCAGGAGGCAGAGGTTGCAGTGAGCCAAGATAGTGCCACTGCACTCCGGCCTGGGCAACAGAGTGAGGCACTGTCTAAAAAAAAAAAAGACTTTGGGAGACTATTGGGAAGGCATGATTGTATTTTGCAATGTGAGAAGAATATAAGATTTGGAGGGGCCAGGGGCAGAATGATAGAGTTTGGATGTTTGTCCCTGCCCAAACCTCACGTTGAGATGTAATCCCCAATGTTGGAGGTGGGGCTTGGAGGGAGGTGCTTGGATCGTGGGAGCAGATTCTTCGTGGCTTGGTGCTGTCCTCGTGATAGTGAGTTCTGCTGAGGTCTGGTTGTTTAAGTGTGCAGCTTCACTGGTGCAATGCTTTCTCTGCTTCTGCTTTCCCCATGTGACATGCTGCTCTCACTTCCCCTTCCACCACAAGTAAAAGCTCTGACACCTCCCCAGAAGCTGAGCAAATGCTGGTGCCCTGCTTCCTGTACAGCCTGCAGAACCGTGAGCCACTTAAACCTCTTTTCTTTATATTAGGTTGGTGCAAAAGTAATTTGCAGCTTTTGCATTAAGAAAAAGTAGCAAAAACTGCAATTATGTTTGCACCAATCCAATAAATTGCCCAGCCTCAGGTATTCCTTTATAGAAATGCAAGAATGACCTAACACATCCAGAGAGCCTCAGGACACCTGGGCAACAGGGGAATAGAAGCCAGGGTGTGGGACAGAGCATTGTGTACTGAACACCTGAGTAGGAAGAGGAAACCTCCGCTGGGTGTGGTGGCTCATGCCTGTAATCCCAGCACTTTGGGAGGCTGAGGCAGGTGGATCACCTGAGGTTGGGAGTTTGAGACCAGCCTGGTCAACATGGTGAAAACCTGTCTCTACTAAAAATACAAAAATTAACCAAGCGTGGTGGCGCATGCCTGTAATCCCTGCTACTCGGGAGGTTGAGGCAGGAGAATCACTTGAACCCGGGAGGTGGAGGTTGTGGTGAGCCGAGATCATGCCATTGCACTCCAGCCTGGGCCACAAGAGCCAAACTCCATCTCAAAAAAAAAAGAAAAAAGAAAACCTCCAAGGAGGAACCCTGTAGAAAACTGCAATGTGACACGTGTTCACTGCACGTGGCACAAGCCGGAGAAGAAAATGTAAATAAAGCCTAGGAACAAAAACTCAGAGCCCTAATGAGTAAGTTTGGATTTGCAGGAGAGGGGAAAGACACGCTTGGCACTCACAGCCTCACTGAGTACATTTTCTCCACCTAAGTGAGTCCACATGTTAATTTACTCATCGGGGAGCAGCCAGCACAAAGCCTGTCCCCCCCAGTGATATGAACACCCTGGCCAGGCACATGCAGCCAGCAGTGCATCCTCACTGGGACCATATCCATGGCTCCTGTGCTCTGCGACTCTGCTCCTGCCTGGGTAAGGCTTCTGTCCCCACAAAGACCACCACTGTTCTGCTTTTCTCCCACTCTGGGTAAGTTTTGCCTATTCTGGAACCTCCTATTCATGGGCTCATACAATATGTTCTCCGTTGGGAACTATGTTCTTTTTGTGCAGCGTGAGGCTGTGTGTGCCAGCGGTGCTTTTATTGCTGAGCAGTGTTCCATTGTGTGCCTGACCACAGATTGCTTTTCATTCTGCTATTGGTGGAATCCTGGGATATTTCCAGTTTGGGGATACTATGAATGAAGCTGCTATGAACATCCTTATACGAATCTTCTGGTGAAGTCATCATAGAATTTGGAGACCAAGTTTTTGCCATCATTTATTCGGAGCCTAAAGGACCAGACGAAAAACCTGCCCAGGGTCACACAAGACTGAGAAGCCCAGTAAAGCACTCTCTGACGTCAGCGACTCAGGTCCTTTGGTCCTGTGCCTGGCTTGGACAGAGTCAGGCTTGTTCAACACTCTCTCCCCATCACCTCAGGTTCCCCATATCCCATTTACAACATCAGGATTAGCTCCCAGGCTTCTGTGGGGTGAAGAATGGGGACTGGTTTTCCTGTTTCACTTTTAGCCTGGGCTTAGGCTATGAGCAGGTCAGAAAGGGGCAATGAGGCTGGTTGCAGTGGCTCATGCCTGTAATCCCAGCACTTTGGGAGGCCAAGGCGGGTGGATCACCTGAGGTCAGGAGTTCAAGACCAGCCTGGCCAACATGGCAAAACCCCATTTCTACTAAAATACAAAAATTAGCTGGGGGTGGTGGTGCATCTCTCTAATCCCAGCTATTGGGAGGCTGAGGCAGGATTGCTTGAACCTGGGAGGCGGAGGTTTCAGTGAGCTGAGATCACGCCACTGCACTCCAGCCTGGGTGACAGAGCGAGACTTCATCTCAAAAAAAAAGTGGGGGGGGGGTGGCAAGGAGAGCAATGAGATCATATTTCCCATGTGCTGTGTGAACACTGGTGCTCTGTGAAAGGGCCACATACGCAAAGCAGCCCCAAACGCAGAAGGAGCTGAGAAACCAAAGAACAAGGCACACACATCCAGTGTGTCAGCAAAGGGTGGTTTATTTGGGGAATTTAAGGCAGAAGCATGGTCTTGGGTGACAGCAAGACAGGTGTCCACACTCCCAGACCCAGGGCTTGTACACCATGGAGAAAGTGTGCATTGCTCTACAGAGACAATGGCAGCAATCCAGAGCAGGCAGGAATGCTGTGCATCATAGCCTAGAATTTGTGTGATAACATCAGGGTTGACACGTTCTCACACTAAGGACAGGAAATTAAGTCCAGGCCCTTTCATGGAACACCAGTGTTCCATGGTGTTCCTGATTAAGTGTAGGAATCAGGAGGCATTCCTGGGACTGGAGCTAATCAGAGTCAACACGGCAGGTTTGCAGCCCAAATGGTCACTTTGTCTCTGCAGTTGGTGTCTCCCTTCCCTTCTGAGTCTCATTAACCCCATGTGCAAATGAAGGGGATTAAGGTCACTCTGGGGCTCATTCTGGGCCTAATGGTCTCTGAGGTTAACCATCCATGATGGGTAAAGTGAAGAGGGGTGTCTTTCCCCTCTGCTTGCTCCAGTCACTTGGCCCAGAGGCCCCCCTCCAAGTGAGCTCCAGGAGGGCTCCTGCATACTCCTCTCCCAGAACACAGCTCCAAGGATGCCATGATGATCAGTGTTTTAAAATGTACCTGGTAGTTGCTTTTTATACAGATATGGCAAGGCTTACAGATCTGGAGACATTTGCCATTGAAAACTAGTTACTTGAGCACGGTGGCTCATGCCTGTAATCCCAGCACTTTGGGAGGCCAAGGTGGGTGGATCACCTGAGGTCATGAGTTTGAGACCAGCCTGGCCAACATGGCAAAACCCTGTCTCTACTGAAAATACAAAAATTAGCCTGACTTGGTGGTGGGTGCCCGTAATCCCAGCTACTCGAGAAACTGAGGCAGGAGACTCACTTGAACCCCGGGGGATGGAGGAGGTTGGGGTAAGCTGAGATTGTACCACTTCACTCCAGCCTGGGCAAAAGAGCAAAACTCCATCTCAAAAAGGAAAAGAAAAGAAAGCTAATTACTTGGCCAGGCATGGTAGCTCACCCCCAGCACTTTGGGAGGCTGAGACAGCCCAGAAGTTTAAGACCAACCTGGGCAACATGGCAAAACCCTCTGTCTACAAAAATACAAAAATTAGCCAGGCGTGGTAGCACGTGCCTGTAGTCCCAGCTACTCAGGAGGCTGAGGCAGAAGGATCACTTGCACCAGGAGGTGGAGGCTGCAGTGAACTGTGATTGTGCCACTGCACTCCAGCCTGGGTGACAGAGTGAGACTGTGAGGACCCCACCACAAAAAAAAAAAGAAAAAAAAAAGTTACAGTTCTCAAGAGGAGGGAGCACGCCACCCCATGCAGGGCCATGCAGAGAAGCATTGAGGTTGGCCAGAAGGCAGGAGCGAGGGGAAGGCGTGGATAAAAGGCTTTATTGGGTTTTCTCTGGAAGGAATGGGCAAGGCAAGGTGAGTAGGCTTAGGGTTGGTTAGTTTGAATAATTTCCGCAGGCTCTGCGGTGTAGAGTGTCCCAAGTTGTCTGTTACCTGGCCCTGGGATGATCTGGGGTGCAGAGGAGCTGCAGAGCCAGCCAGCCTGTGGAACTCCTGGCAGGGTTTCCTGTAGGCACTGCTCACCTCTCCTCTGCCTTCCCAGAGCTTCACTGCCAATGAGCAGAAAGTCCAAGGAATTGGGAGTGTATCTGCAGAGACCCATCTTAAACTATGTACAGGCTTCCAGAAGACAGTCATTTAACTGGAGACCAAGTTAGGCTGTGGGTTGGAGAGGGCTGGAAGAAAATGACAGTGAAATTTGTTTTTCCACCAAGAGACATAGTGCCTCTGTTGGGAGGTGGGGGAGCTTCTACACTGAAGTGGGTTAATCTCTGAACTGCTCCTCTAGGGCTGAGGCCCCCCAGCCGTGCATGATGCCCTGAGCAGAAGGGTCTGACCAGGAGAGGGCACCAGAGCAGAGTGCGGGTCAAAGTTGCTAAAGCCCACACCACGGGTGGCCTGGGGCTCTGGGGATCCCCTGGAGTGGCTGTGGATTGTTGAGCCTGGCAATATATTGTGCATCATTTTTTTTTTTTTTTTTGAGACAGAGTCTCACTCTGTAGCCCAGGCTGGAGTGCAGTGGCAGGATCACGGCTCACTGCAACCTCCGCCTCCTGGGTTCAAGCTATTCTCCTGCCTTGGCCTCCTGAGTACCTGGGATTACAGGCGTGCGCCACCACACCCAGCTAATTTTTGTACTTTTAGTAGAGACGGGGTTTCACCATGTTGGCCAGGCTGGTCTCGAACTCCTGACCTCGTGATCCACCCGCCTTGGCCTCCCAAAGTGCTGGGGTTACAGGTGTGAGCCACCGCACCTGGCCTACTTTTTTTTTTTTGAAACAGAGTCTCACTCTATCACCCAGGCTGGAGTGCAGTGGCATGATCTCAGCCCACTACAACCTCCATCTCCCGAGTATTCTCCAGCCTCAGCCTCCCAAGTAGCTGGAATTATAGACATGCACCACCACGCCTGGCTAATTTTTGTATTTTTTGTAGAGATGAGGTTTCACCATGTTGGCCAGGCTGGTCTTGAACTCAGGTGATCCACCTGCCTCAGCCTCCCAAAGTGCTGGGATTACAGGTGTGAGCCACCACTCCTGGCTTTTTGTATTTTTTTTTTTTTTTGAGATGGAGTTTTGCTCTTGTTGCACAGGCTGGAGTACAATGGCGCGATCTCAGCTCACTGCAAACTCCACCTCCCGGGTTCAAGCAATTCTCCTGCCTCAGCCTCCTGAGTTGCTGGTATTACAGGTGTACACCACCACACCCGGCTAATTTTTGGTATTTTTAGTAGAGATTTTGGCTAGTTTTTGGTATTTTTAGTAGAGACGGGGTCTCACCATGTTGACAGGAGTTCAAGGCTGGTCTTGAACTCCTGACCTTGTGATCTGCCTGTCTCGGCCTCCCAAAGTGTTGGGATTACAGGCATGAGCCACCGCACCCGGCCCGCTTTTTGTATTCTTTTAAAATAGAGAAGTGGTTTCACCATGTTGATCAGGCTGGTCTTGAACTCCTGACCTCAAGTGATTCTCCTGTCTCGGCCTTCCAAAGTGCTGGGATTACAGACATGAGCCTGTGCATTGGATTTATCTGATTTCAAAAATCTCAAAGACCCAGGAAATGCATGAATTAGTATGACAAAAGATCCCCCCACATGCGAATATTTGAACCCTAGAAAATCTGAGCCAGGGCTGGGCGCAGAGGCTCACGCCTGTAATCCCAGGACTTTGGGAGGCCGAGGTGGGCAGATCACGAGGTCAAGAGATTGAGACCATCCTGGCCAACACGGTGAAACCCTGTCTCTTAAAAACACAAAATTAGCTAGGCGTGGTAGCACGCACCTGTAATCCCAGCTACTCGGGAGGCTGAGGCAGGAGAAACACTTGAACCCAGGAGGCGGAGTTTGTGGAGAGCTGAGATCTCGAGATCTCGCCTTTGCACTCCAGCCTGGCGACAGAGCAAGACTCCATCTCAAAAAAAAAAAAAAAAAAAAGAAAATCTGACCCATGTGTGACCTCACAAATCATCCATCCAAAATGTTCATTCTACAGATAGGGAACCCATGACCCAAAGAATAAAGCTTGTCCAAGATCAAACTGAAGCCCAGGATTTGGGAATAGAAACCAAGGGGCAAGGAGGTAAATGGGATGTCCATCACTTATTTATTTATTTAGAGACGGAGTTTCACTGTTGTTGCCCAGGCTGGAGTACAGTGACGCGATCTCGGCTCACTGCAACCTTCGCCTCCCAGATTCAAGTGATTCTACTGCCTCACCCTCCCGAGTCACTGGGACTACAGGCATGCGCCACTACACCCAGGTACTTTTTTTGTATATTTTGTAGAGACAGGGTTTCACCATATTGGCCAGGCTGGTCTTGAACTCCTGACCTCAGGTGATCCATCCACTTGGCCTCCCAAAGTGCTGGGATTACAGGCGTGAGCCACTGCGCCCAACCCGGGTCACCAATTTCAGGGGCTGGAAAATCAAGCACAGGCTTATTCCTCCCTCGGTGCCTGGAGTGCCCTCTAATGGCTAGTTCAATAACCGCCTCGAACATCTTAAGGTAAGACACGACATAGTCATGAATATTTAAAGTCCTTCACTGCTCTCCAGGAACCTCCCCTCCTTCATTAGTGTATGTGTGGGGGAAACATACACATCACTGAAATTTAAGTGCCATCATGATGAACCTTTTTTTTTTTTTTTGAGACGGAGTCTTGTTCTGTCGCCCAGGCTGTAGTGCAGTGGCATCATCTCGGCTCACTGCAAGCTCTGCCTCCCGGGTTCACGTCATTCTCCTGCCTCAGCCTCCCGAGTAGCTGGGACTACAGGCTCCCGCCACCACGCCCGGCTAATTTTTGTATTTTTAGTAGAGATGGAGTTTCACTGTGTTAGCCAGGATGGTCTCCATCTCCTGACCTCGTGATCCGCCCGCCTCGGCCTTCCAAAGTGCTGGGATTACAGGCGTGAGCCACCGCGCCCGGCCGAACCTTTTTTTTTGAGACAGGGTTTGGCTCTGTCTCTCAGGTTGCAGTGCAGTGGTGAGATCATAGCTCACTGCAGCCTTGACCTGCCGGCCTCAAGCCGTCCTCCCACCTCAGCCTCCTGAGTAGATGGGATGACAGGCGCACACCACCATGCCTGGCTAATTTTTGTACTTTTTCTAGAAACGGAGTCTCTCTATGTTGCCCAGGCTTGTCTCAAACTCCTGAGCTCAAGCCATCTTCTGGCCTTGGCCTCGCAAAGTGCTGAAATTATGGGCGTGAGCCTGGCGAGGATGAATATTTTGTCTGCTTTGTTCAGGATAGTGGTCTCTGTGTCCATGGCAGTGACCACACCCATGCATAATAGACATTGAATAAATACTTGCTGAATGGCTGAATGAATTAAGTACTCACTCTGCACACAGCTCTATTTCTGGATTTTTGAGGTGCTTCAATCAACAGATATTTACCAGTGGCTTTCTGTGTGCAATATACCATGAAGAGAGTCATGGAGTCAGAAAAATTTTAAAGCCACTGTTCATGTCCTAATAGAGTTGCCGTTTATTAGTGTACAAGACAAACCACAAATCCTAAGTGTAGAGATAACATGGCAAAGATGAGAGGGGTGAGCAAAGCCATGGCGGCGAGCCAGGCAGACAGACGGACTGCAGCCAGGCTCCGGGGCCTCCCGGGGAGATGGGGTGCACGTCCAGGTGGGAGAAGTCGGCTTTCAGAACAGGAGAAGGGACGGCTTTCCAGGGCTGGGGCCAGTGCCTGCCTCATTTTCCATCTCTCAATTCCGCATTCTTCCTCCTCACTCACCACAGTCGTGGGGGCTGAATTCCCGAATTACTAAGACTCGCCTCTCTCGGGGAACTCGGTCGCTGTCCTTACCACCTCTCCGATGGCTCCTCCCATCCCTGGCCACGTCCACCTTTGGATGCTTCTTGCCGTCACACAGTCCCACACCCAGCTGCGCAACTGAGCACTCACAGTGTTTAGAATCCTGCAGCCGCTGGCCCCAGGCTTTGACTCCACGGGCTGAGGCCTTTAAGGACATCAGCAGGACCGAGCCAAAGGAGCTCCGCCCACCCAGCCAGAGAACACTGATGCAGGGAGATGGAAACAGGATTTAGTTACTGAGACCTTGTTTACACAAAGATACTCCAAGAGAACTCATGGATGGGAGGGAGTTGAGTCTTGGCTGCGGAAGCAGGCGAAAAGAGAAGTAAACCGATCTCCATGGACCGTGGAGCGGTTCTGGGCAGGTGGCACTGTAGGAAGAAGACAGGAGCAACGGCTAGATGGAAGGCAGGCGTGCTTTGAGTGTGGCAGACAGCGGGAGACTGGGTTCAGCAGGACCCTAGGGGTTCCAGGTCATGTCACAGCTTTATTAAGATATAATTCAGGCCGGGCGCTGTGGCTCACGCCTATAATCCCAGCACTTTGGGAGGCTGAGGTGGGCAGATCACCTGAGGTCGGGAGTTCGAGACCAGCCTGACCAACATGGAGAAACCCCGTCTCTACTAAAAAATACAAATAAAATTAGCTGGGCGTGGTGGCGCATGCCTGTAATCCCAGCTACTTGGAAGGCTGAGGCAGGAGAAGAGCTTGAACCTGGGAAGCAGAGGTTGCAGTGAGCCAAGATCGCACCATTGCACTCCAACCTGGGCAACAAGAGCGAAACTCCGTCTCAAAAAAAAAAAAAAAAAAAAAAAAAGGATATAATTCATATACAATTCATCAACATAAAGTGAGCAGTCAATAGTTTTTAATATATTCACAGAGCAGAGCTACCATCAACACAATCAATTCTAGAACATTTCCATCACCCCAAACAGGAACTCTGTCCTCATTAGTCGTCATTCCCAAATCCCCCACGTCCACTGCAGCCCTAGACACCACTAATCTACTTCCTGTCTCTAAGATTGCCTATTATGGACTTCCATATAAATGGAGTCGGTTGGGCGCAATGGCTCACGCTTGTAGTCTCAGCACTTTGGGAGAACAAGGCGGGTGGATCACCCGAGTTCAGGAGTTCGAGACCAGCCTGGCCAACATGGCGAAACCCCATCTCTACTAAAAATACAAAAATTAGCTGGGGGTGATGGTGGGTGCCTATAATCCCAGCTACTCGGGAGGCTGAGGCAGGAGAATCACTTGAACCCGAGGGGCGGAGGTTGCAGTGGGCTGAGATTGCACCATTGCACCCCAGCCTGGGCGAAAGAATGAAACTCCGTCACACACACACACACACACACACACACACACCCATAAATGGAGTGTACACATGGTCCTCTGTGACTGCCTTCTTTCCTTTGCATGTGCTTCCAAAGTTCATCCATGTTGGAGCATGGATCGGTATCTCATTCCTTTTCATGGCTGGAGAATATTCCAGTGTAGGATACACCACATTTGGTAATCAGCTGATGGACATTTGGGTTGTTTCCATCTTTGGCTACCGTGAACATACCATGAATGTTTAGGTAAGAGTTTTTGTGTGCATATATATTTTCATTTTTTTTGATATAATCTAAGTGGATTTGCTGGGTCAAATGGTGACACTGTTTAGTTTGGGAACTGCCAGTCTATCTCCCAAAGGGGCTTCAACACTTTACATTCCCACCAATAGCATTTAAGGGTTTCATTTGTCAACACTTCTCCAACTTCTTGCCAACACTTGTTATGACTTGTCTTTTTTTACTATACCCATCCTAGTGGGTGTCAAGTGGCATCTCAATGTGGTTTGGATTTAGACTTCCATGATGACAATTGATACTGAGCATCTTTCCATGGGCGTTGGGCAGTTTGTTTGTGTGTGTGTATATGTGTGTATATATATATATATATATATACATTTTTTTTTTGAGACAGCGTTTTGCTCATGTTGCCCAGGCTGGAGAGCAGTGGTGCAATCTCTGCTCACTGCAACCTCTGCCTCCTGGGTTCAACCAATTCCCCTCCCTCAGCCTCCCGAGCCTCCTGAGTAGCTGGGATTACAGGCATCTACCACCAGGCCCGGCTAATATTTTGTATTTTAGTAGAGACAGGGTTTCACCACTTTGGCCAGGCTGGTCTCGAACTCCTGACCTTAGGTGATCCACCCACCTCAGCCTCCCAAAGTGCTGGGATTACAGGCGTGAGCCACCGCGCCCGGCCAGTTTGTATATCTTCTTTGGGGAAATTTCAGATCTTTTGTCTATTTTAAAAATCCAGTTATTTGTCTTTTTATTATTGCATTGTAAGAGTTCTTTATATATTTGATATGTTTGGGTCACAGGGGCAGATCCCTCATGAATGGCTCAGTGCCCTCCCCATGGTAATAAGTGAGTTCTCACTCTGTTAGTTCACTAGAGAACTGGTTGTTAAAAGGAGCCTGGCACCTCCTCGCCTCTCTCCCACTCTCCCACTTGCCATGTGATGTGCCTATTCCCTCTTTGCCTTCTGCCATGATCGTAAGCTTCCTGAGGCCTCCTCAGAAGCTGAGCAGATGCGGCTGCCTGCTTGTACAGCCTGCAGAACTGTGAACCAAATAGATGTCTTTGTAAATTACCCAGTCTCAGGTATTTATTTATAGCAGTGCAAAAAGGACTAACACAATATTCTAGATATGAATTCCTTGTCAGGTATATGATTTGCAAATATTTTCTCCCATTTTGTGGGCTGTCTTTTCATTTTATTGGTAGTGTCCTTTGAAACACAGAAGTTTTTAATTTTCATGAAGCCGAATGTATCTATTTTTTATTATGTCGTTTATGCTTTTGGCATCATATCTAAGAATCCAAGCTCACAAAATCTTAGCCCTATGTTTTCTTCTAAAAGAGTTACAGTTCGGGCTCTTACATTTTGGTCTTTGGTCTATTTTGACTTAATTTTGTACATGACATGAAGTGGGCATACAACTTCATTCTTTTGCATGTGGATATCCAGTTATCCCAGAACCATTTGTTGAAAAGACTATTATTTTTCCACTGAATGGTCTTTGCAGCCCTGTTGAAAATCAGTTGACCATAGATACATGAATTTATTTCTGGACTCTCAATTTTATTCCATTGATCTATATGTCTATCCTCATGCCAGTACCACCGTCTCTTAGTTACTGTTGCTTTATAGTAAATTTTGAAATCCAGAAGTATGAGTCCTCCAACTTTGTTCTGTTTTCAAGATTGTTTTGGCTACGCTGCTGCATTGAGTACCCACACAGATTTTAGAACCAGCTTGTCAGTTTCCTCAAAGGATCCAGTCATTATTTTGATAGGATTGCATTGATTCTCTAGATCAATTTCAGAAGTACCAACATCTTAACAATATTCCCACCCATGAACGTGGAAAGTTTTATTTAGGTCTTTCTAAATTTCTTTCAATGAAATTTTGTAGTTTTTAGAGTATAAATTTTATACCTCTCTTATTAAATTTATTCCTATGTACTTTACTATTTTGAGGATATTTAAAATGTAATTATTTTCTTAATTTTATTTTTGAATTATTCATTGCTAGTATATATTTTTTTATTTTTAATTTCTTTTTTTTAACATTTTTTTAAGAGATGGGATCTTGCTATGTTGCCCAGGCTGGTCGTGAACTGCTGAGTTCAAGCACTCCTCCTTGGCCTCCCAAAGTGCTGGGATTATAGGTGTGAGCCACCACACCCAGCCCATTGCTAGTATGTAGAAATACAATGGATTTGGCTGGGCGCAGCAGCTGATGCCTGTAATCCCAGCACTTTGGGAGGCAGAGGTGGGCGGATCATGAGGTCAAGAGATCAAGACCATTCTGGCCAACATGGTGAAACCCCATCTCTACTAAAAGTACAAAGATTAGCTGGGCGTGGTGGCGCTCGCCTGTAGTCCCAGCTACTCGGGAGGCTGAGGCAGGAGAATTGCTTGAACCTGGGAGGCGGAGGTTGCAGTGAGCTGAGATCACGCCACTGCACTCCAGCCTGGCGACAGAGTGAGAATCTGTCTGAAAAAAAAAAAAAAAAAAAAAAAAAAAAAGCAATGGATTTTTGCATAGCAATCTTTTATCCTGCAAACTTGTGGAATTAAAACGTTTTAGTGGATTCCTTAGGATTTTCTGCATATCCTGTGGATTCATCTGGAATAGGGATAGTTTTACTTCTTCCTTTCCAATCTAGATGACTTTTATTTCTTGTTTTTGTTTAAAATCTCTACTACAAGGTTTAAAAGAAGTGATGGTCTTCTAAGTTCTTGATCTTAGGACTGGGGTAAAACATCTGTCTTTCACTATTAAGTGCAATGTTAGCTGTAGGCTTTTCTTAAGGTGCCCTTTAGAAAAATCCCACGCTCCCTCTCCCTCCCCCTCCCCCCTCCCTCTCCCTCTCCCCACGGTCTCCCTCTCCCCACGGTGTCCCTCTCCCTCTCTTTCCACGGTCTCCCTCTGATGCCGAGCCGAAGCTGGACTGTGCTGCTGCCATCTCGGCTCACTGCAAACCTCCCTGCCTGATTCTCCTTCCTCAGCCTGCCTAGTGCCTGCGATTGCAGGCGCGCGCCGCCACGCCTGACTGGTTTTCGTATTTTTTTGGTGGAGACGGGGTTTCGCTGTGTTGGCCGGGCTGGTCTCCAGCTCCTAACCGCGAGTGATCCGCCAGCCTCGGCCTCCCGAGGTGCCGGGATTGCAGACGGAGTCTCGTTAACTCAGTGCTCAATGTTGCCCAGGCTGGAGTGCAGTGGCGTGATCTCGGCTCCCTACAACCTCCACCTCCCAGCCGCCTGCCTTGGCCCCCCAAAGTGCCGAGATTGCAGCCTCTGCCCAGCCGCCACCCCGTCTGGGAAGTGAGGAGCGTCTCTGCCCAGCCGCCCATCATCTGGGATGTGAGGAGCACCTCTGCCTGGCTGCCCAGTCTGGAAAGTGAGGAGCGTCTCTTCCCGGCCGCCATCCCATCTAGGAAGTGAGGAGCGTCTCTGCCCGGCCACCCATCGTCTGAGATGTGGGGAGCGCCTCTGCCCCGCCGCCCCGTCTGGGATGTGAGGAGCGTCTCCGCCCGGCAGCCACCCCGTCCGGGAGGGAGGTGGGGGTCAGCCCCCCGCCCGGCCAGCTGCCCCGTCCGGGAGGGAGGTGGGGGGGTCAGCCCCCGGCCCGGCCAGCCGCCCCGTCCGGGAGGTGAGGGGCGCCTCTGCCCGGCCGCCCCTACTGGGAAGTGAGGAGCCCCTCTGCCCGGCCACCACCCCGTCTGGGAGGTGTACCCAACAGCTCATTGAGAACGGGCCATGATGACAATGGCGGTTTGGTGGAATAGAAAGGGGGGAAAGGCGGGGAAAAGATTGAGAAATCGGATGGTTGCTGTGTCTGTGTAGAAAGTAGAAGACATGGGAGACTTTTTTTTTGTTCTGTACTAAGAAAAATTCTTCTGCCTTGGGATCCTGTTGATCTATGACCTTACCCCCAACCCTGTGCTCTCTGAAACATGTGCTGTGTCCACTCAGGGTTAAATGGATTAAGGGTGGTGCAAGATGTGCTTTGTTAAACAGATGCTTGAAGGCAGCATGCTCGTTAAGAGTCATCACCATTCCCTAATCTCAAGTACCCAGGGACACAAACACTGCGGAAGGCCGCAGGGTCCTCTGCCTAGGAAAACCAGAGACCTTTGTTCACTTGTTTATCTGCTGACCTTCCCTCCACTATTGTCCTATGACCCTGCCAAATCCCCCTCTGCGAGAAACACCCAAGAATGATCAATAAAAAAATAAATAAAAATAAAAATAAAAATAAAAATCCCACGCTATTCCAAGACTGTTGGATGCTGACTTCCCTTTCCTAGACTTTATTGTGAAAGGGTGTTGGATTTTGTCAAATGCTTTTTCCATGTCTATTGGATTTTTTAGATTCTATTGATATGGTGTCTTACATTAATTGATTTTGGGATTTTAAACCAGCCTGATATTCCCTGGACAAATCCCACTTAGGCATGTCATATAGCTCTTTTTACATTTTGCTGAATGTGGTTTGCTCTGGATTTTGTTGAGGATTTTTTTCCTCTATATTTAGATTAGACATTGATCTGTAGTTTGCTTTTCTTGTGATATCTTTGATTTGGGTAGCAGGGTAATACTGGCCTCATAGAATGAGCTAGGAAATGTTCCCTCTTCTTCTGTCTTTTGGAAGAGTTTGTAAAGAATTTATATTACTTCTTTAAATGTTCAGGAGAATTTTCCTGTAAAGCCCTCTGGGACTAGGCTTTCCTTTGTGGGTAGTTTACTAATTCAATCTCTTGTTATAAGTTTATTCATATTTTCTGTTTCTTGTGTCAGTTTTGGTAATTTGTGTGTCTCTAAGAATTTGCCCATTTCATCTAACTTACCTAATTTGTTAGCACTTAAGTGTTCGTAGTATTCCTTCATAATCCTTTTTGTTGGTAGTAACGTCCCCATTCATTCTAGTCCTTCATTTCTAATTCTAGAATGGAGAAGAATATGTGTTCTACTGTTGTTGGGTGGAGTGTTCTAAATGTGTCTATTAGTTGATTCATAATGATGCTCAAGCCTTCTATTTTCTTCTTGCTCTTCTAATTGTTCTATCTATTAAAAGTGGGTGGAGCCGGGCACAGTGGCTCACGCCTGTAATCCCAACACCTTGGGAGGCTGAGGTGGGCAGATCACCTGAGGTCAGGTGTTCAAGACCAGCCTGGTTAACGTGGAGAAACCCCGTCTCTACTAAAAATACAAAATTAGCCGGGTATGGTGGCGCATACCTGTAATCCCACCTACTCTGGAGGCTGAGGCAGGAGAATCTCTTGAACCCAGGAGGTGGAGGTTGCAGTGAGCCGAGATCTCACCATTGCTCTCCAGCCTGGGCAACGAGAACGAAACTCCGTCTCAATAAATAAATAAATTAATTAATTAATTAAATGTGGGGTACTGAAGTCTCCAACTATTATTAACAGCTTTATATTTATCCCTTCAATTCATGTATTTTGGGACTCTGTTGCTAGGTACATATATTATTTATAATTGTTATTCTTCTGGATGAATTTTGTCAATACAGATGCTCCTCAACTTAAACAATGGGATTACATCCTGATAAGCTTATTGTAAGTTGAAAATTTGGTACGTTGAAAATGCATTTAATATACTGAACCTACTAAACATCACAGTTTAGCCTAGCCTATCTTAAACAAGCTCAGAACACTTACATTAGCCTAGAGTTGGACAAAATCATCTAACACAAAGCCTATTTTATAATAAAGTGTTGAATATCTCATGTAATTTATTGAATATTGTACTGAAAGTGAAAAACAGGGCCTCTAATCCGCGGCTCTGGCCAGGCCCACCGTGCCCTGCACTGGGGGTCCTGGCAGCCACTAAATATTTTTGTTTAATTTTTTTAAAAATCAAAAGTATGAAGTATGGTTTCTACTGAATGTGTCCTGCTTTCCCACCATCATAAACTTGAAAATTTTATCCAAATCATTTTAGTCGGGGACCATCTGTATGTAATGTTCCAATTTGTCTGTGGTAAAGTTAGTTTGTTTTGTTTGGTTGGTTTTGGTTTTTTTGAGACAGGGTCTTGGTCTGCCACCCAGGCTAGAGTGAAGTGTGTGACCATAGCTCACTGTAACTGTGAACTCCTGGGCTCAAGCAATCTTCCTGCCTCAGCCCTTTTTCTGGGGCAGGTGTTTCGGGGGACAGGATCTTGCTCTGTTGCCCAGGCTGGAGTGCAGTGGTGCAATCTTGGCTCACTGCAACCTCCGCCTCCCAGTTTCAAGCGATTCTTATGCCTCAGCCTCTTGAGTAGCTGGGATTACAGGCACATGCCACCACTCCCAGCTAATTTTTGTATTTTTGTGGAGATGGGGTTTCGTCATATTGGCCAGGGTGGTCTCGAACTCCTGACCTCAAGTGATCCACCTGCCTCAGCCTCCAAAGTGCTCGGATTACAGGCGTGAACCACTGCGCCTGGCCTATAAAGAATAACTTCTGACATTTTGCTATTTGTTTTCCATATGCCCTACATCTCTCTCCTCCTTCAATTAGTTCATTAACTGCGGTTTCTTGTGTTTGATTTTTTCTAGAGTATTTTTTGTTGTTGTATCTACCAACTTAGCACATTTCAAGTCTTTAATATACTATTGTTAACTACATTCACATTGCTGTACATTAGATCCACATCCTCACTAACATGTTCTTTTGTCTTTTTCATAATAGCCATTTTAACAGGTGTGAGGTGATACCTAATTGTGGGTTTGATTTGTATTTCCCTAATGATTGGTGGTGTTGAGTGCCCTTTCATATACCTACTGGCTACTGTATGTATGTCTTCTTTTTTTTTTTTTTTTTTGAGATGGAGTCTCACTCTGTCACCCAGGCTGGAGTACAGAGGTATGATCTCAGGTCACTGCAACCCCCACCTTTGGGGCCCAAGCAATTCTCCTGCCTCAGCCTCCCATGTAGCTGGGAAAACAGGTATGTCCCACCACACTGGCTAATTTTTGTATTTTCAGTAGAGACAGGGTTTTACCATGTTGGCCAGGCTGGTCCAACTCCTGAGCTCAAGGGATCCATCTGCCTGCCTTGGCCTTCAACAGTGCTGGGATATAGGCATGAGCCACCATGCCTGGCCTGTATGTCTTCTTCTGAGAAATGTCTATTCAGGTCTTTTGCCCATTTAGAAACTGAATTGTGGCCAGGCACGATGGCTCACGCCTGTAATCCCAGCACTTTGGGAGGCCAAGGCGGGTGGATAGTCTGAGGTCAGGAGTTCAAGACCAGCCTGGCCAATATGGTGAAATTATCTCTACTTAAAAAATAAAAAAATTAGCCAGGCACTGGTAATCCCAACTACTCGGAAGGCTTGAACCAACTACAGGAGAATCGCTTGAACCTGGGAGGTGGAGGTTCCGGTGAGCCAAGATCATGTCACTGTACTCCAGCCTGGGCAACAGAGCAAGACTCCATCTCAAAAATAATAAATTAAAAAATTAAAATTGTGTTATTTGGGTTTTTTTGTTTATTTGGCTGAGTTGTATGAGTTCCTTATATATTTTGGATATTTATTTACCCCTTATCAGATGCATGGTTTTCAAATACTTTCTCTCATCCCATAGGTTGCCTTTTCCACTCTTTTGTTTCCTTTGCTGTGCAGAAGCTTTTCAGTTTGATGCAGTCCACTTGTCTATTTTTGCCTTTTTGCTTGTGCTTTTAGTGTCGTGTCCAAAAAAATCATTACCCAGGTCAATGTCAAGAAGCTTACCCCTGTGTTTTCTTCTTCTAATAGTTTTGTAGTCTCCAGTCTTAGGTTTTTGTCTTTAATCTATTTTTAGTTGATTTTTGTACATAATGTGAGGTAAAGTTCCAGTTTCATTCTTCTGCATGTGGATATCCAGTTTTCCCAACACTGAAGAGATAATCCTTTCCTCACTGTGTTTTCTTGGCATCCTTGTCAAAGATAAGTTGACCATAGATTAGTGGATTTATTTCTGGGTTTTCTATTCTGTTCTATAGGTCTATATGTCTGTTTTATGCCAGTACCATACTATTTTGATTAATGTAGCTTTGTAATATATTTTGGGTTTTTGTTGTTGTTTTGTTTTTGAGATAATGTCTTGTTCTGTCACCCAGGCTGGAATGCAGAGCTGTGATCATTGTAACCTCCAACTCCTGGGCTCAAGCAATCCTCCCACCTCAGCCTCCTGGGTAGCTAGGACTGTAGGTGCATGTCACTATGCCCAGTTTAAATTTTTTGCAGAGACAGGATCTTTCTATGTTGCCCAGGCTGGTTATGAACTCTTGTAATATATTTTGAAAACAAGAATTGTGATGCCTCTAGCTTTTCTTCTTGCTCAAGGATGCTTTGGCTATTTGAGGTCTTTTGTGGTTCCATATGAATTTTAGGATATTTTTCTATTTCTGTAAAGAATGCCATTGAGGCTGGGTGCAGTGGCTCATGCCTGTAATCCCAGCACTTTGGAAGGCCAAGGTGGGCGGATCACCTGAGGTCAGGAGTTTGAGACCAGCCTGGCCAACATGGTGAAACCCCGTCTCTACTAAAGATACAAAAAATTAGCTGGGTGTGGTGGCGTGCACCTGTAATCCCGGCTACTTGGGAGGCTGGAGCAGGAGAATCGCTTGAACCCAGGAGGCAAAGGTTGCAATGAGCCAAGATCGTGTCATCTAGGCTACAAGAGTGAAACTTCATCTCAAAAAAATAAATAAATAAAAATAAAAAATAGGCTGGGCGGCCGGGCACAGTGGCTCATGCCTGTAATCTCAGCACTTTGGGAGGCCGAGGTGGGTGGATCACGAGGTCAGGAGATTGAGACCATCCTGGCTAACATGGTGAAACCCCGTCTCTACTAAAAATACCAAAAAAAAAAATTAGCCAGGTGTGGTGGTAGGCGCCTGTAATCCCAGCTACTCAGGAGGCTGAGGCAGGAGAATGGCGTGAGCCCGGGAGGCGGAGCTTGCAGTGAGCCGAGATTGCGCCACTGCACTCCAGCCTGGGCAACTGAGCAAGACTGTGTCTAAAAAAAAAAAAAAAAAAAATAGGCTGGGCGCAGTGGCTCATGCCTATAATCCCAGAACTTTGGGAGGCCAAGGCAGGCGGATCACCTGAATTCAGGAGTTCGAGACCAGCCTGACCAACATGGAGAAACCTCATCTCTACTAAAATAAATAAATAAATACATACATACATACATAAATAAATACAAAATTAGTCGAGTGTAGTGGCGCATGCCTGTAATCCCAGCTACTCGGGAGGCTGAGGCAGAAGAATCTCTTGAACCTGGGAGGTGGAGGTTGCAGTGAGCCGAGATCATGCCATTGCACTCCAACCTGAGTGACAAGAGTGAAACTCTGTCTCAAAAAAATAAAAGAAATACAATAAAAGAAAAAATAAATAAACTTTCCTCTCCTTAACCCACTCATGTGTATGTGTCGTTAATCTTCTCAGCATGAGATGACAAACTCCATCTCTACTAAAAATACAAAAATTAGCTGGGCATGGTGGTGCACGCCTGTAATCCCAGCACTTTGGGAGGCCAAGGTGGGTGGATCATCTGAGGTCAGGAGTTTGAGAACAGCCTGGCCAACATGGTGAAACCCCTTCTCTACTAAAGATACAAAAAATTAGCTGGGCACGGTGGCGCCCGCCTGTAATCCCGGCTACTTGGGAGGCTGGGGCAGGAGAATCGCTTGAACCTGAGAGGCAGAGGTTGCAGTGAGCCGAGGTCACACCATTGCACTCCAGCCTGGGTGACAGGGCGAGACTCTGTCTCAAAAAAAAAAAAAAAAAAAAACCCAACTCTTGCATGCAAGCCATCAGGGAGGTCGGGTCTTAAGCATGAGCTGCCGGATTCTCCTTATTTGGCACCCTGCAAATAAATGCCCTCCCTCCTTTCTCCCTATGCAAACCTCAGTACAGATGTTTGACCTCACTGTGCCAGGCAAGCAGACTCCAATTTGGTCCTTTAACACTATTCTCTATTTGACTTATTTATGTTCTAACCTTTATTATTATTTCTGCTAACTTTGATTTTAGTTTGTTCTTTTTCTAGTTCCTTTAGGTGTTACATTAATTGCTTATTTAAGACCTTTCTTCTTTTTTTCATATAGGCATTTATCACCACAAACTTTCCTCTTAGTATGTTGTGTTACGTTTTTTTATGTGTCTTGAGATACTGTAAACCAAAAATAAAATTCTAAGCCCCACAACTGACTGAATGGATCCCTCCTCTCAGCCAAGGGGATTCCAAACTAAACTTGAGAAACTAGTTCAGGCCATTATGGAAGAGGGTTGGACATGCCTCATTATGACCTCCTCCCTTTGGAATTCAGGCACAACTCCCAGCATTAACATTAAAACAGAGATCTTAAGACTGACAAAACAGTCTTTGCAGCAATAAAACTTTGACACCAAATTCTAACCTGACCCTAGTATAGCATCACATGACAGATAGCAGGCCCTGAAAGAAATTAAAATATTTTACTTCAAAATATATTTCTTTGCCATATTTTGAAATGGCCCTGCAATGCTGTCTCTTGTGGGGAAATTTCTCATTCTGTAAAGAATCCCCTTCCTTTTCCAGGTCTTTTTCTGATCCTGAAGAAATTAGCTGAGGGTCTAGCACCTTTTAAAGGTCTGAATAGGAAACATTTACCATCTATTGCCTCTACAGGTAGCCACCTATGAGACTTCATCTACATAATAAGAACCTTGGTCTCCAGGACCTCTTTTTTTTCTTTTTTTTTTTTTTTGAGATGGCGTCTCACTCTGTTACCCAGGCTGGAATGCAGTGGCTTGATCTCAGCTCACTGCTGCAACCTCCACCTCCTGGGTTCAAGCAATTCTCCTGTCTCAGCCTCCCAAGTAGCTGGGACTACAGGCACATACCACCATGCTGGGCTAATTTTTGTCTTTTTAGTAGAGATGGGCTTTCACCTAATTGGTCAGGCTTGTCTCAAACTCCTGACCTCAGGTGATCCACCTCGGCCTCCCAAAGTGCTGGGATTATAGGCGTGAGCCACCACGACCAGCCAGTCTCCAGGACCTATCTTAACCTGGAGTCTCCTTTCTATTGATTCCAGGTCTTTGGATAATAACTCTTTCAACCAATTGCCAATCAGAAAACATTTTAATCCACCTATGACCTGGAAGTGCCCCATTTTGAGTTGTCCTGCCTTTCTAGACCAAACCGATGTATACCTTACAAGTACTGATTGGTGTCTGTCTATAAATTCTGTCCCCCTAAAATGCATAAAACCAAGCTGTAACCTAACCAACTTGGGTACATGTTCTCAGGGCCTCCTGGGGCTGTATCATGGGTCATGGTCCCCACATTTGGCTCAGAATAAATTTCTTCAAATATTTTACAGAGTTTGGGTTTTTCATCAGCAACATATTTTTAAATTTTTATTTATTTTTAGATGGAATCTCTGTCACCCAGGCTGGAGTGCAGTGGTGCCATCTCAGCTCACTGCAACCCCGCCTCCTGGGTTCAAGTAATTCTCCTGCCTCAGCCTCCTGAGTAACTGGGACTACAGGCATGTGCCACCATGCTCAGCTAATTTTTGTATTTTTAGTAGAGACAGGGTTTCACTATGTTAATCAGGCTGGTCTCAAACTCCTGACCTCAAGTGATCTGTTTGCCTCGGCCTCCCAAAGTGCAGGGATTACAGGCGTGAGCCACTGCGCCTGGCCTTCAACAATATTTTTAAATTCCCTTTTGATTTATTTGACTTGGTGATTATTCAAGGGTATGTTGCTTAATCTCCATGTATTTGTGACTTTTCCCATTTTCTTGCTGTTATTGATTTCTAGTTTCATTTCATTGTGGTCAGAAAAGATGCTTGTAATGATTTCAACCTTCTTAAATGTGTTAAGACTTGTTTTGTGATCTGACATGTGATCTATTCTGGAAAGTGTTCCATGTATGCTTGAGAAGAATTGTATTCTGCAGTTAAGTGGAGAGCTCTGCGTGCGTCTGTTAGGTACTGATCTATGATCTATAGTGTTGTTAGAGCCAGCTTTTTTTTTTTTTTTTTTTTTTGGAGGCAGAGTTTCAATCATTGCCCAGGCTGGATTGCAGTGGCGGAATCTCGGCTCACTGCAACCTCCGCCTCCCGGGTACAAGTGATTCTCCTGCCTCAGCCTCCTGAGTAGCTGGGATTACAGGCAAGCGCCACCACGCCCAGCTAACTTTGTATTTTTAGTAGAGACAGGGCTTCTCCATGTTGGTAAGGCTGGTCTCGAACTCCCGACCTCAGGTGATCCGCCTGCTTCGGCCTCCCAAAGTGCTGGGATTACAGGTGTGTGCCACCGCGCACGGCCTGAGCCAGCTTTTTATAGGTTTTCTGTATGGATGCCCTATGCACTAATGTATGTGGGGTATTGAAGTCCCCTCCTATTATTGTATTACTGTTAATTACTCCCTTTAGATCTGTCAAAACTTGTATTATATATTGAAGTACTCTGATATTGAGCTTATATATTTATAATTATTATATATGCCTACTGAATTGGCCTTTTATCATTATACGATGACCCCTTGGCTGTCACTCTGCTCTTCCATTTACTGATATGCTTGCACTCACGTGGTTTTATGCTACCAGCTGGTCTCAAGGGTTTTGGGGCCTGCTCATTGCCATTGCACAGGCATCTCCTACCTCTGCCCCGGCCCTCTGAAGAGAGGTACTCCAACATTCCTGTGGTGCTGGGATTCCTCCCCAGCACATGCCTGGCTGCTTTGGTAAGTGGTGAATCTTCTGGGGCCTCTGTGGTGTGACCTCACCTGGTGGGTTTACCAGCCTTACACAGCATCATCCATCTGAGCATGCCCATGTCACTGAAACTTCTCATCCCTTCTCCCACTGTCTCTGGCAATGCAGGCCTTTTTAACTTCACTTAGTTTGGGTAATTCCTTTTACCATGCTTCTAGGTGCCAATATAGTTACATGGTTTGTTTAGTTTTGTTTTTTTTGAGACAGAGTCTTGCTCTGTCGCCAGGCTGGAGTGCAGTGGCGTGATCTTGGCTTACTGCAACCTCTGCCTTCCAGGTTCAAGCGATTCTTTTGCCTCAGCCTCCAAAGTAGCTGGGACTACAGGTGTGCACCACTAAGCCCAGCTAATTTTTGTATTTTTAGTAGAGACAGGGTTTCACCATGTTGGCCAGGATGGTCTCGATCTCTTGATCTCGTGATCCGCCCGCCTCAGCCTCCCAAAGTGCTGGGATTACAGGTGTGAGCCACCGCGCCCAGCCAAAGTTACATGTTTGTACCAACTTCTGGAGTCCGTTTCAGGATGACAAATCTTATATCCCGGGGGAGTGCTTCCAAATTGAGGAAGTTCTCATCTTCCAAATTTGTTTCTCCCTGCCCTTGACTCAGGCCCTCAGATCCAGCCCCATGAGGACTCTCCCCATCCCTGCTGGTCCATGGAGACTAGGTCCTGTAGCTTCTTTGGAGCAAAGGATCATCCCTCCCTTTTCAGACTAGCACATACCCAGCTGGGACACACTGTGACTTAACCCTCGTTAGTGGCCTACTGGCCAGATTGTGAGGTGGAGGAAGAGCTGAGGGGGGTGATGTGGTTTTGCAGGGGAGTGGCCTCTGCACTGCCTACAAGCGAGAGAAGAATGCTTCCTAAATAGGGAGGGGGGAGCCAGTTCGGCAGACTTGGAGGATTTGGGAAAATCTGGTGATTCAGGATTTGAGGGTGCATCTAGCCCCATCCATGTTTCATAGTCCTCATTGTTTTCCAACCAGCTCATGACCTTGGTGTGGCAGGCCTGTTCAGATGGGGAGTTCCTCTTCTTATCTTTTTTATTTTTATTTTTATTTTTTTTTGAGACAGAGTTTTGCTCTTTTTGCCCAGGCTGGAGTACAATGGCGTGATCTCAGCCCATTGCAACCTCCGCCTCCAGGTTCAAGCGATACTCCTGCCTCAGCCTCCCATGTAGCTGGGATTACAGGCATGCGCCACCACGCCCAGCTAATTTTTTTGTATTTTTAGTGGAGATGGTGTTTCTCCATGTTGGTCAGGCTGGTCTCGAACTCTCCACCTCAGGTGATCCTCCCACCTCGGCCTCCCAAAGTGCTTGGCCACCGTGCCCCACCGGAGTTCCCCCTCTTTGGGCGCAGTTACTCGCAATTAAGACCTGGGCCTGGGCCTGGGCCTCAGCTTTCTCCATCCTTCAGCCACTTTACATGCTCCCAAGGAAACCCTGTTACTTTCTCATTTAGCTTTAAATTGTTGATTAATCAGGCTCTGCTTAGCTGCAGCCACTCCAGTCCCACTCTCCTGACAATGACTGACTCCCCCACATTCATCATTTGCTGGTACATTCCCTTCCACCTCTGCATCTGCCAGCAGTGACAGTTTGAACAATAGTACCTCTGCTCTGTGCGGGGGCATGTACCCGCTCCATCTACCCCCAGCAAAAGGATCCTTATCAGCAGCTAGGCAGTGGGTGATCCAGAGCCAGAATCCCATCTTAGCATCTTCTTCCTCAGACCCCTCCTGACCCAGCGGTCACAGGTTGGGCTCTCCAGAAGCAGTGTCTGAGAGGGAGGTTAGTGTGCAGGTTTCTTAGGGCGTGCCCTGTGATCGCCACCTGCAGAAGAGAAGAGAACGAAGCAGGATCAGGAAGAGGCAGAAACTGGCTGCATTCAGCGAAGGCCTCAGCCAACCCCGTATGTTTATCCCCATCCTGGACGTGTGTTGCTGAAGGAAATGAGAGTGTGGTTGGGTGGAGGCACGTTTGGAGAGGCCTGACGGCTGAAGGCTGTCTGCCAACAGCATTCCCAGCAGTGTGGCCAAGAAATGTTTCTTTTCCAAAGGGGATCTGGATGGTCAATTGCAGTGTCCCCTTTAGAGGGAGTGGAGGAAAAGTGAGACCCATGAGAAGCTGGAAAAACCAGCTGTCATCATCACTCTCATCATTGTTCCTGTTGTTGCTTTTAACCTGCTCCTTCTATTGCTACCGGAAGTGCTGCAGGGGTTTTGGTATCTACATAGGGCTCAGTCGGCAAGAGTTCAGAATAAGTAGGGCCCTCTAGGTCACTCGGCCTCCTCCAGCAAAGATGTTAATCTGGAGACCGGGAAAGCTGGAAGGGTCTGGAGACTATTCTCATAGTTCACAAAGCTAGCTGCATACTGGAATCACCTGGGAACATTTTTTCTTTTTCTTTCTTTTTTTTTTTTTTTGATGGAGTCTCACTCTGTTGTCCAGGCTGGGGTGCAGTGGCACAATCTCGGCTCACTTCAACCTCCGCCTCCCCAGTTCAAGCGATTCTCGTGTCTCAGCCTCCCGAGGAGCTGGGACTACAGGCGCCTGCCACCATGCCCGGCTAATTTTTTGTATTTTTACTAGAGATGGGGTTTCACCATGTTGGCCAGGCTGGTCTTGAACTCCTGACCTCAGGTAATCCACCTGCCTCTGCCTCCCAAAGTGCTAGGATTACAGGCGTGAGCCACTGCGCTTGGCCGGGAATATTTTTTAAACTATGTCTGGCTCTACCCTCATAAAATTATGAAATGATTTTAATGGTCTGGAGTTGTAGTTGGGATATTCAGTTTTATCTTGTTTTTTGAAACTCCCCAAGTACTTATAACGTACAGGCTGACAAGAACACCTGATTCAATCAGTTCTCTCTGCCCCGACTTTACAGATGCAGAAACCACGACCAAGAGAGAAGAAGAGATTTGTCCAAGAACACATGGTAGGTAGTGGGAGGAGCCAAACCAGAGTCCTAAACCTTGACCCATTTTCCCACCATTCAACACTGCTCCTCGGGCTGAGCAGGGCCTGGTCCTGCAATGAGCTACAAACAGTCCGTGGGATGACAACTGCACAACTTTCATATTACATCAGCACTTAGTCTGTGGAGGTCGCAGGGAATTCTCGGTATAAGGCTAGGCTCAAGGAGTTCCTAGTCAGGAAAAGCTCCCCGGCGTGGGCTTGAGTAAAGGCCAGGTTGGAATTCAAAAGTTGGAGGACAGTAGAACTTCCATTCTGACTGGTGGGCCAGGAGAGAAGGGGTCTCAGCAGGGGTGTATGGAGACGAGTGTGACAGATGCAGGGAGAGTGGTGGGCCGCAGGAAAAGGGAAGCCAGACTGGGAGGGAGAGGCCAGGCAGTGCCATGAAACCCCAGCCAGCAAACCCAGGGCTATGGATGTGTTTGAGACTTGGACCAGAGTCAATGGGGACTTGGAAGCTGCTTGAGCCTGGGAGGCACCTCGCCAGAGGAGAGCTTAGAACATGGCTTCTGGGAGCAGGCATGGTGGTCAGGTAGACCGAAGGCTGAGGCTTAGAGCAAGGAAAAGGCCACAGAGTCGCCCTTGTGTTCTGGGAGGGTGGGGCTAGGAGCCGCTCCAGCACTTGTCAGAGCTGCCGCCAACATTTATTATATTAGAGCCAGGCATGGTGGTAAGTGCTGTAGTCCCAGCTACTCAGGAGGCTGAGGCAGGAGGATCACTTGAGCCCAGGAGTTCAAGGCTTCAGTGAGCTGCGATCTGTGATCATGCCTGTGAGTAGCCACTGCATTCCAGCCTGGACGATATAGATAGCAAGACCACATCTCTAAAAAACAAATATAGAGTTCTGGCCGGGCGCAGTGGCTCATGCCTGTAATCCCAGCACTTTGGGAGGCCGACGTGGGCGGATCACAATGTCAGGAGATCGAGACCATCCTGGCTAACAAGGTGAAACCCCATCTCTACTAAAAACACAAAAAAATTAGCCGGGCGTGGTGGCGGGCGCCTGTAGTCCCAGCTACTCGGGAGGCTGAGGCAGGAGAATGGCGTGAACCCGGGTGGCGGAGCTTGCAGTGAGCAGAGATCGCGCCACTGCACTCCAGCCTGGGCGACAGAGCGAGACTCCATCTCAAAAAATATATATATAGAGAGAGAGAGAGAGAGAAAGAGAGAGAGAGAAAGAGAGAGAGAGAGAGAGAGAAAGAGAGAGAGAGAGAGTTCTGTTCTGCTCTGGGCTCTGCTCAGCCATGCCGTGGGACAGCCTTGCCTGCCCCTCCCCCTGCCAGCAGGAATCCGTGGCACAGGCACAGGCTACTAATGTGGGTGTTAACAAGAGTGAGCAGCACCAAACCCCTGCTGGGTGAGGGTTGGGGACAGCAGGTGTGACTGATACACTGGGCAATGATGCCTCCCCTCCTGTCTCTGGCCTCTGGGCCTGATGGGCTCCAGCCTAATCCCAGCACTTCCTTTCCGGATGCTTGAAGGGAAAGCCCCACAGCTCTTGGTGTGCTGCAGGCTCTTAGCCCAAATGCTCCCCTCCTGAACCCCCCACGGCTCAACATGGAACAGGGTCTGGCTAAATACTCCACCAGAGTAAGAGACGGAGAAAAATCCCGCCAGGCGAGCAGCACAAATGATGACTGGACAGCAAATGGCACAGGGAGAACAAATCTTAGAATGGATGGATCGAAGCCACCAAATAAGTATGACAAAAGACGAAAGCAGAGCAGGGAGCTGAACGCCCTGCCACACGGGAAAGTCACTGGCAAGAACAGCACTGAATCGTCTTCCATCTCCCAAACTCTTGATGCTTTTCCCTCTCTGTGTGTGTTTTGTCTGCACCCATGTCTGCACTTCCACTCCCCTGAGATTCAAATGAAGCTGGGGAAGAACAATGGGAAACATTTCTGAATAGGGGCTGTCTTGGCCTGTGTTGCTATAAATGAACACCTGAGACTGGATAATTTATAAAGAAAAAAATGTCGGCCGGGCGTGGTGGCTCATGCCTGTAATCCCAGCACTTTGGAAGGCCAAGGTGGGTGGATCACCTAAAGTCAGGAGTTAGAGAACAGCCTGACAAACATGGTGAAACCCCGTCTCTACTAAAAATACAAAAATTAGCTGGGGGTGGTGATGCCTGCCTGTAGTCCCTGATACTTGGGGGGCTGAGGCAGGAGAATTGCTTGAACTCAGGAGGTGGAAGCTGCAGTGAGCCAATATTGCACCACTACACCATGTTGGTCAGGCTGGTCTCAAACTCCTGATCTCGTGATCCACCCGCCTCGGCTTCCCAAAGTGCTAGGATTACGGGTGTGAGCCACCACACCCGGCCTTCCTTGCAGATTCTTTTGGTACATAGCTCCATATTTCTTTCTTTCTTTTTTTTTTTGAGACAGAGTCTTGCTCTGTCGCCCAGGCTAGAGTGCAGTAGTGCGATCTCGGCTCACTGCAAGCTCCGCCTCCCGGGTTGATGCCATTCTCCTGCCTCAGCCCCCCAAGTATCAGGGATTACAGGCAGGAGTAGATGGGACTACAGGCGCCCGCCACCACACCCAGCTAATTTTTTGTATTTTTAGTAGAGACGGGGTTTCACCATGTTGGCCAGGATGGTCTCGATCTCCTGACCTCGTGATCCGCCCGTCTTGGCCTCCCAAAGTGCTAGGATTACAGGCGTGAGCCACTGCGCCCGGTCTCATAGCTCCATATTTCAAAATAGGATGCTGTATTTTGCTCTTTCCTCCATCCCACTCCCCGCCACACATGTGCAACCTTCTCTGCCACTCCATCTTCCTCACAGAGTTTGGCGTGGGTTACCTTTCTGAGACCCAGCAAAGGTTGCTGATCTCCTTCTTTTATGGACACTTCCTTGGGATGTGTCATAGTCCTTGGTTTTCTTCTCATATCGAAGAATGGAAACACAGAGCTAGTTGGAAGGTTTGAATATGTAAAGGTTTCAGCATGCAAATTTCACGTTAGCGTGTTCTGTCGAGGCAGTGTCCTTGAGGACCCAGCCATAATTAGGCTTACGTCACAGGCCGATGCTAGGACATGGTGTAAAGTGAGTTTCCTGTTATCCCCACAGTGGCTGAGGTCACACTTAGTAATTATCCATGTGGGCAGAATATTTTTGTTGTTTAAGCTATACTCTTTTTTTTTTTTTTTGAGACAGAGTTTCTCTCTTGTTGCCCAGGCTGGAGTGCAATGGTGCAATCTCGGCTCACCACAACCTCCACCTCCCAGGTTCAAGCGATTCTCCTGCCTCAGCCTCCTGAGTAGCTGGGATTACAGGCACGTACCACCACGCCTGGCTAATTTTGTATTTTTAGTAGAGACGGGGTTTCTCCATGTTGAGGCTGGTCTTGAACTCCTGACCTCAGGTGATCCACCTGCCTCAGCCTCCCAAAGTGCTGGGATTACAGGCGTGAGCCACCACACCTGGCCAGTTTAAGCTAACTCTTACAGAAGAGTGCTCAGCTCATAGGGGATCCCTTTATACAAGAGATAAGAACCAAACAAAAAGGAATGAATGATTCAAAGTAGAATTTCAGATGCTGAAAAGGCAATGAAAAAGTAAAGAAGCACATGAGTTACAGTAGATGGATCTGCGTTCCAGCCTCAACAGTGGTATCCAGCAGCACAAAACCCTCTTCCTGTATGTTACGGGCTGAATTGTGTCCCCCGCCTCTCAATTCATATATTGACGTCCTAATCCCCAGCACCTCAGAATGTGACTGTATTTGGAACAAGGGCCATTATATCGGTGGGCCTTAACCCAATATAACTGGTGTCCTTATAAGAAAAACATTATCCTTCCACCCGCAGGATCCACTGTTGGAAAACCAGAATAGTATCAGAAATAGTGGCAGGAAATAGGGACTTGAATAGAGGAAGGGAGGTGTTTTTATTACTTAGTCCTCCCACCCTCAATGAAAAAAGAGACAAGTAGGGAAGAATTCTGATTGTCAGTGAACATAGCACTCAAGAAAATATATTAGGTCTATAAAATGATAGTTTAAAACCTGATGGTATGGTTTGAATGTGTCCAACACTCAAAGTTCATGTGTTAGAAACCTGATCCCCAATGCAGCAATGTTGGGAGGCAGGGCCTAATGGGAGGTGTTTGGGTCACGGGGGCTCCGCCCTCATGAATGGATTAATGCCATTCTTAGAGGAAAAGATTCATTACTGTGGGAGCGGGTTCCTTATAAAAGGACCAGTTCAGCTCCCTCTTGCACTCACTCTCTCTCTGTTTCTCACTCTTTCTTTGCCCTTCCACTATGGGACGACACAGCAAGTAGGCCCTTGCCAGAACCTGGAGCCCTCCAGAACGGTGAGCTAATAAATTTCGGTCCATTATAAGCTATAAGACCCTTCACTGATACCTCAAAATGATGTATGGGTGTGACTAGGAGGGCTTTTAAGAATGTTAAAGAAATGATGTCACTGAAAATGGTGGACTAGAGAACTCCAAAACCCATCCCTCCACTAAAGCAACAATTAAACTGGCAAAAAAAATGTCAGAATTTACTTTTCCTGAATTTTGGGATAATAAAAAACAACCACTGAGGGTCTGGTTAATGAAGAAAGAAGCAGCTAAATTTTGGTAAGAGATATTGTGGCATTTCAATGTAACCCCCAATCACCTCTCAATCCCCAGTTCAGAAAGCAGCTATGGAGATGGTGGCCCACATTCCTTGGGCAGCTTGCTTGTGCCAGAGAGGCCAATAAGGTCCTTGTTCTCAAAAAGCTGTGGTTGTATTTTTCGACCAGTCTGGCAGCAACCAGAGGGACTGACTCAGAGGCTTGCCTTTGTTTCATCGCCCTCAGAACTTTCAGCATTGGAACCACCTTCCCAGCAGTGTTTGTCGAAAGGATTTAAAGGCATATGCCAGCTGTAGCCACCTGGAGCAAGGGAAAACAGATGGGGCCAGAAGCAGACACACCAGAGCACCTAGGAGGGAAGAGGCTGGGGAAAGAGAAACATGGAGAAATAAAGACTTCGAAAAGCTCCTGCATAGCTGGGCGCAGTGGCTCACGCCTGTAATCCCAGCACTTTGGGAGGCCGAAGTGGGCAGATCACGAGGTCAGGAGATCGAGACCATCCTGGCTAATGTGGTGAAACCGCATCTCTACTAAAAACACAAAAATTAGCTGGGTGTAGTAGTGCACGCCAGTAGTCCCAGCTACTCGGGAGGCTGACGCAGGAGAATTACTTGAACCCGGGAGGCAGAGCTTGCAGTGAGTGGAGATCGTGCCACTGCACTCCAGCCTGGCAAAAGAGCAAGACTCAGTCTCAAAAAAAAAAAAAAAAAAAAAAAAAAAACAAAGCAAAGGTCAGGCGCGGTGGCTCACGCCTGTAATCCCAGCACTTTGGGAGGCCGAGGTGGGGGATCACTTGAGGTCAGGAGTTTGAAACCAGCCTGGCCAACCTGGCGAAACTCTGTCTCCACTAAAAATACAAAAATTAGCCAGGCATGGTGGTGGGCGCCTCCCAGCTACTCGGGAGGCTAAGGCACCAGAATTGCTTGAACCAGGAGGCAGAGGTTGCAGTGAGCTGAGATCGTGCCACTGCACTGTAGCCTGGGTGACAGAGCGAGACTCTTTCAAAAAAAAAAAAAAAGCCAAAAAGTAGAACCCAAATATTCACCAACTGATGAATGGAAAATAAAATGTGGCCAGGCGTGGTGGCTCACACCTGTAATCCCAGCACTTTGGGAGGCTGAGGCGGTGGATCACCTGAGGTCAGGAGTTTGTGACCAGCCTGACCAACATGGTGAAACCCTGTCTCTACTAAAAATACAAAATTAGCTGGGCGTGGTGGCACATGCCTGTAATCCCAGCTACTTGGAAGGCTGAGGCAGAATCGCTTGAACCTGGGAGGCGAAGGTTGCAGTGAGCCGAGAGGCCATGTACTGTATGATTCTATTTACATGGAATACTCAAAACAGGCAATTCCATAAAGATAGAAAGTAGACTAGTGGTTGCCTTTGGCTGTAGAAACTGGCAGATGCGTTGGTTAATTTTATTTGTCACCCTGACTGGGGAACAGAGAGCCCAGATATTTGGTCAAACATTATTCCAGGTGTGTCTGTGAGGGTGTTTTTGGATGAGATTAGCATTTAAATCAGTAGACTGAGTAAAGCCAACTGCAAATGTGGGTGGGCCTGATTAGAACAAAAAACCCCACCCTCCCTTGAGTAACATTGCTTCTTCCTGGGTCTTGAGCCCACTGGCCTTCAGATGGAAATTACACCAGTGGCTCTCCTAGCTTTCAGGCCTTTGGACTTAGACTAGAACAAAACCATCAGTTCTTCCTGGTCTCCAGCTTGCTGACTGACCCTGGAGATCTTAGGACTTGCAAGAGCCAATTCAAATGCATATATGTGTTATTGGTTTCCTTTATCTGGATAATTCTGACTAATTCATGGGAATTGGGAGGTGACGGTTAAGATTTCTTTTTGGGATGATAAAAATATTCTGCAATTGATTTTGGTGATGGCTGCATAACTGTGACTATATTAAAAGCCACTGAATTTTATGGCATGTGAGTTCTATCTCAATATAACGTTAGCTATTTTTGTATGGTATATGAATCACATCTCATGATAACATATAGCTACTTTTTTTTTTAAGAAAATCTGCTTTTAAAGGCATTTGATACTCACATTGTATATACTTTATTAAAGACCTAGAGGCAGAGGCTCTAGAAGGAGCAGGGGTCCCCAGCCACCGGGAGATTCCCAGCTCCCTTCTCGTGCTTGGATTCGCGCACTCAGGCTCATCCCTGCGGGTGGGCCTCTTGGACGCAGCACCCTCCGGAGACAGCGCCACGGGTGTGGGACTTTTCCTCCTTTCCAATTGGCAAAGTGATCCCGGGCAAGTCATTGTCCGTCATCCCAGGTATGCCTCTATAAGGTGTGGGACAGCTCCTGGTTCCACAGAGGATCGAGCATGGGGGCAGGTGGTGGACCGAACTGGAGAGGAAGGACTCTCGCGATGGGGCAGCAAGTAGGACGGGCGGTTCCAGACGAGCACACGGGGTGGGGCGGGCCAGCGTGACGCCACAGGCGCCCCATTGTGACACACAGGCAGCCTCAGCTGGGATTGGCCGGGAGGCGCCGGCCAGGGATAAAGCCAGAGTTCCAGGGCCCCCACCCTGGCCAGAGTCTGGGCAGAGAGAGTCTCTGCTGCTCCTGCTGCTGCTCCTGCTGCTCCTGCTGCTGCTCCTGCTGCTCCTGCTGCTCCTGCTGCTCCTGCCCGGCCTCCCCTCTAGGTAACCCGGAACCCTGACTCCGGTGAGGAGGCCACGCTCACCTGTCTTGGGTCCCCTAAGTCCCAGGCCTTGTCTGCATGTCAGCCCAGGGCTGGGGCTGCACCCCTGCCTAGGTCTCCCAGGCCCAGCCTCTGACTGCATTCCAGGCTTCTCGCCCTTCTAACTCTCCTGCGGCCTCCCTGCCTCGCGCCCAGGTCTGTTTGGGTCTAGGTAACCAGGGTTGGGTGGCGGCCTCGGGAAGCCGATGTGCTGTGGGAAGTGTGGATGCCGCGTAGCGGTGCCTCCATGGGAAGCCGTGCCTCCAGCTCAGGGACAGATGTCCTCAGTGGGGCCCACTGTCCAGCTGGACATCTCTAGAGCCTCCGGGACAAATTTAGACTGAAACCCATTGAACCTTTGGAAACATTCATCAAATAAACTGAATTGGGAGCATAGGAACAGAAATAAATGAAGGTCATTCCCTGCAGAGAAGAACCAAAACCACAGAGAATGAAGAACTAGGTTTTAGAATAGGAGCATCTAAAAATAGTTTGTACAGGTGCAGAGAGGCTGCCTTTTTGCTCATGATGACAAGAAACATCAGAACCTCAAAACAGGGCTTAGAGGAGCCACCTTTCCCCACAAAAAAAGGTGTGGATTGTACCTCTCTTTCCTTTAAAGAACCCCAGGATTGGTTAATGGTTCTGTGGGATATGGGGGCCTAAGTCCTGGCCCAGAATTTATTGAAGTGTTTGGGGGAACCTGTAATCAATACGATTTTATTCTTAGGAACATTTTCAGCAGGACACGGTGGCTCAGACTTGTAATCCCAGCACTTTAGGAGGCGGAGGTGGGTGGATTGCTTGAGCCCAGCAGTTCAAGACTAGCTTGAGCAACATGGCAAAACCCCATCTCTACAAAAGGAAAAAAAAGGAACACTTTTCTTCAGAAAAGGAAGATGTCAATGGACTGAACAGTAGATTAAACATGTTTAAAAAAAAAAATCTCCAGGCCGGCAAGGAGTCTTATGCCTGTAATCCCAGCACTTTGGGAGGCCAAGGCAGGCGGATCACCTGAGGTCAGGAGTTCTAGACCAGCCTGGCTAACATGGTGAAACCCCATCTCTACTAAAAATATAAAAATTAGCCGGGCATGGTGGCAGGTGCCTGTAATCCCAGCTATTCGGAAGGCTAAGGCAGGAGAATTGCTTGAACCTGTGAGGCGGAGGTTGCAGTGAGCCAAGATCGTGCCATTGCACTCCAGCCTTGGCAACACAGTGAGACTCCGTCTCGGAAAAAAAAAAAAATCTCTATAAAGATGCAAGAGTCCTTACAATATTATCAAAATGTGAATTGAAGCCAAAAGCAGAAAATCTCTTGTGGGCAGGGAGTGGACAGCAAAAGGCTTTTTAAAGGAAGATATTCCACACAAAAAAGAATGGAGCCTCTTTCCCTCAGCGGCCCAAGGTAATCTGTGAAAAAGGTTCACTATTCACTTGACCTCGAGAACCCCACAAAATCACGCAAATCAAGAGGTTCCAATATTCGTGTTCACTTTAAGGTATGCGATTCATAGTTGTGATCCAAGAGTTCCTCGTGTTCCACTCAAAAAACACTTGTGAAACTGCCCAGGCCATCAAGAGTGTGCATATACGAAAAGCCACGAAGTCTCTGAAAGATGTCACTTTACAGAAACAGTGCGTACCATTCTAATGTTACAGTAATGAAGTTGGCAAACAGTGGGGTTGGACACAAGGTCGGTGGCCCAAAAAGAGTGCTAAATTTTTGCTGCACATGCTAAAAAATGCAGAGAGTAATGGTGAACTTAAGGGTTTAGATGTAGATTCTCTGGTCATTGAGCATATCCAAGTGAACAAAGCACCGAAGATATGCCACTGGACCTACAGGGCTTATGGTCGGATTAACCCATACGTGAGCTCTCTCTGCCACACTGAGATGATCCTTACTGAAAAGGAACAGATTGTTCCTAAACCAGAAGAGGAGGTTGCCCAGAAGAAAAAGATATCCCAGAAGAAACTGAAGAAACAAAAACTTATGGCACGGGAGTAAATTCAGCATTAAAATAAGTGCAATTAAAAGGAAAACAAAAAGAATGGAGGAAAATTAATAAAGGCCATTAAACAAGGTAAAGTTGTGCAATGAGAATTCAAAAATAGATTTGTAGCAAAGATTAAAATAATGCATGTATAATACAGTGCTAGGAAAATAACAGGTCCTCAGGAAAAAATATTAGATAAAGTAACAAAGATTTGCATTTCCAGACCACTCAGAATTGGTTTGTGAATCATTCTGTAGTGATTCACATCAGATTCACACCAATTCTGTGGCCAATTTACACATTCATAAAGCATCACAAGAAGTTCACACAATCTGGATTCTGAGCATGCAATCAGAGTGATTAGATTGGACTCCATATGGCCTAATCAGAGAAAGAGTAAATTTGAGAGGAGAAATGAGAAAGGGAAAAAGAAAACCAACATTACAACAAAGTAATTAGAAAAAGGGGCCCACTCACACCATGGTGTCTTTGGGTTTATGTGACTCCACTGTAAATATTAACAGCAAACTTAGTTGTCACTCATGCTTGCAGAGAAGCTAGAAGTAGGTTAAATTATACATCTCAGTCCTATAGCACTTGTCAGCTCTGTACCCCATGAAGTCCTAAATTCTGACATATCTGTTGCTATTGTTTGAATGTGTCCTCCAAATTTCATGTGTTGGAAACTAAATCCCCAAATTCATATGTTTATTGGAGGTGAAGCCTTTAGGAGGTAATTAGGATTAGATAACGTCATCACGGCAGAGTCCTATTATGGGACTGGTGGCTTTATAACAAGAGGAAGAAAGACCTGAGATAACATGCACATTTTTGCCCTCTCGCCATGTGACGCCCTCTGCGATGTTATGACATAGCAAGAAGGCCTTCACCAGATGCCGACACCATGCTGTTGGACTTCTCAGCTCCCAAAACCGTGAGCTAAATAAGCTTATTCTTTATAAATTACCCAGCCTCCCCAGGTATTCTGTTATAGCAACAGAAAACAAACCAAGATATCTGTGAAAGCCTAGATACACTAGGCACACTAAATATCAGGAATCCAAAAATTGCTCTCTCTGGAATCCATTTCCATACATTACTTCCCTTAATCCTTACAATAACCCTTTGAGATAGGTTATACTCCACACATTTTAGAGTTGAGGAAACTGGCAAAGAAAAGTTGGGTGACCCATCCAAAATCACACAGCTAGTAGGTAGCAAGGACTTGAGGCCCTGTCCTGACATCTGGCCCTTTGGCATAGTTGTTACCTCTTTCTTGGTAGAATGGATCTCCATACCTTAGATCTTCCTTATTTGTATTGCTGAAGACATTTTTACAATTTTATTTATTTATTTATTTATTTATTTATTTAGAGATGGAGTCTCATTCTTTTGCCCAGACTGGAGTGCAGTGGCACAATTTCTGCTCACTGCAACCTCCATCTCCTGGGTTCAAGCTATTCTCCTCCCTCAGCCTCTCGAGTAGCTGGGATTACAGGCACATGCCACTGTGCCAAGCCAATTTTTGTATTTTTAGTAGAGACAGGGTCTCACCATGTTGGCCAGGCTGGTCTCAAACTCCTGACCTCAAGTGATCCACCTGCCTTGGCCTCCCAAAGTGCTGACATTACAGGTGTGAGCCACCCCACCAGGCCCATGAAGACATTTTAAACCCATAAAAGTAAATTCTGATTAACAATTAGAACAGGTCAGTTGCGGTGGCTCACACCTGTAATCCCAACACTTTGGGAGGCCAAGGCAGGTGGATCACTTGAGGTCAGGAGTTCAAGACCAGCCTGGCCAACATGGCAAAACCCCGTCTCTACTAAAAATACAAAAATTAGCTGGGCGTGGTGGTGCATGCCTGTAATTCCAGCAACTGGGAAGGCTGAGGCACGAGAATGGAGGTTGCAGTGAGCCGAGATCACACCACTGCACTCCAGCTTGGGTGACAGAGCGAGACTCTATCTCAAAAAACAAAACAAAACAAACAACAAAAATCCCAATTAGGACAAAGCCCTCTTTTACAATTAATATCATATATCAGGTTGGAAGACAGCTGTGGTGGTCCAAAAAAGACAGCCTCATATTCATTAATGTTGACAGAATTACAGAGCTCTGTCTGCCACTGGGCCTCTCTCTCTGCACATAGCCCTCACTAATAAGCCACACTCATCATCAGCTGCATTTTGTGAGCATTGAGGAAGCATGGCCTTTGGGTTTAATAAAGTACCGAGTCCAGCTCTCTAGGCTGAAAAACATCTCCAAAGACAAGGTCAGCCAAAATTGTCATGGGGGCAAAGATAAATGGAAAAAGTCATATTTATTGTCAAATAGGGACTGGCTGGATAGGATCCTCATCCCTTGCTAGTTGCACTCACAAGCTGTTACCCCAAGAGACATAGCACTTTCCACTTCCAACATTCCATTTCTCCAATGCAACGGGCATCCAAATCACTCTAGTGTCTTCAGACCATTGAACATACATGGCACTCTTCTAATCAGACAGACCATTGAAAGACTTTAGGCCCTGACTGTTTAGCCACATTTACATGGGTTTGAACTGAACCACATCTTCGGAAAAACCAAAGCCTAATAGGTCACAGAAGCCTTAAAAGGGGGACAGGCAGAGAGAAAAAACAAGGCAATTGTTTCCACCTGTAATCTTTTTGGATTTTCCCATTTTAAGAGAGGGTTTCTTTCCTATTTGAGGGCCTTGAGGCACATCATATGAAATGAATGAAAACCTGGCATCAAACAAAATCATCATGAAAATCTAAATGCCCAACGTTCACAAACTCCCCGAATCTGCATTTTTACCCCCAAGTAGCAGCTAGACTCCACTTTGATCTTCCTCCATCTCCATAACATGGCATTCAGACTGGGGTTTTGTTTTGTTTTGTTTTGTTTTGAGGCAGAGTCTCACTCTGTCCCAAGGCTGGAGTGCAGTGGCATGATCTCGGCTCACTGCAACCTCCACCTCCCAGGTTCAAGCAATTCTCCTGCCTCAGCCTTCTGTGTAGCTGGGACTACAGGCGCATGCCACCATGCCCAGCTAATTTTTCTATTTTTAGTAGAGACGGGGTTTCACCATGTTGGCCAGGATGGTCTCAATCTGTTGACCTCGTGATCCGCCTGCCTCAGCCTCCCAAAGTGCTGGAATTACAGGTGTGAGCCACCGCAGACTGGCCTTTTTTTGTCAGGAGGCTGCAGCCTGGTGGAGGCTCCCTCTGCCTGGGGATCTGCATGAAGCCCACACTGACTCCCAGTGAGGATTTCTGATGGAAACTGAAGGCATGCCACCAGTTTTAATGGGATCTTTCGTCCTGAAGAGTGGCATAGCTAGCTGGTGTTGGGACTTAGAAGAAAGATTTTCTGTCACAATGGGAAACAGGAGTTCCTTTCTTTCCTTTGGGCTAAATTCCCTGTTAGCGGGGAGCAGGGGAGCTAGAGATCATCCAGAGACTTCGCTCCTAAGAATCTGGAGTCATCTATCAGTTGGGGCACTCATAGTTGGGATTGGTGCTTGAAGTAGGACATCAGAGATGGGTAAAAAACAAAGAGGGGAAAAATCTGCAAATGTATGTTGCATGCTGTGGCAAATCCCAGATGTGGTCCTCAGGTCCTCCTCCAAGGGAGAACTTGCTGTCCAGCCATACAAGGGCAGTTAGTGGACAGCCTGCAGCTGGCCTTTGCCTACCTCAGCTTTCCAGCCAATGTCACCATCCCACAGGAGTGGCCCTGGCCGGTGACTGAGCAAGGTGGTGGTACAGGGCAAGCCATTTCCATGGGACATGGGATTCCCCTAACAGAGCTCCCCATGGACAGGCAGAGAATACAGGCATCTAGAGATAGTTTGTACACATGCATCCTGGCCTGATGGCTGTCCCTGCCAACCCGGCCAACTCCCATTTCCTTTCATAAGTGTTACTCCCAAAATCACTGTGTCAGCAGATACTTCCCAAAAAGCCAGCCTGCAAGAGCAAGTCTGTCCCCCAAACCTTTGGTGTGGTGGTAGAGATAACCCACTCCACAGGGCAGTGTGCTTTTTCCCTTCAGGGTTCAGTTTTCAAGTTCTGGTTGGAATTTGTCAGATCAGGAATGTGTAAATCTGAAAGATAAATGACATCTTCCATGGGCTTTGGGGAGCTGGAACATTTTCAGCCCCTTAGAAAACAGGAGCCAAGGCTGTGCGCAGTGGCTTACACCTGTAATCCCAGCACTTTGGGAGGCCGAGGTGGGCAGATCACTTCAGTCCAGGAATTTGAGACCAGCCTGGGCGACATGGTAAAACCCCGTCTCTACTAAAAATATAAAAATTAGCTGGGTGTGGTGGCACACACCTGTAGTCCCAGCTACTTGGGAAGCTGAGGCAGGAGGATCCCTTGAGCCCGGGAGGCAGAGGTTGCAGTGAGCCATGAGCGTGCCACTGCACTCCAGCCCTGCAACAGAGCAAGACCCTGTTTCAAAAAAAAAAAAAAAAAAAAAAAGTAAAGACTTTGTCTTGACTAACAAATACACCTGGGCCAGGTATGGTGGCCCATACCTGCAATTCCAGCACTTTGGGAGGCCAAGGGGGTAGGATTGCTTGAGCCCAGGAGTTCAAGACCAGCCTGGCATCATGGCAAGACCCTGTTTCTACAAAAAAATTAAAAAATTAGCCAGGCAGACGGGCATGGTGGCTCACACCTATAATCCCAGCACTTTGGGAGGCCGAGGAGGGCAGATCATGAGGTCAGGAGTTTGAGACCAGCCTGACCATCATGGTGAAACCCTATCTCTACTAAAAATACAAAAATTAGCCGGGCATGGTTGCGCGCACCTGTAATCCCAGCTACTCGGGAGGTGGAGTTTGCAGTGAGTTGAGATCCCACCACTGCACTCCAGCCTGGGCGACAGAGTGAGACTCTGTCTCAAAAAAAAAAAAAAAAAATTAGCTGGGGATGGTGGCCATGGTCCCAGCTACTTGGAAAGCTGAGGCAGGAAGATCCCTTGGAGCCTAGGATTTCAAGGCTTCAGGGAGCCACGAAGGTGCTACTTCACTCCAGCCTGAGCAACATAGTGAGACTCTGTCTCAAAAACAAACACAAAAACACCCACCAGTCACCTAGGTGTGAGATGATACTAAACTAAGCAGAGACCAGGAAACCAAGCTGTGCGTGTTTTTCTCAGTGATGAGGCAGCCCCACTCATAATGTGCTTGTGGCGTAACCCCTGCGTCCTTCCGCCTCCTCCACAACAGTCACTCTGAGTCGTCACTGTCATACCTCTTTACTCCAGGAGCCTTGTATGTTCATGCATAGGGGCCAGCTCTCACGAGGGTCAGCTTCCCGGCCTCATGCCCTGGAAATCTAGGTTGCATTTGTACAACGGGACAGTCAAGATGCTCTGAGGCATCATGATTATAAACACAATTTTTATGAAAACAATCTTGAAGGCATATCTTTGCATTTATCCTTGTTTCTTTAGTACATATTCTCTAGAAATAGAAATGTCTAGACAAAAGCATCTAAAAAACATTTGTCATATTATAATCCAAAAAGCAAGTTCCAATTTATACGTGCTTTTCCCATCTTGCATGACAATATTTATTTCCACATATTCTTGCCAATGTTGGTAATTATCCTAGTTTGTATTTGTCAATTTTCTATATTCTACAGAAGTTTTTTGTTGTTGTTGTTAAATAAGGTTTAGCTGGGCGTGGTGACTCATGCCTGTAATCCCAGCACTTTGGGAGGCCAAGGCAGGCGGATCACAAGGTCAGGAGATCCAGACCACGGTGAAACCCCGTCTCTACTAAAAATATAAAAAATTAGCCAGGCTCGGTGGTGGGCACCTGTAGTCCCAGCTACTTGGGAGGCTGAGGCAGGAGAATGGCATGAACCCGGGAGGCAGAGCTTGCAGTGAGCCGAGATCACGCCACTGCACTCCAGCCTGGGCGACAGAGCGAGACTCCGTCTCAAAAAAATAAAAAAAATAAAAAAATAAGGTTTAGTGTTTGCATATACAAACTCTAAAATAAGGAAGCAATTCTTTACAATTTCTGGGCAACAGCAGAGCTGGGAGGAGGGTGAGGCGCTATGTAACTCTCTCAGGTGCATAATTCAAAGAGCTGTCAAAACACTCAGCAATCAAGACATTTAAAATATTTAATATTTCCAAAAGTAAAAATTAGTGCAAAAATCTCTGATGAACAAAGTATCAAAATTTTACATAAGATGGGTTTCCACCCTGCACAACTGCATGCTTGCCTCACTCCTAGTCCTTGCCCTGGTAAGTAGCGTCCTAGTCTTTATTATTTATTTATTTATTTGTTTGCTTTATAGAGACAGGGTTTCACATGTTGGCCAGGCTGGTCTTGAACTCCTGACCTAAAGCGACCTGCCTGCCTCAGCCTCCCAAAGTGCTGGGATTATAGGTGTGAGCCACCATGCCCAGCCAGAGTCCTAGTCTTTAAAGGGACCCTTTAGCCACATCTGCATAAGTCACTTGATCTAATCTCTTCATTTGATCACAACGCTATACTGTAGTTTAATGTCTTACCTCTGTCATAGAACACAAGACAGTGCTTGGTTCCATATCCTAGGAAAATAGGGGGCCAGGACATCACAGGTGCAGCCACAGATCTGAGCAGGTGTCCAAACACAGTGGAGGCTGGGTGCAGTGGCTCATGCCTGTAATCCCAGCACTTTGGGAGGCTGAGGCAGGAGGATTACTTGAGGCCAAGAGTTCACGACCAGCCTGGGCGAAATAGTGAGACTCTGTCTCTACAAAAAAGTTAAAACTTAACTTTTAATTAATGATGGGTGTGGTGCTGTGCACCTGTAATCCTAGCTACTCAGGAGGCTGAGGTGGAAGAATCACTTGAGCCTAGGCGTTCAAACTGCAGTGAGCTGTGATCACATCACTGTACTCCAGCCTGAGCAACAAAGACCCTGATTCAAAAATAAATACAAAATTTAAAAAAAAAAGTTTTATTTTTAGACAGGGTCTCGTTCCCAAACTGCTGGGATTATAGGCGTGAGCCACCTGGCCTGGCCAGATCTTTCTTTTCCTTTTTTTCTTTCTTTTCTTTTCTTTCTTCTTCTTCTTCTTTTTTTTTTTTTTTTTTTTGAGATGGAGTTCCGCTCATGTTGCCCATGCTGGAGTGCAATGGCGCAATCTCAGCTCACTGCAATCTCCGCCTCCCGGATTCAAGCGATTCTCCCGCCTCAGCCTCCTGAGTAGCTGGGATTACAGGCACCGCCACAACGCCAGGCTAATTTTTTTGTATTTTTAGTAGAGATGGGGTTTCACTATGTTGGCCAGGCTGGTCTTCAACTTCTGACCTCAGGTGATCCACCCGCCTAGGCCTCCCAAAGTGCTGGGATTACAGGTGTGAGCCACCGCACCAGCCAGATCTTTTCTTTTCTAAAAGGCATAAAGCCCTGTGGGTGTTGTGAAGGGGTGGGTTGCCCCTCCACACCTGCGGGTGTTTCTCATTAGGTGGAACGAGAGACTTGGAAAAGAAAAAGACACAGAGACAAAGTATAGAGAAAGAAATAAGGGGGCCCAGGGGACCAGCGTTCAGCATATGGAGGATCCCGCCAGCCTCTGAGTTCCCTTAGTATTTATTGATCATTCTTGAGTGCTTCTTCGAGAGGGGGATGTGTCAGGGTCACAAGACATAGGGGGGAGAGGGTCAGCAGACAAACACATGAACAAAGGTCTTTGCATCATAGACAAGGTAAAGAATCAAGTGCTGTGCTTTTAGATATGCATACACATAAACATCTCAATGCTTTACAAAGCATTATTGCTGCCCACATGTCCCACCTCCAGCCCTAAGGCGGTTTTTCCCTATCGCAGTAGATGTAACGTACAATCGGGTTTTATACCGAGACATTCCATTGCCCAGGGACGGGCAGGAGACAGATGCCTTCCTCTTGTCTCAACTGCAAGAGGCATGCCTTCCTCTTATACTAAACCTCAGCACAGACCCTTTACGGGTGTCGGGCTGGGGGACGGTCAGGTCTTTCCCTTCCCACGAGGCCATATTTCAGACTATCACATGGGGAGAAACCTTGGACAATACCTGGCTTTCCTAGGCAGAGGTCCCTGCGGCCTTCTGCAGTGTTTGTGTCCCTGGGTACTTGAGATTAGGGAGTGGTGATGACTCTTAAGGAGCGTGCTGCCTTCAAGCATCTGTTTAACAAAGCACATCTTGCACCGCCCTTAATCCATTTAACCCTGAGTTTGACACAGCATATGTTCCAGAGAGCACGGGGTTGGGGGTAAGGTCATAGATTAACAGAATCTCAAGGCAGAAGAATTTTTCTTAGTACAGAACAAAATGGAGTCTCCTATGTCTACTTCTTTCTACACAGACACAGTAACAATCTGATCTCTCTTGCTTTTCCCCACAGTGTTGTATTTATTGAATTAAGATTGATGCTTCATGTTCTTCAACAGACCAGGAGAGTTTATCTTTCTTATTTAATAAGGTTTTTTGTTTTGTTTTGAGACGGGGTCTCGCTCTGTCCCAGACTGGAATGTAGTGGTGCAATCATGGCTCACTGCAACCTCGACCTCCTGGATTCAAGCAATCCTCCCTCCTGGTCCCTCCAATGTGCTGGAACTACAGACATGAGCCACCACGCTCGGCCTATTTACTAGCCTTTTTACTGAAAAATTTATTCACTCACTTATTGGCCAGGCGCAGTACCTCACACCTGTAATCCCAGCACTTTGGGAGGCCCAGGCAGGAGGATCACTTGAGCCTAGGAATTCCAGACCACCTGGCCAACATGGTGAAATCCCTTCTCTACTGAAAATACAAAAATTAGCCATGGATGGTGGCACACACCTGTAATCCCAGCTAAGTGGGGGCCTGAGGCAAGAGGATCGCTTGAGCCTGGGAGGCAGATGTTGCAATGAGGCCAGATCACACCACTGCACTCCATCCTGGGTGACAGAGCAAGACTCCATCCAAAAAAAAAAAAAAGCATTCACTCACTGTTTTATTTTTCTTATTTAATAGGAAGAAGAAAGTACTGTTCAAATCAGGGACTTGACTCCCACAAGACTCCCACAAGAGCCCGGAGTCTTAAGTGGACAATGAGCCGTTTAAAACCATGCACAGGCCAGTCGCGGTGGCTTAGCCCGTAATCCCAGCACTCTGGGAGGCCAAGGAGGGCAGGTCACTTGAGGTCAGAAGTTCGAGACCAGCCTGGCCAGCATGGTGAAACCCCATTTCTAGTAAAAATACAAAAATTAGCCGGATGTAGTGGTACGCATTTGTAATCCCAGCTACTTGGGAGGCTAAGGCAGGAGAATCGCTTGAAACCGGGAAGCGGAGGTTGCAGTGAGCCGAGATCGCGCCACTGCACTCCAGCCTGGGCAACACAGCAAGACCCTGTCTAAAAAAAAAAAAAAAGCCAGGCTAAGTGTCTCAAGCCTGTAATTCCAGCACTTTGGGAGGCCTAGGCGGGCGGATCACCTGAGGTCAGTAGTTCAATATCAGCCTGGCCAACATGGAGAAACCCTGTCTCTACTAAAAATGCAAAAAAAATTAGCCAGGCGTGGTGGCGGGCGTCAGTAATCCCAGCTACTCGGGAGGCTAGGGAGGCTGAGGCAGGAGAATCGCTTGAGCCCGGGAGGCGGAGGTTGCAGTGAGCCGAGATTGCGCCACTGCACTCCAGCCTGGGCAACAGAGCGAGACTCTGTCTCAAAAATTAAAAGAAATGTGGCATTTTCCAAGTCTTTTTGGCAAGGTGCTTCCTGGCCGTGGGCGTCGCCCTCCGCACCCCCGCGCTTGTCCCCTGAGAGGAGAGGAGAAAGGAGCAGCCCCGAGCCCCGAGCCCCGCGCCCCCGCGTCCCCCGCGCCGCCATCCGCTCTCGGCCGCCACGCCGGGTTCCTGCCGCCTCCCGACGACAACGTCGCCGCTTCACAGGAGGCAGGGCACCCGGCGAGCGGCGACCGCGAACGCCTCTGACGGCCGCCCAGCCGCCCCCAGCCAGGCCCCGTCGTCCCCAGCCCCGCCCGGAGTCAACCCACCTCCCTCCTCGGCGTTCCCTCCTCCACCCGCGTCCCCACCCCCGCCCCGACGTCCCCTCGCTCCCTCTCAGAGTCCCTTCTACCCCGGGGTCCCCCTGCCCTCTGGGCTTCCTCTAGTCCCTCGTTCCTCCCCTGGACATCTCCTCACCCCTAACCCCCGGCGTCCTCACCGCTCCTCGGAGTCACCCACCCCCGCGTCCCCTAGTCCGCCCCGGCGTCCCCTTCTCCCCTGCGTCCCCTTCTCCCCTGCGTCCCCTCGCTCCCTCCCAGAATCCCCATGGCCCAGGGATCCCCCCGATCCTGGGCCTCCTCCTGGGCATCTCCTTAATCCCACCCCCCGGTGCCAGTCCCCGCACCCCGGCGTCCCCTCGCCGGGTCACTACGCGACGCGGAGGAGGCGGAGCCCGAGTCTCGGCCGCCGGGTGGCTGCTCCGCTGCGGCGCCGCAGTTCAGGCTGGGATGCTCCAGCGCGTCTGTGTTCCCGCACCGGAGAAACCACACTCGCTAGCGCTCTGAATTGGTGCTGGAATTCAGGAAAGAGGGCGTCTTTCCTCCTTAGCCTCCCAGCCCTAGAACCATACTGCAGAAACGAGGTCTTTAGCGATGCGGAGTCACCACTTTGGTGTGACCTCGTGGCGCAATGGTAGCGCGTCTGACTCCAGATCAGAAGGTTGCGTGTTCAAGTCACGTCGGGGTCAAGGTTGGGTTTTTTTTTTTTTCTTTCTTAATTGTAGAGGATTGGAAAGAGCGGAATAAAAGTCATAAATGAGAAATTAAGCCCCCTGCAAGATATGTTGTCCTTCCAACGCAACGGAAAGCAACTTCTTTTTCCTTTCCCTGGGAATAAAAACGCCGTTCCGTTCCGAGGGAGGGGCAGCACCAACCCTCCGAGCGAACCGCGAGGGAGCCGGAAGCCACCCAGCCGTGTCGCAGGGAGGGCGCCCCGCCCGCCACTCCCACGCCCACTTCTGCCCGCCCCCCACTCACCTGGGCTCTCACCTGGAAGGGGTCCCTCGCTTCCCGGAAGTGGGTTCCCCACCCTAAGGACTGGTGTCTTTTGCATCTCCGTCTTCTCCCTGCCTGCCTTGAACTTCTCTTTTTTTGTCTGCCGCACTTTCAGGGATTCCTAGTCTCAGTGATGATCTCTCTGGTGGTCCTTTCTCTGACACCTGAATTGACACCTCATTCTCAGCAGGTCTATGATTCGGCCACAGCCGTAAGGCCTGGATATTCACTTCAATGTTGTCTAACAGTTGTTACCATGTATGATATCTGGTTGGCGGGTTCATAGGATCTAATGTTACGAAACATGATGTTCAGGTCTGAATTCTCTCCACCTGCGTGGTCCAAAAGCCCCAGGCCAAGAAATTATAGTTTCCCAGGTTAGGATACCCCACAGATGCTGGCAGAAGTTGAGGTAAATTCTCTCTGAGAGAAATACATCCTCACAACAGGCCTTTTAGTTTTCCCACATATAAAGTCCCAGTCGAAATTTACTCATAATACATTTTAAAGGAAAATAAAGTCTGTGAAGCTGATTCTGCTGTCCACTGTTTTTGCAAAAACAGCAGAATCAGATCCACAGATTCCAGTATGGAGATTATCAGATATTGAATACCCAATGGATATGTTTAATCTTTTTCAAAAAATAAAAGAGGAGACCAAAAAGTTAACTAGAGAACGATAAACAATAAAAATATATGTGTAAATAACTAAAAACAAAATTCTAGCAATGGAAGATTTAATACTTGAAGTTAGAAACACAATGGATATATTTAACAGCAGATTAGACTGAGTTGAAAAAAGAATAAAATGGAATATTGTGGTGATTCAAAATATGTGGTCAGTCATGACTAAATATACAAATTGAAAACTGCTCAACCGTATTATAAAAATAGAGGGTCAGGCATGGTAGCTCATGCCTGTAATCCCAGCACTTTGGGAGGCCCAGGAGGGAGGATCTCTTGAGCCCAAGAGTTCAAGACCAGACTGAACAACATGGTGAGACCCCATCTCGGAAGTAGTGGTGCACTGCTGTGGTCCCAGCTACTCAGGAGGCTGTGGCAGGAGGATCACTTGAGCCCAGGAGCTCAGGAGGCTGCAGTGAGCCATGATCACACCACTGCACTCCAGCCTGGGCAATAGAGTGAGACCCTGTCTCAAAAACAAAACAAAACAAAAAGTAGGCTGGACGGATCACCTGTGGTCAGGAGTTCGAGACCAGCCTGACCAACATGGAGAAACCCCATCTCTACTAAAAATACAAAATTAGCCAGGCGTGGTGGCACATGCCTTTAATCCCAGCTACTCAGGAGGCTGGGGCAGAAGAATCGCTTGAACCCAGGAAGCAGATGTTGCGGTGAGCCAAGATCATGCCATTGCACTCCAGCCTGGGAAACAAGAGCGAAACTCTGTCTCAAAAAAAAAAAAAAAAAAAAGTCAAGGAATTATGTTTTGGTATAAAATTCTTTGATTTCTTTTAGGGCCTGCTGTCTGTCACGTTAGTATCTTATTGCTACGAAAAGTCAGTCTTAAGGTCTCTGTTTCTTTCTTTTTCTTTTCTTTTTTTTTTTTTTTTTTTTTTTTTTTTTTTTTGAGACAGAGTTTCCCTCTTGTTGCCCAGGCTGCAGGATCTCTGCAACCTTCGCCTCCTGGGTTCAAGCGACTCTCCTGCCTCAGCCTCCCAAGTAGTTGGGATTACAGGCTTGGTGCACCACTACACCTGGCTAATTTTGTACTTTTAGTAGAGATGAGGTTTCACTATTTTGGTCAGGCTGGTCTCGAATTCCTGACCTCAGATGATCCACTCGCCTCCTAAAGTGCTGGGATTACAGGCATGAGCCACTACGCCAGGCCAAGGTCTCTATTTAAAATTGGTGCTGGTCAACTGTGCCTGAATTCCAAAGGGAGGAAGGTATAAGGAAACACGACCACCCATTCCCACCACGGCCTGAACTCGTATTTCAGGTTTACTTTAGAATTGCGCTTGGCCGAGAGGAGGGGTCCGTTCCGTTGTTTGGGGGGCCTAGGAATTTTTTTTTTTTTTTTTTTTTTTTGAGACGGAGTCTCGCTCAGTGGCCCAGGCTGGGATGCAAGCGATCTCAGCTCACTGCAAGCTCCGCCTCCCGGGTTCACGCCATTTTTCTGCCTCAGCCTCCCTAGTAGCTGGGACTACAGGCGCCCGCCACCACGCCTGGCTAATTTTCTGTATTTTTAGTAGAGACGGGGTTTCACCGTGTTAGCCAGGGTAGTCTCAATCTCCTCACCTCGTGATCCACCCGCCTCGGCCTCCCAAAGTGCTAGGATTACAGCGTGAACCACCGCGCCCGGCCTGGGGAACCTAGGATTTTTAGTTTACACCACATACTGGCATCCTTGGCTCCAGAGGGGAGGAATGAGCTTGGGCTTCAGAACTGAGAATGTTCCTATCAGAATCTGTTCCTTCAATGGGCTAAAGCCTGAGCACATGTCACCAAAGCTGGAGAGCTAAGCGGCACAAGCCGAGATCTGGAACCCACCTTCTGTTCCTCCCACGCGCCATCTGAACTTGATACTCAACATGAGAAATTCCTCAGCGTCAGCCCCACTCCCACCTCAGAGGAGGGGCAGCCTCCCTCAGCGGGGACTTCAGCCCCGGGGACACTGCCTGGCCAGGCCTGGGTGAAGAGTCCTCACGACCTCATTCCCTGGAGCTGCCTGTGGGAGAGAGAACTCTAGAAGCTGAGTGTCAGAAAGAAACCGGGTGATCTCAGCCTAGTTCGTGCTCCAGAGGATACACAAAACTGACAGTGGCTGGGAATAGAGGCAAAAAGTGTTCAGAGCGGACTACAGAACTGGAAGGTCCCATTTGCATAAAACAGACAGAATGCCAGGGACCCACAGACTCCCACTCACACAGGACTAGAAAGGAACACGCCAAAACGTTAGTGATAATGATCTCTGGGTGACAAGATAACAGATTTTTTAAACAATCTTTTTGCCTGTGTTTTATTATTTTGAAGCAACAAACAATAAAGAATAGTAGTAAATGTTCCAGCCTACAGTGAGAGGACCTGGCCAGAAATCCTGACTCCTGCCCTGATTAGTTGTGTGGCCTGGGACAGTTTATTTAACCTCTCAGTCCCCAACTTCTTCATCAGTAAAATGGGAATAATAATTGTCCCCACCTTACAGGGCAAATAAGAGAATTCGGTGAATGGATTAGAGTTCATACTGCATGAGTGAACACAGAGAGCTTCAAACAGTGCCTGGCACATGGCAAACACCATAGACGCTGGCGTTGTGTTCACCATTACTCTGTAAACCAAAAATAAAATTCTGACCAGGTGTGGTGGCTCACAGCTGTAATTCCAACACTTTGGGATACCAAGGCAGGAAGATCGCTGGAGCCCAGGAGTTTGAGACCAGTCTGGGCAACATAGAAAGACCTCATCTCTACAAATAATAATTTAAAAAATTAGCCAGGTGTGGTGGCATGCACCTGTAGTCCCAGCTATACTCAGGAGGCTGAGGTGGGAGGACTGCTTGAGCCCAGGAGGTGAAGGCTGCAGTAAGCCATGATCATACTGCTATACTCCAGCCTGGGTGACAGAGCGAGGCCTTGTCTCAAAATAAAATAAATACAAAATAGTAAAATAAAAATGTCTAAGCTCTCCAGCTGACTGGCAGACACGCCCCATTCCCTACCTCTGCCCCCTCCTCAGCCAAAGACATTCCAAACCTGAAAATCTAGTTCAAGCCATGATGGGAAGAGGAGTCTACATGCCTCATGATACCCTTCTCCCTTTGGAATTCAGGTACAAGGGACCAATATTAATGTTAAAATAAAGATCTGGCAGGGCGCAGTGGCTCATGCCTGTAATCCCAGCACTTTGGGAGGCCAAGGCAGGTGGATCACCTGAGGTCAGGAGTTTGAAACCAGCCTGGCCAACATGGTGAAACCCCGTCTCTACTAAAAATACAAAAATTAGCCAGGCATGGTGGCCGGCACCTGTGATCCCAGCTACTTGGGAGGCTGAGGCAGGAGAGTTGCTTGAACCTAGGAGGCAGAGGTTGCAATGAGCCAAGATCAGGCCACTGCACTCCAGCCTGGGCAACAAGAGCAAAACTCCGTCTCAAAATAAATAAATAAATAAAAATAAATAATAATAAAAAAAATAAGATAAAGATCTTAAGACTGACAAAACAATGTCTTTATAGGTACCAAATTCCAATCTGACTCTAGTATAGCATCACATGACAGATAGCAGGCCCCGAAAGAAATCAATGTATTTTATTCCAGAATATATATATATATATATATATATTTTTTTTTTTTTTTTTTTTTTTTTTTTGAGACAGAGTTTCACTCTTATCACCCAGGCTGGAGTGTAATGGTGTGATCTCAGCTCACTGCAACCTCTGCATCCCGGGTTCAAGCAATTCTCCTGCCTCAGCCTCCTGAGTAGCTAGGATTACAGGTGCGTGCCATCATGCCTGGCTAATTTTTGTATCTTTAGTAGAGATGGAGTTTCACCATATTGGCCAGGCTGGTCTTGAACTCCTGACCTCAAGTGATCCACCCGCATAGGCCTCCCAAACTGCTGGGATTACAGGTGTGAGGCACCATGCCCAGCCCCAGAATATATATTTTTTGACATATTTTGAAATGGCCCTGCAAAGCTGTCTCTTGTAGAGGAAATTTGTATCCTGTAGAGAATCCCCCTCCCTTTCCAGGTCTTTTTCCTGGTCCAGGAGAGATTAAGAGTCTGGTACCTTTTCAGGCCTGATAAGAGCTCTAAAGCCCGCTTCCTGGAGGCTTCCTCTGCATGAACAGAAACTTGATCTCCACAACCCCCATTTCCAGACACTCCTTTCTATTGATGCCAGGTTTTTAGATCATAACTTAACTCTTTCAACCAATTGCCAATCAGAAAATCTTGGAATCCACCTATGACCTGGAAGCCTCAATCCACCTCCATCACTCCCAGCTCTCACTCCCCTCTTTGAGTTATCCTGTCTTTCCATACAGAACCAATGTACACCTTAAATATATAGATTGATGTCTGCAAGTTCTCTCCCCCTAAAATGTATAAAATCACACTGTGACCCAACCACCTTGGGCACATATTCTCAGGACCTCATGGGGCTGTGTCACAAGTTGTGATCCTCATATTTGGTTCAGAATAAATCTCTTCCAATATTCTCCAGAATATGGCTCTTTTTGACAGTAGCTCTTCTAGAATTATTAATATTTCCAAGGCTAAGAAACTCATCACTAGATCAGTCAGCAAAAGAAGATTGTGTAAGTTCAGAACTTAGACCAAGAGTGTGTTCCACTGTCACCCAGCTCCAAGACAGGGACCCGTTGATTCTGTGACCTGCATGCTGCGATGGATCATTCAAATGCACAACAGGCTCCTGAGGCCATCACAGGCCGCCTGGCTCTTGTCAGGCCCTCCTGGTGGGGAGATTTTGACCACAGTTAGCAAAGGATAGAGCAAAGGACAGTTTCGCTGTCTAAAAAGCAAAATCTCAGAACACCGGCAGAGGGCGCAAACGGCAAGCCCAGGAATCACAGGGACGTCACTGCGAACATCTTTTTCCTCCAACATAGAACTAATTAACTTTGTGCTTGGGTATTCTCTAAAATAATTTCTGGAAAACCATGTAACCCTTGTACATTTTCTAAGTGGGCATAAAACATTTTCACCATAATTAAAAATAGTTGCGAGGGCTGGCATATCGCAAATAGTAACATTTAAAAATAAAACGATTACATCATTGTTTTAAATATATCCAATGACATATACACAACACAATTTGATACTGTCACCCATTTTTTAAAAATACATGAACAAGTTCTTCCTTAACAGTCAGAATCATTCATCTTTCCTTTTTCTCTTCATATTTCCGTTCCTTCCCCCATCAATTTGTAATATACTTTTATGCTGAAAGTCTTTTATTTACCACTCTACCATGACTCTTGCCACAAAAATACAAATGTAAATTGAAAATTAAAATGTCTCATTTCCTGAGACCTTCAAAGGCTAAGTATTAACAATTTTTCTTTGGGATAGAATTATCACTATTTTAAAAAATATTTTTTGGCTCCCTCAAATCATGGGAACTATAATTAATATCAACACAGCATTGCTACAAACAACACAAATATATTACACATCTTGATAATGTATTATGAGGTTTTGAAGTTGTCAGACTGCCTCTTTGGCACCTGACAAGTGTTTCCACCTTGGAGCAATGTGAGGTACAATGTAGGTGAGAAGGTGTCTTTCTTTAGTGACAAATACACTGAGAAGAGAAAGGAGAAGGCAGTTTTAACCAGAAACTTGGGAATCTGGAACAGTAGTTGCTTTTTTTTTTTCTTTGAGATGGAGTCTCACTCTGTCGCCCAGGCTGGAGTGCAATGGCATGGTGGCATGATCTCGGCTCACTGCAGCCTCTGCCTGCTGGGTTCAAGCAATTCTTCTGCCCCAGCCTCTCGAGTAGCTGGAATTACAGGCACCTGCCATCGTGCGCAGATAATTTTTGTATTTTTGTAGAGACAGGGTTTCACCATGTTGGCCAGGCTGGTCTTGAACTCCTGACCTCAGGTGATCCACCTGCCTCTGCCTCCCAAAGTGCTGGGATTACAGTCATGAGCCTTAAAACTTTCCTTGTCACACACAGTATTCCCTTGTCACATACAGTATTGACTACTCCAGTTTGAAGATGCGGTCAAAACCTGCTATGGAGAGACTGGGAAAGCTGACCGAGCCAGTGGCCCACTGGAGGGACCACAGCAGAGCAGACGGAGCAATAACATTCCAGATGCTGGGGGAGGAGCACACCCCAAGGTCTTTGCATGGCCCCGGAGTGCTGGGCCAGATGTCACTCAGCCAAGTCAACCCAAAGGAAGCCTGGAGACCGAGTCACAGGTAGAATCTGTGCAAAGGGAGGAGTAGACATTTTAAAAAAGAAAAAGAAAAACGCAATTTTCCCAAATAGCTTTGTTACTTTTTGACAAGGAATAACAGAACACCCGTGAGTAGGTAGTTTTTCTGTTTAAAAAAAAAAATTTTTTTTGAGACATAGTTGCGCTCTCTCACCCAGGCTGGAATGCAGTGGCACCATCTTGGCTCACTGCAACCTCTGCCTCTCAGGTTCAAGCGACTCTCCTGCCTTAACCTCCCGAGGAGCTAGGATTACAGGCGCCCACCGCCACGCTAATTTTTGTATTTTTTAGTAGAGACGGAGTTTTGCCATGTTGCCCAGGCTAGTCTCAAATTCCTGACCTCAGGAGATCTGCCTGGCTCGGCCTCTCAAAGTGCTGGGCTTGAGCCACCACTCCCGGCCTGTTTTAAATGTTTTAACTTGGGTTAAAGTGTTTCTATTTTAAGTGTTACATATGTCTATAGTCTATTTAATTGCCTTACTTTGCAATAAGACACTGAAATAATTTATAGCTCTTTAAACTCCACTTTTAGGGGCTGGATACAGTGGCTCACGCCTATAATCCCAATGCCTTAGGAAGGCCAAGGTGGAGGGATCGCTTGAGGCCTGGAGTTCAAGCCTAGCCTGGCCAACATGGCAAGACTGCTACCCCCAACTATTATTATTCTGAGACAGGATATCTCTCTGTTACCGAGGATGGAATGCAGTGGTGCCGTCAGAGCTCACTGGGACCTTGAACTCCTGGGCTCAAGGAATCCTGATGCCTCAGCCTCCTGTCTGTCTGGGGCTACCAGCATGTCCACACCTGACTAATTTTTGTATTTTTTTGTAGCAATGGGGTCTCACTATGTTGGCCAGGCTGGTACGGACTACTGGCTTCAAGTGATCCTCCAGCCTCAGCCTCCCAAAGGGGTGAGATTATGGGTGTGAGCCACCCCACCTGGCCTAGTTATTTTTTAATTAAAATTATTATTTAAATAATATTTATTTTTATTAGTGGCTCCGGAGTGCAATCCCAGAAACTCAGAAGGCTGAGGAGGGAGGATTGCTTGAACCCAGGAGTTCAAGACCAGTCTATCAACATAATGAGACCCAGTCTCTACCAAAAATAAATAAATAAATAATTAGTCGGGAGTCTAAGTTCCAGCTACTTGGGAGACTGAGACGGGAGGATCGCTTGAACCCAAGAGATCGAGTCTACAGTGAGTGATGATCGCACCACTGCACCCCAGCCTGGGTGATAGAGTGAGATCCTGAACCAAAAAAAAAAAAAAAAAAAAAAATAGAGATAGTTTGTACTTGAATGCAACTTAAGTCCCCTACTTGTTGAAGACCGCCCATGATTGTCTGGTCTTAGACATTTTGAAATGGGATGAAATGTATGTGCCTTAGCAGAAAGAACAAGCTTTAAAGTTAGACATATTTACATTTAAATCCTGGTTTGACCAGTTGCTTTTACATAAGCCTTAGTTTTCTCACCTATGAAGAAATAAGAATAAGAGATAATAATGCCCATTGTGATTTTTTTTTTCTTTTTGGTGAGAATCAAATGAGAATGTGTTATAGGGCCTGGCAGTTAGGTGTTCAAAACTGGGGGTTATTCTTGTGGTGATGCTGAACAGGGCTGTCTTTATACTTCCATTGCTCTGAGGGCCAGGACTTCTGGGGCCAGCTCTTGCCCTAAATTCCTGTGTGACCTTGGGCAAGTCCCATTTTCCTCTGAGGCCCAGTGACCCCATGTGTCCAATGCAAGCTGGAGAGGCCTCCAGCTTTGACACTCTCGTGATAACTCTCTACAGCCTTGCTGCTTAGAAGGTGGGCCTCAGACCCGCAGCAGAGGAGGCCTGGGAGTAGCTGCAGACTCTCAGACCCCACCCAGACCTACCCCAGACTCTGAATCAGCACCTGAACAAGGTTTCCAGGTGATTCTCATGCACGTTGCGGCCGAAAAGATTCTGCCCAACTGTTCCGAATTAAACTGATTTGAAGTACCTTAGTTGACGAACCAAACCACCAGAATGATTGGGAATTTAGACATTTTGTTGACTCTAGGAATTAGGCATATCCTGACAGTTTAGAGACATTACTTTTCATTTCTGACTCCTCACATCTGAAAATATGGAATTTATTCATTCTGAATGTTTTATTTCTGGGGACAGCAGGTGCTCCCAGTGCATTTGCTGAATGAGTGATGAGCTGTGTATGGAGTTGGATATTCCTGTCTTTTGATTATCTGTTGTTAAATGATGACCTTTTGTTCCCACTCTGTTTCTGGAATCAGGCAGAAGTAATTTCCAGTCCCCTATCTGCCACTGATTAGCCATTCAGCTCCAGGCAAGTTACTTAAACCATTTGAACTGCAATTCACCCATCTGAAGAAAGCAAGTAATAACCCCCTCTAGGATCCTTGTCAGGATTATGAGGTAATGGCTGAAAACACTCAGCCCAGCCCTAGAATATGGCAGCTGTTAATGATATTACAAGAAGGAAATGTCATTACATCAAATAGTAGGTAATGGACAATGGTATTACATTATTATAGTTGTCATTGTTATTAATATCTTGGGGACAGATTCAAATGGAGCTATAGGACAAAAAGTGCTTCTGGGCATTCTCCCTCAGTGATCAGATGACACCCAGGTTCCTGGAAGATGGTTCCCTCCAAGGTCTTTGATATTACTTCTGGTCTGGTGTCACACTTGGTCCACAGTGGCCCCTCACAGGCATGACCAAGCAAACACTCTTCTCCAAAGATGGCTTACAATCTGAGAGTCCTTGTACTTCTTACAAACATAGTCCCTCAGATGACTCCAAGTGGCCTTTGTAGTTGCACAGAGCTTTCTGGACTGGAAAGATGGCGGACAGGATGTTCTCCTACTTTTTATTTTATTGATTGATTGATTGATTGATTGAGATGGAGTTTCGCTCTTGTTGCCCAGGCTAGAGTGCAATGGTGTGATCTCGGCTCACCGCAACCTCCTCCTCCCGGGTTCAAGTGATTATCCTGCCTCAGCCTCCCGAGTAGCTGGGATTACAGGCATGTGCCACTATGCCCAGCTAATTTTGTATTTTTAGTAGAGATGGGGTTTCTTCATGTTGGTCAGGCTGGTCTCGAACTCCCTACTGTCTCATGCATCCATGTGACGAGACCACCAAACAGGCTTTGTGTGAGCAACAAGACTGTTTACTTCACCTGGGTGCAGGAGGGCTGAGTCCGAAAAGAGAGTCAGCAAAGGGCGGTGGGATTATCATTAGTTCTTATAAGTTTTGGGATAGGCGGTAGAGTTAGGAGCAATGTTTCGTGGGCAGGAGGTGGATCTCACAAAGTACATTCTCAAGGGTGGGGAGAATTATAAAGAAGCTTCTTAAGAGTGGGGGAGATTACAAAGTACATTGATCAGTTAGGGTGGGGCAGAAACAAATCACAATGGTGGAATGTCATCAGTTAAGGCTATTTTCACTTCTTTTGTGGCTCTTCAGTTGCTTCAGGCCATCTGGATGTATACACGCAGGGCACAGGGGTTATGATGGCTTAGCTTAGGCTCAGAGGCCTGACACCTACGTCAGGTGATCTGCCACCTCGGCCTCCCAAAGTGCTGGGATTACAGGCTGAGCCACCATGCTTGGCCCTTATTTATTTATTTATTGAGACAGGGTCTCACTCTGTTGCCCAGGCTGGATTGCAGTGGCACAATCATGGCTTGTTGCTGCCTTGACCTCCCGAGCTCAAGCAATCCTCCTACCTCAGCCTCCTGAGTAGCTGGGACTAGAGGCTCATGACACCATGCCTGGCTAATTCTTAAATTTTTTTGTAGAGATGAGGTCTTACTATGTTGCCCAGGCTGGTCTCCAACTCCAGGGCTCAGCCTCCCATCCCATGATGCTGCCTGTTTCTTGAGTCCAGGGGTCATGTTTGATGGGGAACAGAATGACTTCAGCTAAGTCATCTCTGTCAAGACCTGGAGTATTTTATTTTAACCTCCAAAATCCAACACTAGTCCCATTCTGACCTGCACTCAAGAGCAGTGCTGAGTCAACTGAGCTCCTGGCCAGTCTGGGGGCTTGAGCTCCATCCTGGTTGAGCACGACCAAGCCCTTAGAGTTATCAGACACCCTTGGCTATCTCTGGTCTGCACATCCTGAGCCCAGATTGCAGCAGCAATTGGCCTAGGCATTAACCTTGGGCACTGCCTGGAGATTGTTGGGCTGAGTCATAAAAGATGTTGTGGGGGAAATAAAGAGAAATCAGACTGTTATTGTATCTATTAGAAAAAGGAAGACATAAGAAACTCTATTTTGATCTGTACTAAGAAAAATTCTTCTGCTTTGAGATGCTGTTAATCTGTAGACCTAGCCCCAGCCCTGTGCTGGCAGATAACATGTGCTGTATTGACTCAAGGTTTAAGGGATTTAGGGCTGTGCAGGATGTGCTTTGGTAAAAATGTGTTTGCAGGCAGTATGCTTGGTAAAAGTCATCACCATTCTCCAGTCTCGAGTACACAGTGCACTGCGGAAGGCCGCAGGGACCTCTGCCCAAGAAACCCTGGGTGTTGTCCAGGTTTCCCCCCACTGAGACAGCCTGAGATATGGCCTCGTGGGAAGGGAAAGACCTGACCGTCCCCCAGCCCGACACCCGTAAAGGGTCTGTGCTGAGGAGGATTAGTGAAAGAGGAAGGCCTCTATGCGGTTGAGATAAGAGGAAGGCCTCTATGCGGTTGAGATAAGAGGAAGGCATCTGTCTACTGCTCGTCCCTGGGAATGGAACGTCTTGGTGTAAAACCTGATCGTACATTCTATTTACTGAGATAGGAGAAAACTGCCTTACGGCTGGAGGTGAGACATGCTGGCGGCAATACTGTTCTTTACTGCACTGAGATGTGTAAAGTCAAACATAAATCTGGCGTATGTGCACATCCAGGCACAGCACCTTTCCTTAAACTTATTTTTGACACAGAGTCCTTTGCTCACATGTTTTCCTGCTGACCCTCTCCCCACAATTACCCTATAGTCTTGCCACATCCCCCTCGCCGAGATGGTAGAGATAGTGATCAATAAATACTGAGGGAATTCAAAAACCAGTACTGGTGCAGGTCCTCACTTGCTGAGCGCTGGTCCCCTGGGCCCACTTTTCTTCCTCTATATTTTGTCTCTGTGTCTTATTTCTTTTCCCACTCTCTTGTCTCCACCTTGCGAGAAGTACCCAGGGGTGTGGAGGGGCAGGCCCCCTTAAAATGTGGCCACATGTTTTGAACAAAAAGTCATAAAAAAGATGTGGCCACATGTTTTGCCCATTTGGGCTTAAAATCTCAGGGTCTTACATCTGCATATGACTAGGTGTGAGCTGGGTGGGGCGGAGGGGCGTCCTCTGTCGGGGTGTACATGGGGGCACCTTGTAGGGCAGTGCTTCAAGCCCAGAGATGTATCAAGAGATTTCTTTGACATCTTGGACAAGGATATGGACTTCTGCTGAGCATACATGTCAGACGCTCACTCTTGGTTGCCTGCTTTACACCCATTCTGCTCCTATTCTGTGCTCACAGAACCACAATGATTTTTCTTTTCAAAGAACCAGCTTTTGGTTTTGTTGGTTTTTCTCTATTGATTTCCTATTTCCAATTCTATTGGCTTCTGCTCTAATTTCTTTTTTTCTTTTCTTTTGTTTGCTTTGGATTTAATTTGCTCTTCTTTTTCTTGTTTCCTATGGTAGAAGCTTAGATGATTGATTTTAGATCTTTCTCTTTTCTCATAGATGCAGTCAATGCTAGAAATATCCCCCTAAGCACTATTTTTTAATTCTGCATCCCACAAATTCTGATAGTTTGTATTTTCATTTTCATAAGATTTAAATTCATGACCAACATGTTTTAAAACTTTTCTTGGGATTTCTTCTTTGGCCCATGTGTTACTCAAAAGCGTGTTGTTGGCCGGCGCAGTGGCTCACACCTGTAATCCCAGCACTTTGGGAGGCTGAGGCGGGTGGATTTCCTGAGGTCAGGAGTTCAAGACCAGTCTGACCAACACGGTGAAACCCCGTTTCTACTAAATACAAAAACTTAGCTGAGTATGGTGACGCATTCCTGTAATCCCAGCTACTTGAGAGGCTGAGGCAGGAGAATCGCTTGAAACCGGAAGGCGAAGGTTGCAGTGAGCCGAGATTGCGCCATTGCACTCCACCCTGGGCAACAAGAGTGAAACTGTCTCAAAAAAGAAATGTGTTGTTTAATCTCCAGATATTTTGGGCTTTTTCCAGCTAGCTTTCTGTTATTGATTTCTAGTTTAATTTTATTGTGTCCTGACAACATACTTTGTGTGGTTTCTTTTTCTTTTTCTTTTCTTTCTTTTATTTATTTTTTTTGAGACATAGTTTCGCTGGAGTACAATGGCGCGACCTTGGCTTGCTGCAACCTCTGCCTCCCTGGTTCAAGCGATTCTCCTGCCTCAGCCTCCTGAGTAGCTGGGATTATAGGCATGCACCACCACACCCGGCTAAATTTTGTATTTTTAGTAGAGACAGGGTTTCTCCGTGTTGGTCAGGCTGGTCTCGAACTCCCAATCTCAGGTGATCCATCCACTTGGGCCTCCCAAAGTGCTGGGATTACAGGCATGAGCCATCGTGCCCGGCCCAAAATGTTCTTCTGAAGCCCTGTGCACTTTACCTCACTTCCTTTAACTTTTTTTTTTTTCTTTGAGACAGAGTTTCGCTCTTGTTGCCCAGGCTGGAGTGCAATGGCTTGACCTTGGCTCACCGCAACCTCCGCCTCCCAGGTTCAAGTGATTCTCCTGCTTCAGCCTCCCGAGTAGCTGGGACTACAGACATGAGCAACTATGCCCAGCTAATTTTGTATTTTTAGTAGAGACAGTGTTTCTCCATGTTGGTCAGGCTGGTCTCGAACTCCCAACCTCAGGTGATCCACCCGCCTGGGCCTCCCAAAGTGCTGGGATTATAGGTGTGAGCCACCATGCCTGGTCTGTGTGGTTTCTATTCTTTTGAATTTGTTAAGGTGTGTTTTATGGCCCAGAAAATGGCCTATCTCATGGATGTTCCATGCTACCTTGAGAAGAATGTATATTCTGCCGTTGCTGGATGAAGCAGCCTACAAATACTTATATATCTGCTTGACTGGTGGTGCTACTGAGTTACTGAGTTTCTGCTCGCTAGATCTGTTCATTTTTGATAGAGGGGTGTTGAAATCTTCAACCAATAATAGTGGATTCATGTATTTCTCCTTGTAGTTCTATCAGTTTTTGCTTCACACATTAAGGATTGCTATGGGGCCAGGTGAAGCACTTTGGGAGGCCGAGGTGGGCAGATTGCATGAGTCCAGGAGTTTGAGACCAGCCTTGGCAACATGGCAAAACCCTGTCTCTGCAAAAAAATACAAAAATTAGCCAAGCATGGTGGCATGTGCCTATAGTCCCAGCTACTCGGGAGGCTAAGGTGAGAGGACCACTTGAGGAGGTTGCAGTGAGCCGAGATCACACTACTGCACTCCAGCCTGGGTGACACAAAGAGAGCAAGACCCTGTCTCAAAAAAAAAAAAAAAATTGCTATGCATTAACCCCTTTACCATTGTGTAATACCCTTATAAAGATATCCCTTTCTTTGCTCTGAAATCTGTTCTGTCTAAAGTCAGTATAGCTAACCCTTGCTTTCTGTTGATAAGCGTTAGCATAATATATCTTTCTGCATCCCTTTGCCTTTAATCTAGATGTCTTTATATTTAAAATAGCTTTATTTTATTATTATTATTATTATTATTTTAATAGAGATGGGATCTTGCTACGTTGCCCAGGCTGGTTTTGAACTCCGAGGCTTAAGCAATCCTCCCACCTCAGCTCCCAAATTGCTGGGATTACAGGCGTGGGCCACCTTGCCTAGCCTGTGTTTCTTTTTCTTTTTTAAAAACTTTTTCTTAGTGGTTCCCCAAAAGTTTGCAATATACATTTACAATTAATTCAAGTCCACTTCCAAATAACAATGTGTCACTTCACAGGTAATACAAGTGCTTTATAATAACAAAATAATCCTAATTCCTCCCTCTCATTCCTTTCTATGGTTGCTGTCATTCATTTCACTTATGCATACTTAAGCATATCTAAGTTTCAAGGGATTGATCCTGATTTGCCTAAACCAATCACCACTGCCCCTTGTCTAACCCACCACCACAAGCCTCTTTTGGAGATATTACGGGGAAGGGTGTTGGGTTTCCCACTACAGGTAAGCTGGGGTTCGGTTCGACCATTTTAATTTTGATTTTAGATGATAGGGTGACCTTAGCAGGTTGGGCAACTTGGGGACATCCAATCCGGGTTGTTAGAATTTCTCGTACATGTGTATTGGAATTATCTTGATTTTGCCACTTTTCATTGTTTATGTGTTCCCCGAGAGGCAACCACGTGTTTAGGAATGTTTGCCACATGGTTATCAAGTTTCAAAGAGGAGGAATCATATAAGATTTAAATTCATGACCAGGCTCAGTGGTTCATGCCTGTAATCCCGGCACTTTGAGAGGCCAAGACGGGAGGATTGCTTCAGCGCAGGAGTTAAGACCACCCTGGGCAACATGGCAAAACTCCATCTCTACCAACAACAACAAATTAGCTGGGCGTGGTGGCATGAGCCTGTAGTCCCAGCCACTTGGGAGGCTAAAGCGGGAGGATCACTTGAGCCAGGGAGGTAAAGGTTGCAGTGAGCCATGATAGTACCACTGCACTCCAGCGTGGGCGACAGAGCAAGATGCTGTCTCGAGAAACAAAACAAAACAAAAACCACCACCACCAACAAGAAACAGACTGGCCACCGTGGCTCACGCCTGTAATCCTAGCACTTTGGAAGGCAGAGGTGGGCAGGTCATTTGAGGTCAGGAGTTTGAGACCAGTCTGGCCAACATGGTGAAACCCTGTCTCTATTAAAAATACAAAAATTACCCAAGCGTGGTGGCGTGTGCCTGTAGTCCCAGCTACTTGGGAGACTGAGGCATGAGAATCTCTTGAATCCAGGAGGCAGAGGTTGCAGTGAGCCAAGATCTTGCCACTGCACTCCGAGCCTGGACAACAGAGACTCTGTTTCAAAACAAAAATAAACAAAAAAAACCCCCCAAAACCTGACGCTTTGAACCGCTATGGTGATGGCTAAGTGCAGGCATCACATCCCACAGTTAGGAAAAAATTACAAACCAAACACTGGGCTCTGAGATAAATCAGACCAAACCAAAAAAACCAGGGTTACTCTGTCAAGTCCTAGTATCCCAAATCAGTGAAACTTGAGTTGTTCCTGGAAGTTGTTGACTCCCTGACCTGAAATTCTTCTCTCTGATTTTTGTAATGCTAATATCTGAAGATGTGTTATGACCTTTATGGATATGATTTTCATGTGAAATTTTCGCTGTTTTTTCTTTTTTTCATATCATTAACAGACAGTAACTTTGGTAATCTTGTCTTTTTTTTTCTTCAAAAACCTGTAGTGTCTTCTGATTTGGAAATCCATTCCCTGAAGTCTGACCATGCAATTGTTCTGCAGATAACATTCTTCCCTTGTTTAAAATGCATCTGCTTCTGGCTTTTTCTCCCACTGGGAAGGGTCCACCCAGAAAGCCTGGAGGCACTGATCTACTGGAGCTTCCGGGGCGGTTTGTCCAGGTGCACAGATGAACCTAGATCATTTTCTTTCTTTTTTTTTTGAGACGGGGTCTCGCTCTGTTCACTCTGTCGTCCAGGCTGGAGTGCAGTGGCGCGATCTCGGCTTACTGCAAGCTCCACCTCCCAGGTTCACACCATTCTCCTGCCTCGGCCTCCCCAGTAGCTGGGACTACAGGCGCCCGCCACCACGCCTGGCTAATTTTTTTGTATTTTTAGTAGAGACGGGGTTTTGCCATGTTGGTCAGGCTGGTCTTGAACTCCTTACCTCAGGTGATCTGCCTGCCTCAGCCTCCCAAAGTGCTGGGATTACAGGTGTGAGCCACCGCGCCCTGCCGAACCTAGATAATTTCTAAAGCTCCTATAACTTGGAGATGATGACGTTAATAGTGATGGCTTATATTTGCATTCCTCAATAGGGTTCACAGGCAGGCATGGCTGCTCATGTCGGTAATCCCAACACTCTGGCAAACGGAGGCTGGAGGATCACTTGAGCTCAGGAGTTTGAGGCTCGCCTGGGCAACACAGGTAGACCCTATCTCTATAAAAAATAAAAAAATTAGCCAGGCATGGTGGTGAGTGCCTGTAATCCTTACTAAGGAGGCTGAAGTGGGAGGATCACTTGAGCCTAGGAGGTTGAGGCTGCAGTGAGCCAAAATCATGCCACTGCACTCCAGCCTGGGTGACAGAGTGAAACCCTGTCTCAAAAAAAAGGAGTCATAGTGTACTTTTACACTCATTTTATCCTTTGATCCTCCCAATAAGGATGCATTTCCTTTTTTTTTTTTTTTTTTTTTTGAGACAGAGTCTCGCTCTGTCGCCCAGGCTGGAGTGCAGTGGCTCGATCTCGGCTCACTGCAAGCTCAACCTCCTGGGTTCACGCCATTTTCCTGCCTCAGCCTCCCGAGTAGCTGGGACTACAGGCGCCTGCCACTGCGCCCGGGTAATTTTTTTGTTGCTGTTGTATTTTTAGTAGAGACGGGGTTTCACCGTGTTAGCCAGGATGGTCTCGATCTCCTGACCTCATGATCCGCCCGCCTCGGCCTCCCAAACCAAAGTGCTGGGATTACAGGCGTGAGCCACTGCGCCCGGCCAAGGATGAATTTCATGATGCAATAAAGCTTAAAGCTTAACTCTCACGAATCTGTTTTTTTTTTTTTTTTTTTTTTTTTTTTTTTTTTTTTTTTGTGAGACAGTTTCTTGTTGCCCAGGCTGGAGTGCAGTGGCGTGATCTCGGCTCACTGCAACCTCCACCTCCTGGGTTCAAGCGATTCTCCTGCCTCAACCTCCTGAGCAGCTGGGATTACAGGCTTGCGCCACCATGCCCAGCTAATTTTTGTATTTTTAGTAGAGAAGGGGTTTCACCAGACCTCAGATGATCCGCCCGCCTCGGCCCCGCAGAGTGCTGGGATTACAGGCGTGAGCCACCGCGCCGCCTCCTGTGTTTTTTTAACTGTTTGCTGGCTTTGTTTCTGTTTTACTTTCTAGATTCTGTCTGATTCTTGGCCAGGTCTGTTTCTGGCTTGTGTTCTGATTTGTATACAGCGACTTATGGCCCCTTCAGTGAGGTTTTCATGATCTGACCATTAGGCGAACTCTGCCAGACAGCAGACTGAGCAGGAATTCTGATTATTGGTAGTAGATTTTTGTTGTTCTTGTTTTGGTTTGTGTGTTTATCTTGGAGATCCCAATGTCTCCTGGCTCCTCAGTTTTGTCTTTATTGTTTATATACAGTGTGAGTGCAATTTATTCAATTAGAAAAGGGCCTTTTCTTTCCCTGGAATGGAGAGCAGCCTTTGATTCCTGTAGCTCAACCAATTGGTCAGTTTTGAGTTCTGCGTTTTCCTTTATGATTTGTGGGCAAAGTTAACAAAACTGAAAAAGTTGGCTCTCTTTCTGTGTATCTAAATTTATTTATTTATTTTTTGAGACAGGGCCTCACTCTGTCATCTAGGCTGGAGTGCAGTGGCACAATCACAGCTCACTGCAGCCTCCACCCCCCTCCATGCTCAAGTGATCCTCCCACTTCAGCCTCCCAAGTAGCTGGGACTACAGGCGCATGCCACCACACCTAGCTAATTTTTGTATTTTTTTTTTTTTTGTAGAGACGGGGTTTCAACATGTTGCCCATGCTGGTGTTGAACTCCTGAGCTCAAACAATTCTCCTGCCTCAGCCTTCTAAAGTGTTGGGATTACAGGCGTAAGCCTCTGCACTACCCTGTGTGTCTAAATTTTAAAAAGCCTTCCCCTTTCTTGCCAAAAACAGGTATTTACCCTTTACAATCACCTGTTTATACTCTCTCTGCCTCCCTCTCTCTCTCCCTCTCTGTCTTCATTTAATATCTGTGATTCTCTTGGCTTTGCCCTTTTCCAATATTGGCTTTATCCCAGGGCCAGCAGCATTATGGTTGTAGCACTTCCAGGCATAACATTCAGATACCACTGGGTGTGGTGGCTCACGCCTGTAATTCCAGCACTTTGGGAGGCCAAGGCAGGTGGATTGCTTGAGCTCAGGAGTTCGAGACCAGCCTGGGCAACATGGTGAAACCCCGTGTCTACAAAAAAATACAAAAATTAGCCAGGTGTGGTGACGGGCTCCTGTGGTCCCAGCTATTTGGGAGACTGAGGTGGGAGGACCTCTTGAGCCCAGGAAGCAGAGGTTGCAGTGAGCCAAGATCACACACTACACTCCAGCCTGGGCAACAGAGTGAGACTCTGTCTCGAAAAAAAAAAATTCGGATGCCACAATATCTGAAGGAGAAAATAGGGGCCTTTTTCTTCTCTGACTGTTAGAAATAGGAAAGTTTTTCCAGAAACGCCATTAGATTTTCACTCAGGCTTCATGGCTAGAATTGGATCATGAGCTTGGGCAACATAGTGAGACTCTGTCTCTAATATACATATAAATACATTAAATAGAATTGGGTCATGCATGTCCATTCCTACATAGGGCCCTGAGAAGGAAAATGAGATTCTTGTGGCTGGCTAAATGACCCATCTGGGGTGAAAGGAATGTTGGGGAACTAGCCACAATGACCACCATCAATTCTACAATAAAAAGAGAATCGAGGGCCGGGCACGGTGGCTCACACCTGTAATCCCAGCACTTTGGGAGGCTGAGGCGGGCAGATCATGAGGTCAGGAGTTCGAGACCAGCCTGGCCAACATAGTGAAACCTCATCTCTACTAAAAATACAAAAATTAGCCAGGCGTGGTGGCACATGCCTGTAGTCCCAGCTACTCGGGAGACTGAGGCAGGAGAATCGCTTGAACCCAGGAGGTGGAGGTTGGAATGAGCCGAGTTCTCACCATTCCAGCTTGGGCAAAAGAGTGAGACATAATCTCAAAAAAAAAAAAAAAAAAAAAAAAAAAGAGAATCGGGGCCGGGCACGGTGGCTCACACCTGTAATCCCAGCACTTTGGGAGGCCGAGGCGGGTGGATCACTTGAGGTCAGGAGTTCGACACCAGCCTGGTCAATACAGTGAAACCCTGTCTCTACTAAAAATACAAAAATTAGCCAGGTGTGGTGGCACATGCCTGTAGTCCCAGCTACTCGGGAGACTGAGGCAGGAGAATCGCTTGAACCCAGGAGGTGGAGGTTGGAATGAGCTGAGTTCTCACCATTCCAGCTTGGGCAAAAGAGTGAGACTTAATCTCAAAAAAAAAAAAAAAAAAAAGAGAATCAGGGCCGGGCACGGTGGCTCACACCTGTAATCCCAGCACTTTGGGAGGCCGAGGCGGGTGGATCACTTGAGGTCAGGAGTTCGACACCAGCCTGGCCAAAATGGTGAAACCCCATCTCCACTAAAAATACAAAAAAAGTTAGCCAGGCATGGTGGCGCACATCTGTAATCCAAGCTACTCTGGAGGCTGAAGCAGGAGAATCGCTTGAATCTGGGAGGTGGAGGTTGCAGTGAGCTGAGATCGTGCCATTGCACTCTGCACTCCAGCCTGGGCGACAGAGTGAGACTCCATCTCAAAAAAAAAAAAAAAAAAAAGAGAGAGAGAGAGAGAATTGGAGTGGATTGGAGTTTTCACCTGTAATGTATAACGCTAGAAGCATGGGAATGTGTAAAATATCATGACCGCAAACATTCAGAAAGCACACGCCACAATATCCTGAGAAAGTACCCACTAGAAAATGAAAAGCTAATCAGAATTTAAAATTACAGGGAAGATACAGACGTGGTCAGAACATGGTGAGTATGAGATGCTGAATAAGGCCTCCCAAAGATGTCCCCATCCATCTACTGAAACCTGTGAATACATAACCTTGCATGGCAAAAGGACTTGGAGATGTGATTACTACAAGGATCTTAAGATGCAAAGGTTATCCTGGGTTATCGGGTGGGCCTAATGGAATCTCTTTTTCTGAGAGGAAGACAAGAGAGTAAAAGCTGGAAAAAGGAGACGTGATGAAAGAACAGAGGCTGCAGTGATGTGCTTTGGAGATGGAGGAAGAGGGAGGCGGCATCTAGAAGCAGGAACAGGCAAGGGAATGGATTCTTCCTGAGCCCTAGCAAGAACGCAGCTCTGCTGACACCTTGATTTCAGCCTCACGGAACCCATTTCAGGCTTCTGACCTCTGTTAAATAGTAACTTTGTGTTATCATAAGCTATTAAATTTGTGGTAATTTGTTACAGCAGCAATCAATAAACACTTATCATGAATGACCAAAATTAATTCAAGAAGAGGTTAAACAAAACCCTGAATAGACCAGCAACTTCTAAATAAACAGAAAACCTTTTATTTTTTTTCTTATTTTTAAATAAAATACCCCTTCTATAAAGGCATCAGATGGTCCTCTAGGTGAGTGGCCTTCAAACCTTCAAGAAACAGATCATTCTTATGGTATTTGAATAATTACAGAGCCTAAAGATTCACGGAAGCCAGGCGCAGCAGCTCACGCCTGTAATCCCAGCACTTTGGGAGGCCAAGGCAGGAGGACTGCTTGAGCCTAGGATTTCAAGACCAGCCTGGGCAACATAGTGAGACCCCTGTCTGTATAAAAATAAATAAATATAAAAATCCTGAATATAATATTAGCAATAAATCTACCACTATATACCTGTTATAGTATACTATTATGAATAAGGGAAGTTTATTCCAGGAATCAGTGACAGCTAAACATTAGGAAATCTACAATGAACTTACACTAACAACCGAAAAGAGAAGAAAAATTTGATTATTTCAATTAATACTAAATATATATATATATATATAGAGCACAGTGGCTCATGCCTGTAATCCCAGCACTCTTGGAGGCCAAGGCAGGAGGATCACTTTGAGCTCAGGAGTTTGAGACCAGCCTAGGCAATATAGTGAGACCTCTTTGTCTCTATAAAAAATATGAAAATAGGCTGGGCATGGTGCCTCATGCCTGTAATCCCAGCACTTTGGGAGGCCAAGGCAGGTGGATTACCTGAGGTTGAGACCAGCCTGACCAACAAGGAGAAACCCCAACTCTACTAAAAAAAAAAAAATTCAAAATTAGTCGGGTGTGGTGGCACATGCCTGTAATCCCAGCTACTCGGGAGGCTGAGGCAGGTGAGTTGCTTGAACCCAGGAGGCAGAGGTTGCGGTGAGCCAAGATCGCACAATTGCACTCCAGCCTGGACAACAAGAGTGAAACTCTGTCTCAAAAAAAAAAAAAAAAAAAAAAAGGAACAAGAAAACAAAATTAGCCGGGTGTGGTGGCACATGCCTGTAGTCCCAGCTCTTCAGGAGGCTAAGGTGGGAGAATTGCTTGAGCCAGGGAGGTCGAAGCTGCTTTGAGCCGAGATCAAACCATTGCATTCCAGTCCAGGCGACAGAGAGAGACCCTGTCCCCCCGAAAAGAAAAAAAAAAAACCCTGATAAAATTCAATTTTAATACATGCTTTTAATAATATATTTCAGCAAGTTAAGAACCGTATATGAACATACTTATGACTATTTATCAAGCATCAATAACAAATTCATCATATCCCTAGTCCAGTGAGTCTCCCATTCCCTAGATGAGTACTGATTAGACTAGGGATATGATTGAAATAGAAGACAGAATTTTAACGAGGTGCATTCTTTCTGAATAAATCTGCAGATATAATGCAATGTCAATCAAAATCCTAACACTTTCCAAGTAACAGGGTTCTTTGTTCTTTTAATTGTTTTGTTTTTTGTTTTTTATTGAGATAGGGTCTCACTCTGCTGCCCAGGCTGGAGTGCTGTAGTGCAATCATAGCTCACTGCAGCCTCAAACTGCGGGGCTCAGTCGATCCTGTCACCTCAGCCTCCCAAAGTGCTGGGGCTACAGGTGTGGGCTACTCACCTGTACAATGTGCTCAGCCAACCACACGTTGTTTTAAAAGCTATTTACCAGCCAATAGAGCTACTTCTTTCCTCCTTACTTTTCTTTTTCAGAGTTTTTGTTATATCTTTTCCTGTTTACACTATCAATTGCTTTTAGAATCATTCTATTAAATTTTAAAATAATGGAATACACAGTAGTGGACTAAAACCTAATATATTAATTGAAAATTAATTTTCCTGTGCTACTTTTTGGAAGGAAGTCACTGTGTACAATCCACCTTTAAGGAGTGAGGAGTTATGCTCTGTATCACGAGGACCTTTTGTTTTTTGTTGCTATTGTGAAAGATTTCTTTTAGTATTTTCATATATGTTATTACCAATATAAAGGACTGATATGACTTGTTGAAGAACTTCTATGTAGCAACTTTATTAAACCCCTTTATCAATTCTATTAGCTTTTGTTCATATTTTATTTCTTTGGGTTGTGTGGATTTTTTTTAAGAGATGGGGTCTCACTGTGTTGCCCAGGCTGGTCTCAAAACTCCTGGGTTCCAGTGATCCTCCCACCTCGGCCTTCCAAAGTGTTGGGATTATAGGCATGAGCCACTGTGCCTGGCCCGGTCTGTCAATTTCTACTGTGAGTAATCCCTTTGCCTTTTCTTTCCTAACATTATACATTACATTTCCATTTCCTGTCTTATTACATCAGTCAGGACTTCCAGAAAATTATCAAAAAACAGCAGTGATCAGAGATCTAGTGAATATCCTCGGGTATTTGTCTGTTGACACTCTCAGTTCTTTTGGGAAACTGCGCTACTCCATATGTACAGTCCTTGTGGGACGAGACCAGTCACAGGGCACCTAACCCTAACCCTGTAGGTTCAAAGCTGGGTGCATGGTCCAGGGCCAGCCAAACATCAGACCCTATTTTCCCACCCAGGGCGATTGTTCCAGAGGTGGGCAAGAAACCTAAGCAGGGCCAACCAGATTTTCTCCCAGTTTTTTGTTTGTTAGTTTGGAACCAGAAGAGAGGAGGGGAGGGCCTTACTTTCTGGTTTAACAGACGGGAAAGATAGGAACGAGGGTATCAGAGGCCACCACTGTCACTTGCACAGGAAGAGAAAGGCTGCCGGCAGAGGAGGAAGAGAAACTACGGAAAGAATCCCAAGGGGCGAGGAGAAGGGAGGAGAGGGACAGAGATGGGAAGAGGGACAACAAGAATGATCTGGTTTTGTTTTTTTTTTTTTTTTGAGTGGAGTCTCCCTCTGCCACCAGGCTGGAGTGCAGTGGCGAGATCTCGGCTCACTGCAACCTCTGCCTCCCGGGTTCAAGCAATTCTCCTGCCTCAGCCTCCCTAGTAGCTGGGATTATGGCGCGCGCCACCATGCACAGCTAATTTTCGGTACAGACGGTGTTTCACCATGTTGGCCAGGATGGTCTCGATCTCTTGACCTTGTGATCCGCCCGCCTAGGCCTCCCAAAGTGCTGGGATTACAGGCGTGAGCCACCGCGCCTGGCCTAATGACCTTGTTTTCAAATCCCTGAATCCAAACTTCCTGATTATGTGAGCCAAAAAATTTGTTTTCCATTTTCTCTACTTACATTGGATCATTACAACGGAAGGAATTTTGACTATTAGAGAAATCAATCTTGTCCTGGTAACTGACACTTATTAGGTAACGGCTGGTGCCAGGCTGAGGGCAGGTGGCACTGACTCCGGTCCTCCGCCCAGGCAACCCCAGTCTTCACAGCTGGCGACGAGTGTTCTTTCACGTTTGCAGATGAGGAAGCTGAGGCTCTGGGAGGAAAGCGCGCTGCTCCTGCCCTTCTGGGCCGCAGCCTCTCGTACTCCCACAGCAGGCTTGATGGATAAACTTCCAACACGACCAGCTGGCACAAACTGTGCTACTTGGCAAATGGGAGCATGTTGCTCTATCCTGGTAGATTCTAAGTTCTCTAATGGAACAACTGATGAGAGGAGAGGAGTATGCAACACCCTAACCAGCATCAAAGGGTGTACCCAACTCAATCTGCACAGCAAATGCGCCCAACCCCACACACCCCGCGGGGTGCTAACCGAGTCACGGCTCGAGGCCTCTGGGTCCTTCCACGCCAGGTCATTCAGAACCTGAAACCCCCAGCGGAGGTGGAGAGCCGGGGTGAGTCCTGGCGTCCGAGACGTGGAGGACCCAGCCCCCGGAGCGCGTTCCGTTAGTTTACAGAGCTTTTTCAAACTTTGCCTTCCAAGTGCAGGAGTTCCTTGGTCTTTGCAAGACCCGCAGGCGTCCGCAGTGGTGCAGAGAGAGGTGCAAGGGGCGCGCCCAAGGTCGCAGGCTGCCTGGCTGCGCGCTCAGTCGGGCCCCCGGGCGCCAGGCGCGGGGCGGGCTCTGGGCGGGCGGCCGGGGCGGGGACTGCAGAGCAGGCTGCACTGCGCGGTACCCACTGCCGGCCTGCGCGGTACTCACTGCCGGCCTCCGCGGTACCCACTGCCGGCCTCCGCGCTACCCGGCCGCAGCGCGCGAGTCACATGGAAGCTCCTGAGGAGCCCGCGCCAGTGCGCGGAGGCCCGGAGGCCACCCTTGAGGTCCGTGGGTCGCGCTGCTTGCGGCTGTCCGCCTTCCGAGAAGAGCTGCGGGCGCTCTTGGTCCTGGCTGGCCCCGCGGTGAGTAAGGTGGCCTCAGTGGCAGGCCGGTACCGGCGGGCTGGGGACCTGGTGATTTCTGCCTCCGCGGGTGACTTTGGCGGGCTTTGGGGACCGAGCGAGCTGTCCGCCGGCGGGCTCCGGGGAGCATCGTGCCAGGAGCCGGGCGGGCACCCCAGCTCCTCTGCCTGCGTCCCGGCCGCTTTCCGCTCCGCACCACCCGACTGGGGGCCCCGCGGGGCACTGCGGGAACGGCTGGTACGCGCCCGGGCGCATGTTGGCTCGGAGAGGCCGGCGGCTCCAGCCTCCTGCGCCAGGAGACACCGGAGAGCTGGGACCTTTGCCCCTAACGGGGCTCTACCAGGTCCAGGCTGCATTTGCATCCGGGGGTGCCTTCTCTGGGAGCTGATTCCGGCCAATAAAACGCAAGTTGCCTGAACTTCAAAACACAAGGGAACTTGTTTCTTTGAAAAGTAGCGGTCAAAAGTTCGGGAGCTCTGCGATCTAAATAATCCCGAGGCACGGAGGAGGGGGTGCGTGGTCTGTCGTGGACTCAGAGCTGCGAAATGATTTCTTCAGAATTCAGTCAACCTCTACCGAGGAAACCAGAGGCATCCTGTACCACCCCCTCCCCGCCAGTAATTATGTATGTGAAAGAAAAAAGGGGTTTTAATGTGGTTCTTTGTGGGGTCGAGGTGTTCTTATCTGTGGGATTCTTTTCTTTTTAATCATTAGGTTAGGGCTGTTTCTGCCTTGTCTCCTAAAAATAATGTGGTTTTAAAAACCACAAAAACACAATCCTATCCACGTTCTCCTGCCAGCTTGGGTGGTTTTCAAACCGAGAGGGTAGGACGCGGCACAAGAAGCAACTGGTATGCACTTAAGGCGTGAATAAGCTTTTGACTTTGAGGCCCACATTCTGCACCTGCGCGGGCTGAGGGGGGCCGCTGTGCCTCTGGAGTGGGGGCTCGGTAGTTTGTGGGATATTGTGGCACCCGCTGTGGTGTGCAGGACAGCAAGGGTAATGCCGAGGTCAAAGCCATGGAATAAGATCCATCAGCCATGCTTTCTCACAGACCAGAAAGAACTCATGATTTGGGGCTGGGCGCGGTGGTTCACGCCTGTAATCCCAGCACTTTGGGAGGCTGAGGCAGATGGATCACTTGAGGTCAGGAGTTCGAGACCAGCCTGGCCAATATGGTGAAACTCCGTCTCTACTAAAAATACAAAAATTAGCCAGACGTGGTGGCGGGCGCCTGTAGTGCCAGCTACTCCAGAGGCTGAGGCACGAGAATCGCTTGAACCTGGGAAGTGGAGGTTACAGTGAGCCAGGATGGTGCCACTGCACTCCAGCCTGAACAACAGAGTAAGACTTGGTCTCAAAAAACAAAACAAAACAAAACAAAAACACCTCATGGCTGGGCGTGGTGGCTCACGTCTGTAATCCCAGCACTTTGGGAGGCCAAGGCAGGCGGATCACGAGGTCAAGAGATTGAGACCATCCTGGCCAACCTGGTGAAACCCCGTCTATACTAAAAATACAAAAAATAAAAAATAAAAATTAGCTGGGCATGGTGGCAGGCGCCTGTAATTCCAGCTACTTGGGAGGCTGAGGCAGGAGAACCGCTTGAACCCGGGAGGCGGAGGTTGCAGTGAGCCCAGATCGCGCCATTGCACTCCAGCCTGGGCAAAAAAACACCTCATGATTTGGAATCTCAAGACCTGGGGCTGCGTGCCCTGCTTTGACCTCCGAAAGTAAGTCAGGAAGCAGCTGTGCAGATTGAAACAGCCTCCTAACCTCTTCTGGTCTCTGCATATTCATTTGTAAAATGGAGATAATAATCATGTCTTGGTTCAACACTCCCTCACAGAGCTGCTGTGAGAAGGGGCTTTCTAAGGCTATTATTGTTTTATTATTATTATTATTTTTTGAGACAGGGTCTTGATCTGTCGGCCAGGCTGGAGTGCAGTGGTGTGATCACAGCTCACTGCAGCCTCAACTTCTGGAGTAGCGGAGATTACAGGCACACACCACCATGCCTGGCTAATTTTTGTATTTTGGGTTAGAGATAGGGTCTCCCTGTGTTGCCCATTGCTTGAATTCCTGGGCTAAAGCAATCCTCCTGCCTCGGCCTCCCAAGAGCTGGGATTATAAGCATAAGCCACCTTGCCCAGCCTGTTATTGCTTTAATAGTATAGCAATAATAATAATAATAATAATAATAATAACAGGGCAGGTTTCTGAAATCCAGCCCTCCCAGTAGCCTGATCCCCTTGATGTGGGGGACCTCTCCAGGTCTCCAGGGATGAGCACTAGACTGACATGCTGGGGACCTCACCTTTTCTCTTTGTATGTACATATATGTATACCATTGTGTTTATTACAAATGTCATGCATATTTACTGTAGAAAAAAATAGAAAACCAAGACCAACAATAGGAAAAAACCCTCTGAAATCTCACCGCTGAGAGGTAATTTGGGAGCTTTCCTTCTAGTCCTTTGTGTGTGTGTGTCTCTGCTTTGTGAAAATGTGATTGTAGAGTTTTGCTACCTGCTTAGTCTCTCATGAAGTGTATGTGGACCGGCCTGGGTCTGTCTCCCATCTCTAATCCCATCTGCTATAAAGTTTTCTGTTTACTAAAGGGCATGGGATAAGGAGAGACCACCCCCTTCTTTTCCCATGCTCATTGTCCAATACTTTCTTCTCCAAGTGTCCAACATAACATGAGGAAGATGCCCTGTCTGGCTCTCCTCTCTGTAATTTTCTCTCTCATTTGCCATCTCCCTTCCAGACCTCTCAAGTTAACCCTGACCCTTGAGGTCTCACTGGGCTTTAAATGAGGGCTTTGTAAAGAGAGTAACCCATAACACAATGGAAATGTGAGCCGAATGGTGCTTATTTCTCAAAAGATGCGTCCATTTTATCCTGGAGAAAGCTTGAGGAAGACTGGATTTGCAAGGGAGGGAACGTGCAGATACCTGGCCTCAGGTACTCCAGCTGTGCCTCTTCTTGGTCATCAGCCTCTCATCACCTGGCTGAATCAAAACAGCAAAAGTTCTGAAAAGTAACCCCAAAGATGGACCCCGGGCATTGCCCGGGATGTAACAGAGGTGGGATAGCCCAGGCCCCAGCTCAGGGAAATGTTTCCACTTGTGTGGGAAGGAGCTGGCGGACCTTCTAGGGTTACAGGGCAGAAATATCAGAGAAGGCAGGCAGGTTGAGGGGGGTGAGGTGGGGGATCTGGAGAGAACCGCTTTACCCGGGACACACAAAGGAAAAAATGCAGGCTGATCTTTTGAATTGTATCCTGAAGGCAATGGGGAAGATATTGATCAGGAAGTGGTTACTGACACCAAATTCTGCAGGGGAAGCCTGGTCAGAGACAGACAGGCCTAGGCCCGAGGAGGGGAAGACCTACAGGGAAGGTGGTTCCTTCCATTCAAAGGGTGAGAGGAAGTAGTCAAAGATGGCAGGAGCTGGACAGAGGAAAGCCGGGTGAGGTCCGGCCCCCACGCCTCTACTCCCCGTTCCCTCCTCCAATCCGTCCTCACCAAGGCCTTTGGCTTTAGCTCCTTAAATACCTCTCAGAGGGATCCACTTTTTCGTATCTCCGCTCTCATGCTCCAAATGGAGCCACCAAGTCCTTTTCAAACGCACATCTGAGCTTGTGCCTCCTGCTCAGAACCCTTTCCTTGGTTCTGCAAAGCCCTCTATGGCCTGGCCCTGGCCAGGCCTCCAGCCTCATCTCTCGTCCCTATCTCCTGGTTACACCCTCCACCCAGCCTCCTTTCAGTGCCTCAGCCTGGAAAGTCCTCCCCGACAGACAAGTCTCCAGCACCTGACTATTTGACATTGACTTGTTCATCATGCAGGTTTCAGCCCCACTTCATTTCCCCCAGAAACCTTCTCTGAATTCTCTGCTGCACCCCACAGCTCATCATGCAAATGTCTTGAGCTGTGTTATTTATTGCGTTTTGAACATCTTTCCCTATTCCACAGATGCTCCTTGGCTTACGATGGGGTTATATGCACTGAAAATATCATTAAGTCAAAATGCCTCTAAAGGATGAGATCACGGATTGCGAGAGTCCTGACTTGCGTGGGACGCATGCTATCCCCGTGCTGGCCAATTATCTTCAGTTCCATTGCAAGAGTAATAGCTGCCTTCTTTTCCCCAGAAGCAGGAGGCACAGATGGCCATTTTGTAGTTATGATGGGATGCAAAAACACAAAACAAAATACCCAAAAAACGCTGGCAACACAGTCCACTGTAGAGTGTCAGCTGCCTGCTCTCGTGATGGCAGGGCTGATGGGCAGCTGTGGCCCACTGCCCTGACAGGCACTGCAAGTCTGAGACTACACATCACTATCCGGGGAAAAGATCAATATCCCAAATTCCAAGTACAGTTTCTACTGAATGTACATTGCTTTTGCACCATTGCAAAGCTGAAAAATTGTAAGTCAGGACCATCTGTACTGTGGGTCCCGTGGGGCAGGAATGGAGTAATGGTGTCTAACTCACACCTGTTCCCCCAGTGCTGGGATGTACTTTGTGCTCCAAAGACAGTGGCCTTATGTAACCATCTGAGTTGAGAGTCAGGTGGCTGGGCTAGTTGCGAAACCTCCTGGGCTGTGCTTCCTCACATGTAAAAGAAGGGGGGCTGTCCCAGGTGACCTCTCAGCTTCTTTCCAGTGAGTGAACTTTCAGCAATCATGGGAGGGGGTAGGAGAGGCTGTCTGGAGGTGCCTGGCCCTGGAGAGCAACTTCTAAAGCTGCCAGGCGCTGAAGGTCTTTATCTGACTGCCAAGTTTGCTTATTGTTGTCTGGCCAAAATCTGAGCAGGGTCACTGTGACAAGAAGGGACGGAAGCACGGTCAGTCTGGAAGTTTCTTTGTTTGAAGCAGGGTCTCGCTGTGTCACCCAGGCTGGAATGCAGTGGTGAGCTGAGCTCAAGTGATCCTTCCTGCTTCAGGCTCCTGAGTGGCTGGAATTGCAGGTGCATGCCACCACGCATGCTATTTTTGGTATTTTCTGTAGAGACGGGGTCTCTACAAAATGTTGCCTGGGCTGGTCTTGAACTCCTGGGCTCAAGCAGTCCTCTTGCCTCAGCCTCCCCAAGTGCTGCGATTGCAGGGATAAGCCACCGTGCCCGGCCCAGTCTGGCAATTTCTGTCATCCATTCAGCTCTGTCCAAGCCACTGCCAGTTCAGGCTGTTCTTCAGACAGCAGCTGCTGAGACATCTAGCGGAACAGGCCTTTGTCCAGAATTGGTTCATTCCCCGAGCACAGAAATATGCTCTGTGACAGCACAGTCCCAGAGGGTCTGGAGCACTCTCAAAGTGTGGCCCTGGACCACATGCATCTTGCCTGGTGTGTATGAGGGAGCATGGGGATATACTGAAATGAAGATTCCTCAGCCCCAGGGAACTCCTGGGTCTTTTTTTTTTGAGATGGAGTCTCTCTCTGTCACCCAGGCTGGAGTGTAGTGGCTTGATCTCCGCTCACTGCAACCTCTGCCCCCTGGGTTCAAACGATTCTCCTGCCTCAGCCTCCCGAGTAGCTGGGATTACAGGTGTGCACCACTGCACCCAGCTAATTTTTTGTATTTTTAGTAGAGATGGGGCTTCACCATGTTGGCCAGACTGGTCTCGAACTTCTGACCTCAGGTGATCTACCTGCCTCGGCCTCCCAAAGTGTTGAGATTACAAGGCGTGAGCCACTGAGCCTGGCCTAACCTCCTGGGTCTTGCGATGGGCCAGGGCAAAGGCTCCCAGGTGGCCCTTATGTACATGATCCACAGTCTATGGCCAAGCGTTCACCCAAAGGGCTTGAAACCAGGATCTGAGAAGAGGTTAGTAAATCTGGACTCAAGCCAAGATCCCTGGCACGGACTTTCAGGATGGGCTGACTGCATGAGGCTGCCCGACTCAGGCAGTCGGAGTACAGGGTTGTTGCCGTAACCCTGGCAGAGCTGCGGCAGCTCTCAAAAAAACTATTTTTGCTGGCATTGACATTGAAGATGCATCTCACATGGATTAGTCTAACTCAGCTCGACTTCCTGGCCTTTTGTATCCGAGACATCTAATGATTCCCTTGGACTGGCCCCCACCCAAGTGAGAAAGATGTTCAAGGCAGTGCAATTTGTGATGGTAAGATCTGGGCAGCACTCCAAAGGCCGGGCAGTAGGGGAGACCGAGCACACTTCCATGTGAAGCCATGAAAAACAGCTCACAGGTGGCCCACAGGGAGGCAGGGAACTGTGGAGTGTAAACGTGATGTTCCGTGGGAAAGGAGAAGACAGATTCTGTGAACACAACCATTTGTTACAGATGATGTGCAAAAGCTTAAAGCACAGTGAACTGAACAGATTTGGAAGTGATGCCGAGTTTACAAATAAAAGGGACCCTGTGGCCTTTAAAGATACATGAATTCACAATTTAAAGAGACACCAAGCTCCACCCAGTGAAACCACAGGGGACATCTGTAAGGGTGGTGACAACGCCCAAATCGTGTGGCACCATTACAGGCCTACTGGGCATCCATTGGCTCTAGGTTTAGATTCTCCAGCATCTGGTTCTTCATGTCAGCCTTTTTTATTGACACCTCCACCCCACCCCCTTTTTATTCCCATCTTCTGTCTTATTTTGGCTTACGCAAAACATTGCAAAAGCGCTCCTCACGTTCAGTAGCAGGGGGACTGTGGCGATTAAATTCACATTAGGCTTCTGTGGTAGTGAGAGAAGTGCCTGGATCATGTAGGAGTTCATACAAGAAAGATACTTCTCCTACAACAGACACACACACACACACACACACACACACCCCTAGGGTTAGGAACAGGCTGTGCTTGCTCTGAAGGTCTGGGCCCATCACAGGAGTTGAAAACAGTCTCTCCCGGGATGTGGATTCTAGGGAAGAAAAGAGGGAGATCATCGGAACCATTATGGCTCGGGGGCCTGATGAGGTCCTGACGTAGCAGTTTTGGGGTGGCTGCAGAGCTGGCAGATGGGCTGTGTGTGAGCCTGGTGGAGGTCAGCTCTAGAACCTAAGTCATTGGAGCCCTAAAAGAGGGACCTTTCTGTGGGCTCAGCACAGAGGACTCTGTTCTCCCTGAGGGCGGTGAGAGGCGGCCTTGTGGCTAGACCAGCAGCAGCATCACCAACTCTGGGGTATCAGCTTCAGTGAGGGCCCCATGGGGCAGATGCAGGCAGCGGCGGCAGCAGCAAATCCTTACACACCCATTCTCTCCTAGGGAGCAGGGGTCAGGTGAACTCCCCATTTTGGGCCGTGTAGCCTGCCAGGGGAGAGGGGCTTCCCCAAGAGAGATACTGGACCGCCTGGGTCTAGTGGGTGGGGGGCAGGAGGTGATTTTAAGTTAACCTCCAGAAATAAGCTCATTATCCAATCATGCAGTGAAAGCACTGTGGAGCAATTCATAGAATTGCCCACTGGAATTTCGAGGAAGAATGGTTCAATATTCCAGAATTTGCCCTCACATCTGAGGCTTCCTAGAATGCAAGGCGTTCAGCAGGCCTGTAATGTTTCACCCTGAGAGTCCGGATCCCGCTGGGACTCCAAGTGGACGATCTCATCGCTACCTCCAGCTCCTCCTGTCTACAGACTTCCTTGCTGGAATGTGTTCTTGTTGTTGAAGGCTGTATTCTCTCCAGTCCTCACTAGGAATCTTGGATAACAAGGGGGTTATCCCAGAAGGCAGCCTCTGCACATTGCAGAGGAAATTTAATGTGATCTATGGCTTGAGAAACTGAACTGAAAAACAGGAAAGGCAGGCTGGGCGCAGTGGCTCACGCCTGTAATCCCAGCACTTTGGGAGGCCGAGGCAGGCAGATCACGAGGTCAGGAGTTTGAGACCAGCCTGACCAACATGGTGAAACTCTGTCCCTACTAAAAATACAAAAATTAGGTGGGTGTGGTGGCGCCTGCCTGTAATCTCAGCTACTCAGGAGGCTGAGGCAGGAGAATTGCTTGAACCTGGGAGGCGGAGGTTGCAGTGAGCCAAGATCGCGCCACTGCACTCCAGCCCAGGTGACAGTGTGAGACTCTGTCTCAAAAAAAAAGAAAAGCTGAAAAGGCTGGGAAGTTCTCAAAAAAGTGATTCTGACCCAGTGGTTGCAAATAAATGTTTTAATATTTCAAGAAGCCTCCCATCCCCAGCCCCAGAAATTGTACATTTGCCTGTGAAAGGTGGCAGAGGCTCACTGAAGTTGTATTTCTTTACTTCTGACTGGACTTGTTGGGTCGGGGTCACACTTGGGGCCCCAGGCTTCCCTGCAATGGTGGTCACTCACGTCCCTTCCCGTTCCCCTCTCTTCCCAGTTCTTGGTTCAGCTGATGGTGTTCCTGATCAGCTTCATAAGCTCCGTGTTCTGTGGCCACCTGGGCAAGCTGGAGCTGGATGCAGTCACGCTGGCAATCGCGGTACGTGTGGGCTTTCTGGCAGGTTTACCAACACTGTCTGTGTTTGCCTTCTGCTGCTACTATAACAAATCATCAAAATGTAGTGGCTGAAACCTACACAGACTTATTCTCTTACAGTGCTGGAGTGCAGAAGTCTGAAGTGGGTTTCATGGCCTAAAATCAAGGTGCTGCAACTTTAATTCCCCTTTGCTGTGTAACCTTGCAGATTCCTAGGTTCTGGGGATTGGGCTGGGGACATCTGGGGGGGCATTATCCTGTCTATCACATCTTCTCATTTATTTTATTTTATTTTATTTTGTTGTTTTTTTTTTTTTTGAGATGAAGTCTCGCGCTGTTACCCAGGCTGGAGTGCAATGGTGCGATCTCGGCTCACTGCAACCTCTGCCTCCCAGGTTCAAGCGATTCTCCTGCCTCAGACTCCTGAGTAGCTGGGGTTACAGGCGTGCGCCACCACACTTGGTTAATATTTGTATTTTTAGTAGAGATGGGGTTTCACCATGTTGCCCAGGCTGGTCTCAAAGTCCTGAGTTCAAGCAATCCACCTGCCTTGGCCTCCGAAAGTGCTGGGATTACAGGTATGAGCCACCGTGCCCAGCCTCACATCATCTTATTTCTTTTCTTTTTTTTTTTTTTCAGACGGAGTCTTGCTCCGTCACCCAGGCTGGAGTGCAGTGGTGTAATCTCGGCTCACTGCAACCTCCGATTCCTGGGTTCAAGCAATTCTCCTGTCTCAGCCTCCTGAGTAGCTGGTACTACAGGTGCCTGCCACCATGTCTGGCTAATTTTTGTATTTTTAGTAGAGACGGGGTTTCACCATGTTGGTCAGGCTGGTCTTGAACTCTTGACCTCAGGTGATCCACCCGCCTCGGCCTCCCAAAGTGCTGGGATTACAGGTGTGAGCCACTGCGCCCGGCCTACATCATCTTATTTCTAATCCATGGAACTCGTTCCCACTCTTGGTCCCACAGTTGGGGGAGGGGAACAGTAAAAGGGGAGTTCAGTCTGACTTCCTCAGAGGAACTGACTCCCCCCCATGCCCACTCCTCAGTTGTCTGTCTTACTGAGAGTCCTAATCTAGAAATGGGTCTGGAAGGTAAAAATCTAGATCTTTGTGTCCAAACTTAAAATTGGGAGGAACTGCAAATCCTCTCTGTATAATAGATGCAAACCCCCAAAACCAGAGACATGTCATCAATCTCAGCCAGGAATTGTCAGCTGGCCATGTAAGAACAAAGGGTTTGGTTTGTCTAGTTAGGTTGTTTCTAGAAAAGTGGATTCAGTGGCTCTCGGGCAGGTGTATGTTCCCCTTTCCTCCTGCCCTGACGGAGACACAATTTCACTTGATCTGCCTGGTCTCGCCAGGCATTTGAGTTTGCTATCCATGAACTACGCGAAACGCCTGGGAACTAGTCACCAAGTATATGTGGAGCTAGCTATGAGTATATATGGCTTATTTTATTTTATTTAATTATTTATTTTGAGATGGAGTCTCGCTCTGTCGCCCGGTCTGGAGTGCAGTGGTGCCATCTTGGCTCACTGCAAACTCCACCTCCCGGGTTCAAATGATTCTCCAGCCTCAGCCTGGGATTACAGGCACATGCCACCACACCCAGCTAATTTTTTGTATTTTTAGTAGAGATGGGGTTTCACCATGTTGGTCAGGTGGGTCTTGAACTCCTGACCTCGTGATCTGCCCTCCTCAGCTTCCTGAAGTGCTGGGATTACAGGCGTGAGCCACTGCACCCAGCATGGCTTATTTTATTTTGGCTTTAGCGGGCAACATGGACAATCCCAGGCTTAATTATCCATTTTGTTTTTAAGTATTGTATTTGCAATAGAGGAGAAGACAGAAATGCACTTAGCAAGCCTCAGCAGATTCTCTTTGGCCAAGGAATTACAGGATGTGGCCAAGGACTTATCAAAGTCAGTGCTTCCAGGCTGGGTGCAGTTTGGGCTGTTGTCCACAGGTTCCCTGCTGTAGAGTCAAGTGGAGGTACCAGGTTCCAGATGGGGAGCACATCAGACATCCTGTGATACCACTCCCTGGTTTGGGGGGCACTGCTCTAGGCTCCTCGAAACTTCAGGGTTTGCTGCTGACCCTGGTGAAGGCGAGCACACCTGGAAAGCCTCTGGCACTAGTCCGGACTTCAGACCGCCTCTGCACTCCCAGTGCCCCCCAGGGTACGGACGCAGGCCATGCTAGGTCTCCAGCAGGCGGACTTTTCTGTGTTACTGTGCCATTGCATTCCCGGAAGAAGTGTCCCTGATACCCGAAATTGGAGAGCAAAGTGACTTTTTAAAAGAGAAAGCCTGGGTAATCACCTCTAGCCTAGGCTTTTCCCCTTCCAAACTTGTACATGTCCTTACCCATCCAAGATCTTGTAACCGTAATAGGCTTGTCAACTTGCTTGTCACAAGTCAATAATCTGAGATGGCAGGTTGCAACAGTGAAAGAGGTTTAATTGTAAGGCCACTGAATGAGGACACCTCAAATCAGTCTCTCTGAGGAGTTTGGGGCAGGGTGTTTAAGGATTTTCGAATGGGCTGAAGTGTGATTGTTGATTGGTTGAAGAGTGCAGCATGAAGTCATGGGACAGGGAGATGAAGAAACTGTGTTCTCATGCTGATTCAGTTCCTCCTTGTGGGTCTGCAAACTGGTTGGTGTCAGATGTTTCACTGGAATTCAGGCTCTGCTTAATAAAAAATTTTTTTTTTTTTGAGATGGAGTCTTGTTCTGTTGCCCAGGCTGGAGTGCAGTGGCACGATCTCAGTTCACTGCAACTTCCGCTTCCCGGGTTCAAGTGATTCTCCTGCCTCAGCCTCCTGAGTAGCTGGGAATACAGGCGCCCGCCACTATGCTGGGCTAATTTTTGTATTTTAGTAGAGACTGGGTTTCACCATATTGGTCAGGCTGGTCTCAAACGCCTGACCTCGTGATCCGCCCACCTCGGCCTCCCAAAGTGCTGGGATTACAGGCGTGAGCCACTATGCTCGGCCAGAAATTTTTTTTTTTTGAGACAGGGTCTCACTCCATTGCCCAGGCTAGAGTGCAGTGGTGCAATCTCAGTTCACTGTAACCTCTGCTTCTTGGGATCAAGTGATCGTCCCACCTCAGCCTCTGGAAATAGCTGGGACTACAGGAGCATGCCACCATGCCTGCTAGTTTTTGTACTTTTGTAGGGACGAGTTTTCATCATGCTGCCTAGACTGGTCTCAAACTCCTGGGCTCAAACGATCCTCCCACCTTGGCTTCCCAAAGTGCTGGGATTACAGGCATAAACCACCACACCTGGCCAACAATTCTTAAACAATAGCCTTATCATTGTAACACCAGAAATCCCATCTGTAGGAACAGTGGGGATGTACATGGCCAGTGTCTGGTGCCACATGACTTTCAGTTATAAGGAAGTGGGTCAAAGTGCAGCCTGATTAATACTATAGTTCTAGGCCGCGCGCTGTGGCTCACACCTGTAATCCCAGCACTTTGGGAGGCGGAGGCGGGTGGATCACGAGGTCAAGAGATCAAACCATCCTGGCCAACATGGTGAAACCCCGTCTTTACTAAAAATACAAAAATTAGCCGGTCATGGTAGCGCACTCCTGTAGTCCCAGCTACTCGGGAGGCTGAAGCAGGAGAATCACTTGAACCCAGGAGGTGGAGGTTGCAGTGAGCCGAGATCGCGCCACTGCACTCCAGCCTGGGCAACAGAGCTAAACTCTGTCTCAAAAAATATATATATTATAGTTCTGTCCAGAATTCTTGTTAAACCTGTGAGAATGGCTTCAGTATGAGTGGGGTCCAGGCAGCTAACAAAGTTGGTAAAATTGACTTGTGAATGCTGAAGGAGGAGCTTTGCAGGCTCTTATCAATACACACAGGGATTTTGTCTTCCTTTCCTCCTTTAACTCTATAGGGCCTTATCTTTGGGTTTATTTGCAGGTTATCAATGTCACTGGTGTCTCAGTGGGATTCGGCTTATCTTCTGCCTGTGACACCCTCATCTCCCAGGTAAATGGAAGTGGTCACACGCTCACAGTGACCTCAAACATCTTTTCTCAAGTGTAGATGGAAGAGCTCCACTGGCAGGAAGAGTTCAGCAGCCAGCACTTGCAGCACCTATCAGCCAGCAACTCCTCTTCTCCTGGCCTGCTTTCTTTGAAATGTCACTAGGTTTCTTTCAGCCTTGTCAACTAGTTTTTGTCTGCACAACTGCCTTACCCTATATTTTGATCAAATAGGGGACATTTTGTAAAATTCCCTTCTATTGCTCCCCACGTTTGAATTTGGTATAGTTCTGTGGTTCTCAGAATTGAGCGTGCATTGATTGAGCTTGGAGAGCTTGTTAAAACCCAGCTTGCCTGGCCCCACCCAGTGGCAGGCTGGTAAATGTTCAGCAACCAGGCCTTGGGTGAAAGGGGAAGGAGGGAAACACATGACTGGCAGTGTTTGCCAGTTCCAGGGGCGTAAGTATTTCCTCTGGTTAATTTCAGATTACCAGAGATGTCACTGAACCTGGAGCTGGAAGAGATGTGCACGACTTGAAAAGATGTACAAAATTTGGCTTGTTTTGTTTGGAGACAGAGTCTTGCTCTATCGCCCAGGCTGGGCTGCAGTGGCACACCCACTGCTCACGGCAGCCTCGAACTCCTGAGCTCCAGCGATCCTCTTGCCTCAGCCTCTCAAGTACCTGGTATTACAGGCATGTGCCACTACACCCAGCTAATTTTTTGTAGAGATAGGGTTTTGCCATGTTGCACAGGCTGGTCTCGAACTCCTGGGCTCAAGCAATCCTCCTACCTCAGCCTCCCAACATGTTGGGATTATAGGCATGAGCCACAATGCCCAGCCTGGCTTTTTTTTTTTTTTTTTTGAGATGGACTCTGGCTCTGTCACCCAGGCTGGAGTGCAGTGGCACAATCTCGGCTCACTGCAAACTTTGCCTCCCTAAAAAAATTTTTTTCCAGTCTCTAAAAATAAATGAAGTGTGAATTTCAGATTGTTTACCTCTGCAAAAGAAATTGTTTTAAATATAATTTTTTTTTAAAAAAAGGTACGGATCTCTGAATCCTGCCCTGTGTGAATTAAGTCCAGAATATCATTAGTGAGAGTTTTGAAAATGTTCCCCTGGTGATGCTACTGGAAGCTGAGTTTGAGAAGCATCTTTCACACCATCCTTCTCCTACCTAAACACTGGGGCAAAGTGTCTAGGGCCATGGGCTTCTTTTTTTTTTTTTTTTTTTTTTTTGAGACAGAGTCTTGCTGTGTCCCCCAGGCTGGAGTGCAGTGGCGTGATCTCGGCTCACTGCAACCTCTGCCTCCCAGGTTCAAGCGATTCTCCTGCCTCAGCCTCCTGAGTAGCTGGGATTACAGGCGTGAGCCACCTTATCCAGCCAACCTGCTTCTTTGTGTGGCACAATTGAAGGCTTTTAGGGGACAGCTGGTGTGCTGGGTCTGTGCTAATGGGCTCATTTTGGCTGTGTGCACCCCAGACGTACGGGAGCCAGAACCTGAAGCACGTGGGCGTGATCCTGCAGCGGAGTGCGCTCGTCCTGCTCCTCTGCTGCTTCCCCTGCTGGGCGCTCTTTCTCAACACCCAGCACATCCTGCTGCTCTTCAGGCAGGACCCAGATGTGTCCAGGTAAGATGGAACCTGTCGCAGCGGGACTTGGCGTCCATCCCACGGAAAGATTATCCTGTCTGGGTGCAGCCAGGGCCAGGGACAAGGCTGCACACCAAGGTGGTGCTCATCTCTCCTTGGCTGACGTCTCCTAGGTCTTAGTACTTTCCACACCTGGCATCTGAGATGTACTCCCCCTCGCCTCCTGGGTGACTTGCATGGTTAAGAGTTTTAAATGAAAATAGATTTGCAAGCACCCTCCATGTGGGATGGTAGTTTGTGACGTTTGCTCAAAGTTTAGTTATTCTTGACCTTCGTTGATATTAAAATCACCTGGGTGCTTTCAAACCCACCTGTGCCCCTGCTCCCTACCACCCAAGATTTTTCTTTTTTTTTTTTTTTTTTGAGACCAAGTCTCACTCCGTCCCCCAGACTGGAATGCAGTGGTGCGATCTTGGCTCGCTGCAACCTCTGCCTCCTGGGTTCAAGCAATTCTCCTGCCTCAGGCTCCCGAGTAGCTGAGATTACAGGCACCTACTACCACGCCTGGCTAATTTTTGTACTTTTAGTAGAGACGGGGTTTCAATCATGTTGGCGAGGCTGGCCTCAAACTCCTGACCTCACGGGATCTGTCGCCTCGGCCTCCCAAAGTGCATGAGCCACCATGCCCGGCCAGGATTCTCTTTTAATTGGTCTGTGGTGAGGCCTGGGTATCGGTATCTTTCAAAGCACCCTAGGTGATTCTACTGTGCTGTCAAGTTTGAGACCCACTGATTTAATTGGGTAAGAGCTTTTAAAGCTCTTATCTAGACCAGCGGCTCTGAACCCAGGAGACGTTTGACAATGTCTGAAGACATTTCTGGTTATCACAGCTGGCAGTAGGAGGGTGCTCCTGGTAGAAGGCAGGAGGCTGTGGAACATCCTGCAGTGCTCGGGACAGCACCACACAACAGGTGGAGAATTACCTGGCCATAGTGCTGAGGTTGAAAAACCCTGTCCTAGACATAAAGATATAAAATAATCAAGAAAGGTTATCAGGGTTATAAGATGACAAGCTCTATATGTAAATTTTCACATTTGCTCCGCAGTTTTGTTTTTTTTTTTGAGATGGAGTCTCGCCCTGTTGCCCAGGCTGGAGTGCAATGGTGTGATCTCAGCTCACTGTAACCTCCGCCTCCTGGGTTCAAAAGATTCTCCTGCCGCAGCCTCCCAAGTGGCTGGGATTACAGGTGGCCGCCACCACACTTGGTTAATATTTGTATTTTTAGTAGAGACGGGGTTTTACTATGTTAGCCAGGCTGGTCTCGAACTCCTCAGCTCATGAACTGCTTGCCTCGGGATTACAGGCTGGGATTACAGGCGTGAGCCACCGCGCCCGGCCTGCTCCAGCAACTTAAGCCCATTAATCTGGAAACAGCCAAGAATGGAAAAGGCAGTTTTAGTTATTTTCTTCTGCCTAACTTTCCCTGGAAACAGAGGCCTCCATCACAGTTTTTGTTTTCTTTTTCTTTTCGTTATTTAGGCTTACCCAGACCTATGTCACGATCTTCATTCCAGCTCTTCCTGTAAGTGCTCAAGGGCTAAGAGATTCCCTTCTTGGGGTCCGTGGGTGAAAGGTAGCCACCATATCTGTGAGCTCAGTGTATTGGCTCAGTCTTAGATGATTCTTATCTGTGGTGTTGGTGCCTTCAAGGAAGCCTGTTTTTATTTATGCCTGTTAAGGACACAACAGATGTTCATCTCAAGGAACACCAAGATTGAGGCTACTCCAGGACGTCTGGAGTAGAGCTGGAGAGACCTCCAGAATCATCCATGGAGAAGAGTGCAAACTTTTATTGTAAACAAGGGCAAAGTCTCACCCATCTCAGAACCCCTGAGGGTGTCACTTAGAACCTTTAGACTTTTTTTTGGTCTGCTGCGTTTGACCACACAGAACCTTAAGCATGGGTTAATGTTTGACACAGCAGTGTGTGGCCAATGAACAATGAGAGCTAAGTGGTTTTTTTGTTTGTTTGTTTGGTGTTTTTGAGACAGGGTCTCATTCCATCACCCAGGCTGAAGTACAGTGGGATCGTCATAGCTCACTGCAGCCTTGACCTCCTGGGCTCAAGCCATCATCCTGCCTCAGCCTCCTGAGTTGCTGGAACTACAGGCACATGCCACCACACTTGGCTAATTTTTTAGTTTTGTAGAGACAGGGTCTTGCTAATTTTTTTTTTCTAAGATAGGGTGTCACTCTGTCACCCAGGCTGAAGTGCAGTGGCACAGTCCTCACTCATTGCAACCTCTGCCTCCCTGGCTCAAGTGATCCTCCCACCTCAGCCTCCTGATTAGCCGATACTACAGGTGCACACCACCACGCCCAGCTAATTTTTGTATTTTTTGTAGAGATAGCATTTTACCATGTTTCCCAGGCTGGTCTCAAACTCCTGCGTTCAAGCAATCCATCTGCTTTGGCCTCCCGAAGTGTTGGGTTGCATGTGTGAGCCACCACACCTGGCCTGAGAGCTAAGTGTTTGTTATTCAGCTGGAGGCTGTAGCTGAATTAGTCTGCAGGGGCTTCCGTAATATAATACCACACACTAGGGAGCTTAAACAACAGAAGTTTATTTTCTTACAGTTCAGGAAGCTGGAAGTCCAAGGTCAAGGTGCAGCAGGGTTGGTGTCCTCTGCGGCCTCTCTCCTTGGCCTGTGGACGGCCACCCTCTGCAGGTTGTCCCCTGTGCATTCATCCCCCGGTATCCCCTGTCTTCTTATGAGGACACGAGTCCTATTGGATTAGGGCCCCACCCTAATGACCTCATTTTAATTTAATCTCCCCTTGAGGACCTCCAAATAGTCACACTGGGGACTAGGGCTTCAACATACGGATCTAGGGACACCATTTGCCCTCAGAATTGGCAGTGTGCTCGCTTACTTATCCTGAAACCTTGTAAATGTGACAGTCTTTCATGATTCCACCACATAGGACCAGTCTATATGGAGGTGCCCATCTGGAGTGTGCCTGGGGCCTCCTTTCCATGCCAGTGTCCCCAGAAGAGTCCTGGCCATTCACCCAGGGAAACTCCACCTCCTTTTGCCAGATGGAGGGAATATGCTTGGGGCATATGCACCCATAAAGAAGATGTGGGAAGCCCCTGGGCCATAACACCCTGGCCCCAGCCCTGTCCTGAGACGACAGCCTCTGTGGCTCCGTGCGGGAGCAGAGGGCAGCCGAACCTTGGCTGTGGCTCCTAGCTCCCTGCCGTGTGACCTCACTTCTGTGTGGCAAGGCTGAAACATTAACATTCATCTCTCTTGTTCTCTTGTAGGCAACCTTTCTTTATATGTTACAAGTTAAATATTTGCTCAACCAGGTAATACTGACTGTTCTCTTCCTTTGGGAGGCTAATGGGAGTTTGTACCTTTCTGGGAATGGGGGCCCTGAAGATACTCCAGGACCAGGGACCCCAGGGTGGAGGGAGCTCACTGCTGGGAGCCACTGAAAGATATTTTTTCAGTGTTGTGCACACAGAACTTGGATGTCAAGAGGTTTGTTAAGTGATGTCAAGGAAAGAACATATTATATTTGGCTCTGGAAAACTCTTATCCAATTCCCACTTGGAAATATTGTCATTGGCAGGGTGGGCTCAGAGCCGCAGTGTTCCTTGGCTCTGCATTTTAACCAGCGTCCTGGAAAGAAGGGTGCATGCCCATTTGCTCCTAAGACAGAGCGCAGGCTGGGGGCAGCTCGTCTGGCAGAGAGGGAACCAAACTGTCTGCTCTGTTCTGTCGGAATGGCCCCACTTTTCTCATTGAGGATGTAAGAGCTCAAACTCTAATGACACCTAACGTCAGCCAGAACTCCTCCTCTGTGATTAAACAGTCAGGGCCAAAGGCCATGGCTTGGTAGGGGTGGATTTATGAAATCAGCATATGTGGGACTCTCTACATTCTTCCAGATAAGTCCAGGTAAACAGGGGTACTCGGCAATGGATCCCGGCCACACTGGCGGGCTCTCCAGGCATGTGCAACAGGAAGGGCCAGGAGGGGAGGAGGAAGAAAGGAAGTTTCCCACCTATGCAGTGTTCTTAAAGTTAAGATATTCCTCTATTAGAACAAAATTTTTAAAGTAGATATGGGGTCTTGCTATGTTGCCCAGGCTGGTTTCAAACTTCTGGCCTCAAGCAATCCTCCTGCCTCAGTCTCCAAAAGTGCTGGACTTACAGGTGTGAGCCACTGCATCCGGCCAGGATATTACTCTATCAACAAAACAAGAATATTTAGAATCCCGATTAGCATAGAATGACATATCAGAAATAGGTGTAGACTAGAGAGAAGGAAACCCACACATTTCATCCGGCTTTGGGCTGTCTCCTTTTGATCTAGACCCTTGCTAAGGCAGCATGGATGCCTTAGCACCCTGCAAGGCCTTCTCCTGGACTCAGTCCCCCAACCACTGTGGTGGCCCTAACCTCAGGGTCTGATGTGACCTGCTGAGGACAATGAGTGTGAAAGTCTTCTTTCCTGTTCTCTGGGGCACAGGGAAAGGCATGGAAGTAGGAGCCACGAGCTGAGAGGGGTTGGGAGCTTTGAACTTGGTTACAGAGGACACGTGGAGTTTCCAAGGTTGGGAAGGAAGGCAGGGGATCCTAGACAGAGGTGCAGCAGAGCCTGTTCCTAGGGGCTGGGGCCCGCAGAGTCTCTTTACGCCACTGCGGTGGGAGGGGATGCAGTGAGATGATGGCATCGAGAGGCGGGCTGGCCCAGGGTCAGCGTGCGCAGGGCCTTGTGTTCTCTGCTGGGGCATTTAGTTTTGGGAAATTAACTAATTGGGAGAGGAAGAGGGGAGAGTTATGGACATGATCCAAACAAATAATGGTGAAGGTCTGTGATGAAGAGTTTGCGTTGTGGGAGCAGTGGGAGATACGATGATGGGTGGGTTCTGTAGAAATGGCAGGGGTTGTTGGGCCCCCAGGGTGGAAGGAGTTTCTGTCCTGGGGCCCTTCCCTAGGAAGACAGGGCAACCATTAGCTGAGTGTAGAACCAAAGAGAAGCAGCTGGGAGTTTGGAGAAAGTGAATGCCCTCGGAGAGGGTGGAGGGTGGGAACAGAGCCAGATGGTATCGGGGGAAGGGAGACTTTCAAGTAGGAGAGTCAAGAGGGCTTTGGAGGAGAAGGTGACTCCACTGGACATGGAGACGCATGCGTGTTGCAGGCTTGGCCACCTCTTCTCGTTCTCCCACGAGCCTGCTCCTCTGCCTTCCATTCCATCGCAATGGGTGGAATTCCGTGGCCTCAGCCATTTTTGCTCCCAGTAACCTGTCCTTTTTGTCCCTGTCACATCCTCGACTCCATCTTTCCTTCCCTCCCACATCTGGTCAGTCACCTGGTCCTATAGCTTCTGCCTCCTCCCAATCCTCCATGCCACCACCTGAATTCATTTCTTTCTTCCTTTTTTTTTTTTTTTTTTGAGATGGAGTCTCTGTTGCCCAGGCTAGAGTGCAGTGACGTGACCTCGGCTCACTGCAACCTCCACCTCCGAGGTTCAAGCGATTCTCCTGCCTCAGCCTCCCAAGTAGCTGGGACTACAGGCGCGTGCCACCACGCCCAGCTAGTTTTTGTATTTTTAGTAGAGATGGGGTTTTACCATGTTGGCCAGGCTAGTCTCAAACTCCTGACCTCAGGTGATCCACTCGCCTTGGCCTCCCAAAGTGCTGGGATTACAGGCGTGACCCACCGTGCCCAGCCCTGAATTCATTTCTTGCCATTTGTCCTCTGTGTCATTTCAGAGGACCTTAACCTGTCTCCATCCACTGCCATCTGCCTGAAAAGTAAATCTGATCACTAATTCCCTTGCTACAAACTAACCAGGGCCTCCCCATAAATATGTGGCCTACACAAGTTGTCGGCCAAGACCATTGTCCTGGCCCCATCAGCCTGAGACCACCAGAGACAGGACTGTAGGCCAGTGGGTTTGCAGTTGTGTTTATTGGCCTGTCGCAGTGAGAGAGACTAGAGAGGCTGTGGGATGCCTCAGCAAAGGAAGAAGAGTTATTATAAAGGTTTGAAGAAGGGTGGGGTTCAGGTGACATTTAAGCGAAATCATGGTTTGATAGGCGCTGAGCAGATCTGTGAGTGAGGGGCCCAACATCAGGCCTGGGCTGTGACGTGGACCTGGTGCTCCTCCTTTGGAAACTCAAGGCTAAGAAGGATGTTGAGGGTGGACAGATGTAAAATGCCACATCCAGGAGCTCCCACGAAGCTCTGTGCCTGGGTTGGAAATTGAGGCTACTTTTTTGTGTTAACATGATTTTGAGCCTCCACGCGAGAGTGGGGTGTTTTCTTTTTACTGAAATGATTTCAAACAGCAATGTTTCTGAACAGTCTGATTTTAGACAACAAAGTTTCTCAGTGAGTCAGAAAGCACTCGTCATTCCACTAGGGGAGTAATGACACTTTATGGGGACAGCGTGACCTTGGGAGAAAGGAGGTTTCCTTTTACGTTTGCACTGACTTTATCTGCGTCTGCTATTCTATCCGGATGCGGGGCAGGACAGAGTTTTACTTCCTTGGTCTGATGTAATTTTACTTTCACCCCTGTCTTACTTTGAGACACCAAACAGTCTGGATGTTTCACCAGTCCTGTACTTTTGAAAGTTAGATATGTTGGAATCCCTTCCGTATTCTAGAAAGAAACTCTAGTTTCTTCAAGATCTTAGGTCAATTTTCTGAATTTCTATTTTGGTGAAGAAAGTATTCTCATTTTCTCCTATCGTCCAGTGTCAAAGGTGCCTTGTTGACCCATTTAGCCCCTGCCAGTCCTTGCACTGTTGGAAATAAGCCATTTATCTTCTTCCTTCCCTGCTGCTGAACATATCTTGCCTGTGTCTCTCTGTGGCCAGAACTCCGCACTTTATACCTCAAAGAGAGAAGGAAGAGAAAGGGGTGGGAGAGTGGAAAGGCAGGAGCAACAAGGACATGACCTCCCCAGTTAAGCCCCCCAGCTATGCCTGTGATACCCGCTGAGCAGGCCAGCTGGAGCCTGTGTGTGCTTGGGTAGCAGAAAGGCAGTCCTATTCTGTGGATCTCAAGGATGGCATGCGGTGTCCTTTTTCCAGGGAATTGTACTGCCCCAGATCGTAACTGGAGTTGCAGCCAACCTTGTCAATGCCCTCGCCAACTATCTGTTTCTCCATCAACTGCATCTTGGGGTGATGTGAGTCCAACATACTCTTGGGACAGGGAGAAGGGATGACTTGCATGTGGTTTTTCCAGGAGGGAGAAGAGTGGGCTCTTCAGCTGGTTCTTGTGTCCATGCGTGGTCTCTTTCTTGCACACTGTGGAAAGCACTGTCAGGGATGGAGGGTGAGGCTGCTCTGGGAAGAAGACCTTGGCCTGCTGAGGACAGCACGGGAAGGGATGAGTCTCCCCTCCTCACTGAGTTGGGCAGGGAGAGGCGCAGGAAGGTACCTCCCTCTCATTGGGACTGTTCTTTCCAGAGGCTCTGCACTGGCAAACTTGATTTCCCAGTACACCCTGGCTCTACTCCTCTTTCTCTACATCCTCGGGAAAAAACTGCATCAAGCTACATGGGGAGGTAATGACTGCCCTTTTGTCTTCCAACTGGGATGTGGGTTTTGTCTCAGGTTGAGTTCCAGCCCGATGGCCAGATCTCCTGGAAATGTGTGTGTCCCCCCCACAGGCTGGTCCCTCGAGTGCCTGCAGGACTGGGCCTCCTTCCTCCGCCTGGCCATCCCCAGCATGCTCATGCTGTGCATGGAGTGGTGGGCCTATGAGGTCGGGAGCTTCCTCAGTGGTCTGTATGAGGATGGATGACGGGGACTGGTGGGAACCTGGGGGCCCTGTCTGGGTGCAAGGCGACAGCTGTCTTTCTTCACCAGGCATCCTCGGCATGGTGGAGCTGGGCGCTCAGTCCATCGTGTATGAACTGGCCATCATTGTGTACATGGTAAGCAGGGGAGCCGATCATGGGGAGGTGCCAGGCGTTTTCCTTGCTTGGTATCTGAAAGAGTCTATGGATGAGCACAGGCATTCGTACATGAATCATTTGTGAAATGATGGACAAAAGTCAAATCCCATCCTTGAGCCTGGGAGGGTACCTCTGCTACAGCTGGATCTTCCCTAGGAACTGAAGGGGGGCTGGAGAGAAACTGCACATGATCTGCTGGTTCTCCATCTCCTAACGCAGCTCCCAGCTGAATCTTCCCTTGAAAGATTTGATTTTGTTTCCATACTTTTAGAATCTTTTTCAGTTGTCACAACACAAATGCCTTGAGGGGCCAGGTGGGTGGCATAGCAGAGGGATGAGGCTGGGTGTATGACCATAAACATCAAGCTGCCTGTGTCACTATGCCCGCTCCTGCCTGGTTCTGAAGCCTCTGAAAACACAGTGTGGCTACTGCAAGGTAGATCCCCAAAACAACTGAAAGCAGGGTCTTAAAGGGATTTTTTTTTTTTTTTTGAGATGGAGTCCCACTCTTGTTGCCCTGGCTGGAGTGCAATGGTGTGATCTCGGCTCACTGCAACCTCCGCCTCCCGGGTTCAAGCATTTCTTCTGCCTCAGCCTCCCAAGTAGCTGAGATTACAGGTGCCTGCCACCACGCCCAGCTAATTTTGTATTTTCAGTAGAGACAGGGTTTCACCATGTTGGTCAGCTGGTCTTGAACTCCTGACCTCAGGCGATCTACCCGCCTTGGCCTCTCAAAGTGTTGGGATTACAGGCGTGAGCCACCGCGCCTGACTTGTTAACTGTGTTCACAGGAGCATTATTGACAGTAGACAAAAGGTGGAAGCAACCTATGTGTCTGCGGGTAAATGAAATGGGTTCTATGCATACAGTGGAGTATTATTCAGCCTTAAAAGGGAGGAAATTTTGATCATAGAGAACACTAGTCATTAGGAGGCTTTTCTTTGGCTTTATTTTCCTGAAAACATCAACTGGAGATTCTGAAGGAAGCAAGTACCATTTTAGAAATGTAAAATTAAAAACAAAGGGAGTTTATAATGTGGGGAGAAACTCAAGCCAGCAGATATGCTTGGCATTTTTTGCAGTATTAACACTTAGATTTTTTCCCTCTGATATTGGTTATGTTTTAAAACATAGAGTACACATTTTCTGTTTTGTTTAAGAATTATTCTCTTGCAGACCTATGTTTTTTGTTTTTGTTTTTCTATCCTTGGCAGAGTTTTTTAACATGGATTTTTTACTTCACTTTTAATATTTTATTTACATTTTATATTTGAGTAAATTCATTAACTATATCTAAGTCAAAATGCTTAATGGTATATAGGATTCCACTATATGTGATATACTTTTAAAATCAATTTCCTATGGTTGAATAGTTTATTTCCAATGTTTCAATATTAACAACTCTTCAAGGAACATCCTAGGAAAAAATATCTTCATATACTTGTCTGATTATTTCTTTAAGATTCATAAAAGTGGGCCCAGGGTATGTTCACGGGGCGATGCTGCCCTCCCAGCTGGCCCATGGGTGACCCTGGGAACATTAACTGCCTCACAACGTTTGTGCCTCAGTTACCCGTAGATGTAGTGAGGGTAACAATACTTACTCTCGTTGGTGATAAGGAACAGCTAACACAACACACAGGGTTTTTCTGCTCCCAAAATGGGATTCTTCAGTGCACCAAATCGAAGAAAGCACTGGAGCTCACGCTGGTTTCTCCATTGTTTCTCCTTAACAGTGGAAACTGTAACTTTTGTTCTAGTAGCATCTAGCATGCTCAATAATTATTTGTAAATAAAAGTTATACTTTCCCTCCAAAAAAAAAAAAAAAAAGATTCATAAAAGTGAAACAAAGGTACGATTTTATGTCTTTTGAATATATTTCCATATGCTTTCCAATAGGCTTGTAAGAATTTACACTTGTATTTCTTAATCAAAAGAAAGATGTATGCCCTTTCCTCAGGTTCACCAGTTTTGTCACATTTATTCTGTCTGGTCTATCTACACAGTCCATGTTCAAATACTATATCAATACAGTCAATTCAAAACAATACCAATTGTTCTGGTAATGTCCCTTATCACTAATTTTCCCCTAGCGTCATATCTCTTTAGTGTCCTTTAATCTGGAACAGATCTTCATTGTTCCTTCGTCTTTCTTGACCTTGGCATTTTTGAAGAACATAGGCCGTTATCTGTAGAAGTTCACTCAGTGTGGTGCAGCTGATGTTTCCTTATAAATAAATTTAGATTGTCCGTTTTGGGCAGGAAAGCTAGAGAAGTGATGCTGTGTCCTTCTTAGTGCACCATATCAGGAGGCACATGATGTTGATCTGTCTCAGTGTTGGTGATACTACTTTTTACTTGTTGGTGGTTGTTTTTATTTTACTTATTTTTTTTTTTTTAAGACAGTGTCTTGTTCTGGTGACAGCGGCCTGATCTTGGCTTACTACAGTCTTGACCTCCTGGACTCAAGCAATCCTCCCACCTCAGCCTCCTGAGTAGCTGGGACTACAGGCATGCACCACCACTCCCAGCTAATTTTTAAAAAAAATTTGGTCTTGTTATGTTGCCCAGGCTGGTCTCAAACTCCTGGGCTCAAGCAATCATTCCACCTTGGCCTTCCAAAGTGCTGGGATTACAGGCACAGCCATTGCACCCTGCCAGTATTAACTTTGATTGCTTGGTTAAGGTGGTACCTGCCAGGTTTCTCCTGTCAAGTTACTACCTTTCCCTTTGTAATGAATAAATAATTTGTCAGGCGATCTCTGTTTGTCCCTACTTGTGAATTTATAGGCAGAGACTCAGTCTTCTATTACTTTTTTATTTCTCAATCTGTGTATCAGATTTTCTTTAAGCTGGTCCATAGTCATCCTGATCCTAAGGCAATGTTCATGTTTCAACAAGTGATGACTCCTTTTTCCTTATTAATATTAATTTTTCAAGTGGTAACTTTATAAATAATAGTAATGGTAAATCTTTATTGAGCAATTCCTACATGCTTCTTCTAAGCAGTTAGCATGTATGGACTCATTAAGTTCCCACAATAGCCCAATGAGATAGGTTCTATGATTCAACTCCTTTTACAGATAAAACTCTGGAGGTTTTGAGAGGGTAAGTAACTTGCTCAGGGTGATGCAGCTGATAAAGTGGCTGTGCTGGGATTTGAGCCCAAGCAATCTGGCTTCAGAATCCTGATCCCTAACCACAATACAGGGTTGTTTCCCTGCAGTTCCTTTAGTGCCACTCCTGTCTTCTAAGCTGGATCCCTTGATGGTCTTTCAGAACAGACACTATGCCATGTGTGGAGGCGCATGCCTGTGATCCCAGCTACTTGAGAGGCTGAGGTTGCAGGATCGTTTGAGCCCAGGAGGTCGAGGCTGTAGTGAACTATGATTGTGCCACTGCACTCCAGCCTGAGGGACAGAGTGAGACCCTGTCCCTATTTATTTTATTTTATTTATTTATTTTGAGAAGGAGTTTCACTCTGTCGCACAGGCTGGAATGTAGTGGCACTATCGCAGCTCACTGCAACCTCCGCCTCCCAGGTTCAAGCGATTCTCCTGCCTCAGCCTGCTGAGTAGCTGGGATTACAGGCGTGCACCACCACGCCCAGCTAAGTTTTGTATTTTTTAATAGAGATGGGGTTTCACCATGTTGGCCAGGCTGGTCTCAAACTCCTGACCGCAAGTGATCCACCTGCCTCGGCCTCCCAAAGTGCTGGGATTACAGGCATGAGCCACCACGCCTGACCTCTGTCCCTATTTAAAAACAAAAACAAAAAAAAAACAGACAAAACCTGGGCTCCTGGTGAGTCAGTCCATCCCCCGACACCCAGAGGAGGAACATGGTTGTGCAGCACCCTCATGTCGCAGAGGTTGGAAGCTCTGCAGCAAAGCCCAGTTTGTGCTAAGCATCGTAACCTGGGGCTCAGTTTCCACAGTAGCGTGGGAGTTCCCGGCTAGACAAAGGGGATGTTGCAAATCAGTCTTTTCAAAACTTTTAGGACCAAGTTTTCCCACCAGGTGTGAGGCATGAGGCTGCTTCTCTGCACGTGTTCTCGCTCTGCAGTTTCTCACTCATTGTTGCAGGTTTCCTTTTTATTTTAGGTCCCTGCAGGCTTCAGTGTGGCTGCCAGTGTCCGGGTAGGAAACGCTCTGGGTGCTGGAGACATGGAGCAGGCACGGAAGTCCTCTACCGTTTCCCTGCTGATTACAGGTGCTGAGACCCCTTTACCCGAGGCTCTTGGTGCAGTCTCTGCATGCAAAACCCAGGCTCCTCCACTTCCTGTGGATCTTCTTGTTCACTGTGTTGTTTCTTCTGCCGTTTTTACCTTCAGTGCTCTTTGCTGTAGCCTTCAGTGTCCTGCTGTTAAGCTGTAAGGATCACGTGGGGTACATTTTTACTACCGACCGGTGAGTGCTAGGATTTTCTTGAAATGTGAAATCTGTGATAAAGAAATGGTTCATTGAGAAAATTTGTTCTCTAAAATCAGGCTGTTCAGAAACATTGCTGTTTGAAATCATATCAGTAAAAAGAAAACATCTCACTCACACCTGTAATCCCAGCACTTTGGGATCACCTGAGGTCAGGAGTTCAAGGCCAGCCTGACCAACATGGTGAAACCCTATCTCTACTAAAAATACAAAAATTAGCTGGGTGTGGTGGCAGACACCTGTAATCCCAGCTACTTGGGAGGCTGAAGCTGGAGAATCTCTTGAGCCCAGGAGGCAGAGGTTGCAGTGAGCCGAGATTGTGCCACTGCACTCCAGCCTGGGCAACAGAGCAAGACTCCGTCTTAAAAAAAAAAAAAAAAAGAAAGAAAGAAATGGTTCCTCCAAGAGCAAGATGCCAGCAGAAAAAGTTTTTTAAAACTAGGAATTTTTTTTAAAAAGAGGCCGGGCACAGTGGCTCACGCTGGTAATCCTAGCACTTTGGTATGTCAAGGCTGGCAGATCACCTGAGGTCAGGAGTTCGAGACCAGCCTGGCCAACATGGTGAAACCCCCATCTCCACTAAAAATACAAAAATTAGCTGGTCATGGTGGCACACGCCTGTAATCCCAGCTACTCAGGAGGCTGAGGTGGGAGAATCACTTGAACCCAGGAGGCAGAGGTGCCAGTGAGCCAAGATCGTGCCACTGCACTCCAGCCTGGGTGACAAGAATGAGACTCCATCTCAAAATTTAAAAAAGAAATGGTTAAATTGGATAGATGCTATCATAGAGGCCACCTATGGTTGTTGCAGCAGGGATGTCTGACTCATTTGCAAGATCAGAGGCTCGGCCGGGCGCGGTGGCTCACACCTGTAATCCCAGCACTTTGGGAGGTTGAGGCGGGTGGATCACAAGGTCAGGAGATCAAGACCATCCTGGCTAACACGGTGAAACCCCGTCTCTACTAAAAATAGAAAAAATTAGCTGGGCGTGGTGGCGGGCGCCTGTAGTCCCAGCTACTTGGGAGGCTGAGGTAGGAGAATGGCGTGAACCCGGGAGGTGGAGCTTGCAGTGAGCTGAGATCCCGCCACTGCACTCCAGCCTGGGCGACAGGGCAAGACTCTGTCTCAAAAAAAAAAAAAAAAAAAAGATCAGAGGCTCCACTGATGTTACTTGGGAAGAACATATTAGATGTAGGAACTGATGTATAATCTACAGTGCCAACTTAATGGGCATTGGTAATGATTTTATGCTTCTGCTGGTCATGTATTTTAAAGGTGGAAACCCCTTTTTAGTACGATTAATTACATTTTCAGTTAATTATTTTGTTTCCAGTGATAAGAATCCTCTTGGTTTCTTAGTATCGGCCAAAGTGCCCGGTTTGTAGTAGTTGCATAATATGTTTGTCAAACTGAATTGAAGTTAAAATCTCACCAGTGAGCTGTCTCAAAAGTCATATTCTCAGATTGATTACTGAAGAATTCTTGGATAAGTCCCCTCTGCTCTGCAGAATTTGTTTCCTTCATCAGCGATGCTAGTGTGTACATTCGGACTATATAGAAACTTCGTGGGGGTACTTCTTATTTGGACACCTTTGTCAGCAGTTACAAAATGCAAATGGACTTTGCCTTCCTGGATTCAGAAAGCTGGTGGAGCGGACAGAACTAATTTCATGGTTTATTCTTCACACATTTGACTTTTGACTTCAGATCGTAGGTTTTCATTTTTCAGCTTCAGCTATTTTGTTATGGGGAAATAAGATGTTTAGGCCAGGCACGGTGGCTCACTCCTGTAATCCCAACACTTTGGGAGGCTGAGGCAGATGGATTGCCTGAGTTTAGGAGTTCAAGACCAGCTGGTCGACATGGGGAAACCCTGTCTCTACTAAAAATACAAAAAAAATTAGCTAGGCGTGGTGAGGCACGCCTGCAATCCCAGCTACTCAGGAGGCTGAGGCAGGAGAATCACTTGAACCTGGGAGACGGAGGGTGCAGTGAGCTGAGATTGTGCCACTGCACTCCAGCCTGGGCAACAGAGTGAGACTCTGTCTCAAAAAAAAAAAAAAAGTTTATAACTCCCTCACTCAGAATGAGTGGGGAAGGCGATGGCAAATAGTTGGCTTTTCTCACAAAGGGAATCAGGATGAACTTTATGAGGACCAGGATAAATGGATGGTTTCAGAAGGAATATAGTAGAAGCTGGACTCTGAATCTGTCCACTTGGGAAACCATACAGCCCAGGAAAAGAATGAAAAACAAGAGGCCCACAAACTATAGAACTGACGAGATGAGGAAACATCAGAAACTCAACAATCAAATTACTTGTAAGGTGGCCAGGATCAACCCAACCTGGTAGAATCGGTGAAAGAGATGAACCTCTACCTAACTTAATCACAGGGGGCGGGAAACGGCACCTCTAACAAATAAAGGGGGACGTTACTACTAAACACAATCATTTTTAAAAATCCTAAGAGACTACTTTGCACAACTTTTTCCAAGGAAATCTAAAAATGTGGAATAAACAGATAATTTTCTAGGGAAATAATTGATCAGTATGTACCCTAGAAAAGATAGAAGGTCTAAATAACTGATTTCCTGTAAGAAATAAGAGAAAGCTTTTTTTTTTTTTTTTTTTTTTTTGACGGAGCCTCCCTCTGTCGCCCAGGCTGGAGTGCAGTGGCATGATCTCAGCTCACTGCAAGCTCTGCCTCCCGGGTTCACGCCATTCTCCTGCCTCAGCCTCCCAAGTAGCTGGGACTACAGGCGCCCGCCACCACGCTCGGCTAATTTTTTGTATTTTTGGTAGAGATGGGGTTTCACCGTGTTAGCCAGGATGGTCTCGATCTCCTGACCTTGTGATCCGCCCGCCTCGGCCTCCCAAAGTGCTGGGATTACAGCCATAAGCCACCACGCCCGGCCGAGAAAGCTATTTTAAAATGTCAAAAAGCACAATCCCAGAAGGTTCCAAAGGATAATTTTATAAAATCTTCAAAACATGGGGAATTGCAAACATAGATAAAACAGAAAATTTCAGAGCACAGGAAAAGGAAAACTTTGCATTCTGTTTATGAAGCAAATATAACATTGGTGCCAAAATCTGACAAAGTTTGCACATAAAAAAGAAAGAAAATCACAGATCACTCTTATGTATTAATATGAATTTAAAAATCCAAAATAAAATGTTATTAGACATAGGCTGGGCGCGGTGGCTCACGCCTGTAATCCCAGCACTTTGGGAGGCCGAGGTGGGTAGATCACGAGGTCAGGAGATCGAGACCATCCTGGCTAACATGGTGAAACCCTGTCTCTACTAAAAAATACAAAAAATTAGCCGGGCGTGGTGGCACGCACCTGTAGTCCCAGCTACTCGGGAGGCTGAGGCAGGAGAATGGCGTGAACCCGGGAGGCGGAGCTTGCAGTGAGCCGAGATTGAGCCACTGCACCCCAGCCTGGGCGACAGAGCGAGACTCCGTCTCAGACAAAAAAAAAATGTTATTAGACAGAATTTAGCAGCACATTGAAAAGAATATATTTGGGTGAAATATAAAAGTGAATATAGGCCAGGCGCGGTGGCTCATGCCTGTAATCCCAACACTTTGGGAGACTGAGGCAAAAGGATCACTTGAGCCCAGGAGTTCAAGACCAGCCTGGGAAACATGGCGAAACCCCATCTCTACAAAAAATAAAATTTAGCTGGGCATGGTGGTGTGCACCTGTAGTCCTAGCTACTCAAGAAGCTGAGGTGGGAGGATCACTTGAGCCTGAGAGGTTGAGGCTGCAGTGAGCCATGATTGCATCACTCCACTCCAGCCTGGGTGACAGTGAGACCCTGTCTAAAAAAAAAAGTGAATATAATATCTCAGGTGGAAAAAGCAAGGTGCAGAACATCATATAGAGAATGCTGCATGTGAAATGATAGAATATAGAAAGGAAAATTAAGAATATACATTTGTATTTGCTTATATTTTCATAGACACTAGACAAACATGGAACGTGCTAGGAATTGTTACCTGGAGGAGGCAGGGCTGGTACTGGGGCAAACTGGAAGGGCATTGCAGTAAGACTTTGCTTACTATCTTGTTCATATTGTTCCATTTTTTGACCATGTGCATGTTACCTATTCAAAAAATAAAATTTGAATAAAATAATTATATTTCTGTCCTTTTTGGTGAGGAGGAAGTGATCATCTTGTTCAGTGCTGGATTTCTTTTCTTTTCTTTTTTTTGAGATGGAGTTTCGCTCTTGTTGCCCAGGCTGGAGTGCAATGGCACGATCTCGGCTCATCGCAATCTCCGCCTCCTGGTTTCAAGTGATTCTCCTGCCTCAGCCTCCCGAGTAGCTGGGATTACAGGCATGCACCACCACACCTGCTAATTTTGTATTTTTAGAAGAGATGGGAGTTCTCCATGTTGGTCAGGCTGGTCTCGAACTCACCACCTCAGGTGATCTGCCTGCCTTGGCCTCCCAAAGTGCAGGGATTACAGGCATGAGCCACCACTCCTGGGCCAGTGCTGGATTTCTTATTTAGTAATTAAACAAGTATTTATTGGGAGACAGTCTTCTAGGTTCTAGTTTAGAGTGACAAAACTCACTCCAAGGGTGTTGTGAATTTCCTGCTTCCCCAGGTCAGGGCAGCATTTTTCTCATCTCCCTTCACATGCAGAGGTTAGAATCCAAGTCTCTAGCTTTAGGGGTTCCATTTCTAGGAACCAAGGATAATTCTGCAGAATATATCTATGGCCTTTACCAACCTTCGTTCCATAGAGGGAACTTAATTTTTACTCTGTAGTGCTTCACTGAGGCTTACTAGGAGACACAGTCAGACTTGGCCTGTGGCATCATCTTAAAAGAAGGATGATCATAGCATCCAAACTTGCCGGGATGATAGGTGCGTGCCACTGTGCCCAGCCAAACTTCTTTTCAGCTGATGGGGAACGGGGGAGGGATGTCACCAAATCCCTTGATTTGTCTACACTGACCAGATGGACTATGCGGTAACCCCTCTTTATCCTTGGTTTTGCTTTCCAAGGTTTAGTCACCTGCAGTCAATTTTGGTCTGAAAATCTTTTTTTTTTTTTTTTTTTTTGAGATGGACTCTCGCTCTGTCGCCCAGGCTGGAGTGCAGTGGCATGATCTCAGCTCACTGCGAGCTCTGCCTCCCAGGTTCACGCCATTCTCCTGTCTCAGCCTCCCCAGCAGCTGGGACTACAGGCGCCCGCCACCACGCCCGGCTAATTTTTTTGTATTTTTAGTAGAGACGGGGTTTCACCATGTTAGCCAGGATGGTCTCGATCTCCTGACCTTGTGATCCGCCCGCCTCGGCCTCCCAAAGTGCTGGAATTACAGGCGTGAGCCACCGTGCCTGGTGGTCTGAAAATCTTAAGTGGAAAATTCCAGAAATAAACAATTCATAAGTTTTCAATTGCGTGCGGTTATGAGTATTAGGAGGAAATCTCACGTCCCGCCTGGGACATGAAATCATCCCTTTGTCCAACATCTCCACGCTGTGTGTGCTTTCCACCCGCTAGTTATTTCAGATTGACTGTTTTGGTATCACAGTGCTAGTAATCCCAAAGCACAAAAGTAGTGATGCTGGCATGTGGTTATGGCCTACTTTATTACTACTGTTGTTACTCTCTTACTGTGCCCAAATTATGAATTAACATTATCATAATGTATTTGTGTATAAGGAAAACACAATGTATTTAGGGTTCAGTCCTCTCTGCGATTTCAGGCATCCACTGGGGGACTTGAAACATATCTCTTGAAGACAAGGGTGTGGTGCTGCCTATTTTTTCTAAAAGCTGTGAGATACAACATGCAGTTAGTTTCCTCTATGGACCCAGCAACAGGTGAACTGTCCCTGACTAGGCTGCTGGCCTCAATGCATGTGCATGTCTGTAATATGCAGAAAGCTATATACTTTTTTTTTTAAGACAGTCTCGCTCTGTCATTCAGGCTGAAGTGCAGTGATGAGATCTCAGCTCACTGCAACCTCTGCCTCCCGGGTTCAAGCGATTCTCCTGCCTCAGCCTCCTGAGTAGCTGGGATTACAGGTACCCACCACCAGGCCTGGCTAATTTTATATTTTTAGTAGATACGGGGTTTCACCATGTTGGCCAGGCTGGTCTCAAACTCCTGACCTCAGGTGATCCTCCCGCCTCAGCCTCCCAAAGTGCTGAGATTACAGGCATGAGCCACTGCGCCTAGCCAGAAAGCTATATACTTCTTTCTCCACTTTGTCTCCTAATCACCACGTGCTTTATTTTCCTAACAGAGACATCATTAATCTGGTGGCTCAGGTGGTTCCAATTTATGCTGTTTCCCACCTCTTTGAAGCTCTTGCTGTAAGTATTATGTAGTAGTCCCCTAAGCACTGTTATGATCTTCTGATGGTGGTAAATTTCAGCTGAGAGGAGGGGCCAGCATAGGTAGGAAGATTGAATATTGTTACCACATTTCGTTTAGAAGGATACTGTCACCTTACCATGGATTTTAGCACAGAATATGAAGTGCTCGGGAGATGGGAGTGTTTCAAGAGCGCCGGATGTGTTCACAGTGATGGAATGCTCTCTGCCTGCAGTGCACGAGTGGTGGTGTTCTGAGGGGGAGTGGAAATCAGAAGGTTGGAGCCATTGTGAATACCATTGGGTACTATGTGGTTGGCCTCCCCATCGGGATCGCGCTGATGTTTGCAACCACACTTGGAGTGATGGGTAAGCTCTAACCTCTGCAGGCAGGGCTTAGCTGCTCACCAGCCCAGGAAATGACCGTCGGAGCACACGGGTCTTTGACTGAGGCTCACCTCTGAAACTCGGGAGCTCGCCCACGTCCATTCTGTGTCTTGTCAGAGAGTGTAGGGGGCGTTCAGGAGGTGACCTCCAGCTCTAGCCAGGGCCCCAAGGCTATGTGGTCCTGCCCCTCACACCCCTGCGGGCGATCTTCCACGCTGACACACTTGAGCACAGATGCCCTTTCTACCAACCTCCTATCCTGAGTCATCCAGCCCTCACTTCTCTAAAGGAGGCAACAGCAGGGACCGCTGAAGAAGCATTTGGAAGCATCCCCTTAGTGTGTTTCGTGCTGTTCTTTAGAGACAGCATGTGAGCCCCTGAGGGTGACTCTGCAGGGCCAGGGCTATCGTAGGCGGTCCTGCGTGCGTGGGGTGCTGCAGGGTCTGCACTCACGGTGGCACTCTGCATCCTAGAGCAGTGCCCCATGTGCTCACCAAGCAGCATGGCTGGATCCTTGGAGGGCAATGGGTGGCCAGTGCCCTTCTCATCACCCTCATCGCACTCCGCAGCCTCCACCTCCCTCCTTGTGCAGCCTTAGCTCTGTGCCCCCACAGAGCTCCCCACAAGGCCATACACGTGGTCGGTGTGAACAGCACAGAAGGAAGGGGGCGGACTTGAGCACCTTCCCACATTTGGAAGAAAAAACTTAATCCACAGCATCTGAAATTACCAGAGCTAATCTTTTTAAAAAGTACGGAAATAAATGACTGCCCAGCTTTGATTTCTAAAATAATAATTTGGAACATATTGGCAGTTAATAAATGATGATATGAAAACCTGGACATTTATCTTTGGGGTGAGTAGTGACTGACTTAAAGCGTGGCTTGTTTTGATTCATCTGTACTTGGCAGGCTCAGAGGTGGTGAGAAGTCAACTGATACCTACAGGGAACTTCCAGTTCAGTATGTTCCTTTATGTGGCACATTTTTCTCAAGTTCAATAATATTTTAATTAAAAATACAGGAGTTGTTCAAAGAATAGTATTGCCAATGCAAAGTTCATTGGGCTTGCATGATAGTGCAGAAAATTATTTAGCTGAGTTTCTGGTGCGATTCATAGTTTGGATTTGCCAATTGCCTAGCTAATGCAAATATTATAGAAATCTAATTTATTTTTATTTTTAAAGTAATGTATTTTATGTAACACAATATGTCTAAAATTATTGCAACGTGCAATCAGTATAAAATATTAAGGAAATAATTTAAATTCTCTATATTATATCTTTTAAACTTTAAATTGACAAATTATAGTTGTATACATTTATGGGGTACAGTGTGGTGTTTTGATATATGTATAAAATGTGGAATGATTAAATTAAGCTAATTAACATACTTATCACCACTTATTTTTTATGGTGAGACATTTGAAATTTACTTAGTTAATTCAAAATGTGCAGTACATTGACTACAGTCACCCTGGTGTGCAATTGATCTCAAAACTTATTCTTCCTGTCTATCAGAAATTTGTACCTTAACAACTCCCCATTCCCATGCCCTCCCCTCCTTGCCACCAGTCCCTGCTAACCATCATTCTACTCTCTACTTCTATGAGTTCAACTTTTTTAGAAGAGGAGTCTACTTTATTCTCCTGTTTCATTTTTTACAGATGGGGTCTTGCTATGTTGCCCAGGCTGGTCTCAAACTCCTTGACTCAAGTGATCCTCCCACCTTGGCCTCCCAAGTATCTGGGATTACAGGCATGAGGAACCTGCTTTGAAATATAAATCCATCTGTATCCCAAGTGCCGTCCTTGGCTCACCTATTCATTTAACAGAATATATCTAGGCCAGGCACAGTGGCTCATGCCTGTAATTCCAGCACTTTGGGAGGCTGAGGTGGGTGGTTCACTTGAGGTTAAGAGTTTGAGACCAACCTGGGCAACTTGGCGAAACCCCGTCTCTACTAAAAATACAAAAATTAGCCAGGTGTGGTGGTGTGCGCCTGTAGTTCCAGCTACTTGGGAGGCTGAGGCACAAGAATTGCTTGAACCCGGGAGGCGGAGGCTGCAGTGAGCAAGATGGCACCACTGCACTCCAGCCTGGGCGACAGAGTGAGACTCTACCTTAAAAAAAAAAAGCGTAACTAATTGTGCAAAGTAGAAGAGGAAGTTGAGAATCACTGAAAAGAAATGGTGGGGGCCCTGGGGATGTGAGGGCTCTATGAGAAGCCTATAGTCAATCCCCCCCACCCACCTATTAGAAGAAATTGTGGTACGAATTGGTTTTGAGTATTGTGTCTCCTGGTATGGTATGCAGTATACCTATACAAGGTGTCTAGGAGAGCATCAGAATTCTGCAGGTTCTCAGAAGCAACCTCAGGAAATCATAATGACCCTCAGAATCCCTGGGAGACATTTTAAATATGTAAATTCCTGGGCCTTGCCCATGAGATCTAATAATCATCCCACTTTGGGCTCATAGGTTGGGTCAAATAGAAATCTTTTAAATGATGTATGCTAAAATTATTGGAAATCTAATTCATAACTTTCAAATTATAGCTGGAGTTAGCTGGTTATTTCCTGTTTAAGGTGGTTCAGGTGAGCTTGTAGTTTCTATGTACTGAGAACACTGGATTTGAAAGAGGAAGCCAGTAGCTTGCTTTTACTAATTTTTTATAGGACTAGCAGGTGGCACCAACTATACTATTCTAAGAGCAGGCTAGGCTGGGCGTAGTGACTCATACCTATAATCCTAGTGCTTTGGAAGCCAAGGCAGGAGGATCACTTGACTCTAGGAGTTGGAGGCTGTAGTGAGCTGTGGTCATGCCACTGCTCTCCAGCCTGGGCAACAGAGCAAGACCCTGACTCTAAAAAGCAAACAAACAAACAAAAGGGCAGGCTGATCATACCTGAAAAATGTGATTGGTACCAAGAAACAGAGCTGTAAAACCTGTACCGAATCCATAAACCAGGAACCCAGACTAGCCACCTTAACCCTTACATAGATCTGGACAGCTGTGGAAATAAACCAGGACCAACCAAGCAAGACAAGCAAAGTCTGTGTATTCTCAGCAAGGGTGTTGGCTGCCACCACTTGCATTTGGGCAGAAACTCAAAGGCAGGCAAAGGAGTGGGAAAGCGTCACAGTGGATAAAAGGGGAGGCTGCAGGTGTGTCCTGAGTGGAGATTGTTGATCTGGGGGATGCTGGAGGTGGCTGACTAGAAATGGGCCTCCCATGTGATTGGTTAGGGGGATGTATTTTACTTTCTCTGGTTGGTCCTAAGTTGGAAGTGCAGACCAAAATTAGGCAAGCTGTCAGTTGCTAATCAAGTCCTGGCCATCTGGGGCCAATCGTTACAGAAGTTACTGGTTAGCTTCCTGGATTGTTACCAAAGGCAGCGATCTTGCTTCCTGCAAGTCTGATTTAGGGAAGGCTGGCTTCCTGGGTTTATTGTAGATGGGGTGGGGTTTCTTGGGCAGGGTGCTGCAGGTTGTGAGGCAGAGGTCTGTTTTTATTACGGTCAGGACTTTGTCTCTTGGTTATTGTTGGAGCTTTTGGTTCTGCCATTAGTTTACTGTTGACCAAAAAACCCTCCTCACCTGGGGTCTCCCTCTGTGCCCTGTGTGGTGCCTTGAGATTCACAGGGCTTTTCCCGCCATCCATTCCCACCTGGCCTGCCTTTGGTGTTCTCCAGTCATCTGTAGGTGCTCAGCCCTGCTCTGGAAGCTTCTAGCAAAGTCTGTGTCAGAAGCAAGTTAAGGTCCAAGGTCTGGCAGGAACTCTGAGGAAGAGAACATTAGTAGTTTATATGGCTAGTGATTTCTGCTTTTTTTTTTTTTAATGTTAGTCCCCTTTTTTGAGGAAACCAGGGCAGAAGTAGTTGGTCCTGGGAAATTTTAATTTCCTTATAACTGGCATTTTTCTTAATATTCAAGCATTATAATCAGTAAGGCCAAAAATATCCTCTGAATATTTGTTCCGAAATCCTGAACCAAAAGAGATGGCCCTTTTGGGGGTGGCCTCAAGGAGTACTGGGCTTTCCAGAACCTTCTGGAACCTTCTGGAAGCCTGAGGAGGAGCAGGATAGAGGTCTCTGGCCCGCTGTGGGCTCCACCTCAGCCATGAAAGCAGATATTCAGTATGGCTGACAGAAGTGATATAGGCAAAACATACTCCCCAGGGGCAGCTGGTTTTCTATGGAATTAACCTCTATTAAATATTTCTATTTCTAGGTCTGTGGTCAGGGATCATCATCTGTACAGTCTTTCAAGCTGTGTGTTTTCTAGGCTTTATTATTCAGCTAAATTGGAAAAAAGCCTGTCAGCAGGTAACTATGTTCATTCTGTCCCGGTAAAGGTTCCTCTCCTAGAAAAACAGGATCTGATCTGGCTCTCCCTTTTTTCTTTTGGAAAGTTCTTTTCTCATTTTCTTTATTCTTATCTCATGAATACTATTGTTCTTGTTGTTTTAACTAGACAGTTCAGATGTGAAGGGCCAGATGATCCTGGCTTTATCTATTCCCAGAAAAACAGGGGACTCCTTTCTTCCTTGTCTCCCATGCCAGGCTGTCACCCTTGTGCAGGAAAATCCAATTTCAGGACAAGAATTAGAACTGGAGAGAAATGTGGGATGCATCAAAGTCATCCTGATGTTGTTTTTATGGTCTCCAAATGTTTTGTTAAGATACTTGTGTGCATCCTTCCCTTCAACTTTCTAGGGTCAGTGTGAGGTCTAGAAATAGGTGGTAGAAAAATGAGATGAGTCGAGGTACAGTGGCTTATGCCTGTAGTCCCAGCTATTCAGGAGGCTGAGGCAGGAGGATCGCTTGAGCCCTAGAGTTCGAGGCTGCAGTCATCTGTGATCACTGCACTCCAGCCTGAGTGATGGAGCGAGACCCTGTCTCTACAAATAAAAATGTTTTAAAAAGAAAGAGATAAAGTAAAAAGGGAGAGTTCTAAATGATCTTGGTCCCTCTCTTGTCCCTGTCTCCCTCACCCTGTACTGTTCCCATCCCACCTTCCCTTTCATGGACCCCATTTCAGCCTTTTCTGTTTTCTTTTTCTTAAGAGACAGGCTCTCACTCTGTCACCCAGGCTGGACTATAGTGGCAGGATCACATCTCGCTGGAGTCTCAACCTCCTGGGCTCAAGTGATCCTCCTGTCTCAGCCTCCCAGGTAGTTGGGAATACAGACATGCGCCACCATGCCTGGCTGTTTTTTTTGTTGTTGTTGTTATTTTTTTGTTTTTAATTTTTTAATTGAGATGGGATCTTGCTGTGTTGCGCAGGCTGGCCTTGAATTCCTGGGCTCAAGCAATCCTCTCTCCTCAGCCCCCCAAAGTGCTGGGATTACAGGTGTGAGCACTGAGCCTGGCCCCATTTCAATCTTTATGAAAGATGACCTGTGAATGAGAGGAACTTCAGCTATACATGCCAATTAAGGAAAATGGCTTGGCTCTTCCTAAACTAGGTGGTCAAGTAAAATACCATATTAACACTATTGTGAAGCCTGATGGACTGAGTTTCATTTTCCAGGCTCAGGTACACGCCAATTTGAAAGTAAACAACGTGCCTCGGAGTGGGAATTCTGCTCTCCCTCAGGATCCGCTTCACCCAGGTAAGATATGACTCCCTCAGCCCTTGGACAGGCCTGTCTAGGTAGGACTGGAGGGGCTGTTAGTGAGACACAGCTAGATTTGCTGCTATGAGCTCTCATTTAAATAGGGCAATAATGTTTCAGAAACACATGATAAAGCCAAGTAACACACAATTCAAGGTAAACTGAGTTCATTCCACACATTAGTAAACCGCTATAGATGACTGAAAGGTCCCCAGTTCCTCCCCTAATTTCTGCAAGCACTTTGCAGGCATTTCTAACACTTGGAAATACTGTGCTTCTACCATAGCTTAGAAACTGACATTTGTTTGTTTTAATGGGGTCCCTGCTGTTCATCAGGCAGACACTTGTGGGCTTTAAACAGGTCGTTGCTTGGACCTTTGCTTCTGATTCACATTGTGCAAATGTGGTTATGGTTTTCTTCAGTCAGTTGAGTAATCCCCCCGATTCCTGGCCCCTTAGGCAGTTAGCCACCCACTCTCAGTAACCCTTGCTCCTTTATAATTTAAACACTTTGACTTCATAGAATGGCTGATACTTAGTCAGTGGTCAGTTGTGTTGTTTCTGCCAATTTTCATTCATGTTGTCTAGGCTCCTGTGCTGTGTGTCTGGTTATCTTTGATTTTAATTTATTTTTAAATTAATTTTTTAAAATTAAAGAAAAACTTTTTTTTTTTTAAATAGAAAGAGGGTCTTGCCCTGTTGCCCATGATGGTGTGCAGTGTAGCTCACTGCACCCTTTACATCTTGGGCTCAAGCGATCCTCCTGCCTTGGCCTCCCAAAGCAGTGGGATTACAGGCGTGAGCCACCACACCTGGCCTGGTTATCTTTGATTATGTTCCAGACTTTATATTTGAAAATTGTTCATAGAAGTAACTTGAGCCTGAAAGAATGTTGTCTATTTATCTTCAGAGAGGATTTTCTTTTCCTTCTGTTGGACACTGAGGGTGACCAGCAGTCTAGGGCAATCTTGGAAATGGAGCTTTCTGGAGCACCCAGCCAAACTGAAGGTGTGCTGCAGCCAGTGTGAGGCTTGGTTTACTTCTTCTGGTTCATGCTTTTTTTTTTTTTTTTTTTTTAAAAGCAGTCTCACCCTATTGCCCAGGCTGGAGTGCAATGGTGCGATCTCAGCTCACTGCAACCTCCGCCTCCCGGGTTCAAGCGATTCTCCTGCCTCAGCTTCCCAAGTAGCTGGGATTATAGGCGCCCACCACCATACCTGGCTAATTTTTGTATTTTTAGTGGATATGGAGTTTCACCACGTTGGTCAGGCTGGTCTCGAACTCCTGACCACAAGTGATCCACCCTCCTCGGCCCCCCAAAGTGCTGGGATTACAGGCGTGAGCCACCACACCTGGACTGGTTCATCCTTAAGTCTTGGATGCAGCCCTTTGGGGTTCTAACCACAAGTACAGAGAGGTTTGCCAGGGCCTGATTCTTGGTAGGTACCCAAGTCGCCAAAGCCCTGGTCAGCGTCTCAGTCATGTGATCTGGATGTAGGTCTCTCTGACCTGCATCCTCTCATCTCTCTGATCTGAATGAACTCTCTGATGTGAAGCAGCCTCAGAGGCTGGGCAGCCCCTCTGGGTTTCCTTCGTCCCTGGATCTTGCCCTGGTGACTCTTCATTACATTGTTTGCATTCTGATGCCTTCAAGATGATATTTAATTTGTTTTATTGAGGTTCTATAATGATCTTCAGGGAAGGGTTGGTGGATGTTTTCTACCATCTTGCCAATTTCCCTGATTTGTGAAATCCGCATAACAATAGCACTTATCCCTGTTGTTGTTTTTGAGTCTCACTCTGTCGCCCAGGCTGGAGTGCAGTGGCTCGTTTTCACTGCAACCTCTATCTCCCAGGTTTAAGTGATTCTCCTGCCTCAGCCTCCTGAGTAGCTGGGATTACAGGTGTGTGCGGTGGTGTACCACCACACCCTGCTAATATTTGTATTTTTAGCAGAGACGGGATTTCACCATGTTGGCCAGACTTTTCTTGAACTCCTGACCTCAAGTGATCCGCCTGGCTCGGCCTCCCAAAGTACTGGGATTACAGGCGTGAGCCACCACACCCGGCCTAACAATGGCACTTACTTTTATACTACCGCTGTTGGGGTTGAGAAGCACCCAGAACTGCCTGACCAGGGAAAGCATTTTGTTAAGTGTGAGCTGGTATGATTCTGTTCAAAATGATTTTCTTTTTCTCCCTCCCTCCCTCCCTCCCTTTTTCTCTCTTTCTCTCTTTCTCTGTCACCCAGGCTGGAGTGCAGTGGTGCGATCAAGGTTCACTGCAGCCTTGACCTCCTGGGCTCAAGCAACCTGCCTGTCTCAGCCTTCCAAAGTGCTGGGATTAGAGGCATGAGCCACTGCACCCGGCCCAAAATGATTTTCTTTCAGAACTCTGAGGATATTGCTACATTCCTAACATTCATCCACTTATGCTCATTAGGAAGTGGGATGGCCAAGCTTATTCTCGTGCCATTATGTAATATGCCTTCATTTTTCTCTTCGGAAGCTTTTAGGACATTTTCTTATTATTATTCCTTTTTTTTTTTTTTTGAGATAGGGTCTTGTTCTGTCACCCAGGCTGGAGTGCAGTGGTGCAATTATAGCTCACTGCAGTCTCAAACTCCTAGGCTCAAACAGTCCTCCCGTTTTAGCCTCCTGAGTAGCTGGGATTACAGGTGCGTGCCACTATGCTCAGCTAACTCTTTAATATTTTTGTAGAGACCAGGTCTTGCTTTGCAGCCCAGGTTGGTCTTGAACTTCTGGATTCAAGCAATCCTCCTGCTTTAGCCTCTCAAAGTGTTGGGATTACAGGTGTGAACCACCACGCCTGGCCTATTACTCTTACTGTTCTGAAGTGTCTTGAGACTAAGTCTAGGTGTGAATCATTATCTGCTTGAAACTGTTGGGGTGAAGGAGAAGCTATCCCCTTGCCCTCCGATGGTTCACTGAAAAATCAACTTATAATAAGGCCGATGAATAAGAGAAAAGGCATACAAATGTATTTAACCATGCAAAAGGGAAGAATCACAGTCATTACCCAACATCCCAGTGAGGCCCAACACTCATATAACCAACTTTCAGAGGGGAGAGAGGAGATAGGGCATTTGGTGCTTCTGTTGAGGGATAGTAAATGAGTACTAGGGAAAATGATTGAATATTTTGCAGAATGAATGGATTGGGGGCAGGGTGGACAGACTGGTTCCCTTTGGAAGTTGAATGAACCTGAGAGACTGGCATTATTTTGTAAAAGGTTTGGCAATTGTTCTTCTTGGTGGGTTTGTCTGGCTTTTATGTAGATGGGGAAAAGTCTCTTTCAAGGCCTGTTGATCTCCAAAGAGTTTTTAATTTAAAATACTCATTATACCAGGGAGCCATATCTTGGGGTGAAATTCTCTGCAATCCTTCAATACTTAGTAGGCCCTTTGATGTGAACGGTCACATCTTTCTCCCATTCTGTGAATAGCCTTGTATTCTTTCTTCCTTCCTTTTTTTTTTTTTTTTTTGACACTGGGTCTCTCTCTGTCACTCAGGCTGGACTGCAGTAGCACAATCATAGCTAACTGCACCTCGATATCCTGGGCTCAAGTGATCCTCCCACCTCAGTCTCCCAAGTAGTTGGGACTATAGGCATACGCCATCAGGCCCAGCAAAGTTTTTGTTTGTAGAGATGAGGTATCACTATGTTGCCCAGGCTGGTCTTGAACTCCTGGGCTCAAGGGATTCTCCCACCTCAGCATCCCAAAGTGTTGGAATTACGGGCGTGAGCCATCGCACCCAGACTTGAATTATTTCTTAGGTTGTTTCTCCTTGTGTTTTGTTCTGAAATGCTTATTAGATGGGTGTTGGCTCCTTGAAAATTTCCCCTGTGAATCCTTTTTTTTTTTTCCCTTGGAGTGGAGTTTTGCTCTTGTTGCCCAGGCTAGAGTGCAATGGCACCATCTTGGCTCACCCAAACCTCTGCCTCCTGGGTTCAAGCGATTCTCCTGCCTCACTGCCTCAGCCTCCTGAGTAGCTGGGATTACAAGCATGTGCCACCATGTCCGGCTAATTTTGTATTTTTAGTAGAGACGGGGTTTCTCCATATTGGTCAGGCTGGTCTCTAACTCCCAACCTCAGGTGATCTGCCTGCCTCAGCCTCCCAAAGTGCTGGGATTACAGGCATGAGCCACCGCGCCCGGCTTCCCTGTGAATTTTAATGGAGAGGGCTACCTTATTTCTCTAGCTCCTGGGAGAGTGCTCCCTGGAGCACCCAAGCCAGCGCTGGTAGGATCATCGGTGTTCGTGAAGGAGTGAGTGGAGGGGCACTCTGCGATAAGATTTCTTTTATTTATTCACTGTAGCAATAGTGTCCTGAATTAACTTTCTCTCCACTATTAGCACATATTCCTTTTATACATAGCCCTTTATAAAAATGAAAAAAAAAATCCCTTTTAAGCTGCTAAGTTCCTTTTTCCTCCCAGGGTGCCCTGAAAACCTTGAAGGAATTTTAACGAACGATGTTGGAAAGACAGGCGAGCCTCAGTCAGATCAGCAGATGCGCCAAGAAGAACCTTTGCCGGAACATCCACAGGACGGCGCTAAATTGTCCAGGAAACAGCTGGTGCTGCGGCGAGGGCTTCTGCTCCTGGGGGTCTTCTTAATCTTGCTGGTGGGGATTTTAGTGAGATTCTATGTCAGAATTCAGTGACGTGGTAGGAAAGAAAGTCAGGTCAAGTGATGCTTTTGAGCTTACACACAATTCACAGGCCCACCAGTGACAATTTACTGTGAGTTAATGTCATTCAGGTGTGCCCATGGATTTTGAGGGCTGGAAATGCAAAGACACATTTTTCTATAAAAAGAAAAAGCAACTAAGGTTAAAAGCTATATTGTGGCCCAAGACACTGTCTGAAAGATGACATGAGTAGTAATTCACCACTATCTGAACCAAGCAAGGATCAATGTGCTGACTGCATTGGCCAATGGCTTTGATACTTCTGCTATTTTTTTAGACACAAACCCATAAACTAACTGCTTAAGAATTCATACTGCTTGAATTATGTAAAATATATTTTACAGTATATCTTTCCTTGGGCCTTAGATTACTATTCACTGGGCAAATGGTATTTGTTTTTGTTTTAATTTTTTTTTTAATAGACGGAAGTCTTGCTCTGTCATGCAGGCTGGAGTGCGGTGGTGCGATCATAGCTCACTGCAGCCTCGAACTCTTGGGCTTCAAGCAATCCTCCTGTGTCAGCCACCAGAGTAGCTGAGACTACAGGGGTATGCCACCATGCCCAGCTGGCATTTGTTAATCTTCATTTGAGGTCTAGATCTAGGCACTGTGGACACTGAAAAACAGTTGGGAAATCTTTCGAGCTGTGGAAATCCAAACAAAGACTGATAATTCCTGGTAGGGGTGTGTGCGTGACGTACTGCAGCCTCAACCTCCTGGGCTCAAGTGATCCTCCCACCTCAGCCTCCTGAGTAGCTGAGACCACAGGCGTGTGCCACCACGCCTAGCTAATTTTTTATACCAGGGTCTACCCTTTGTTTCCCAGGCTGGTCTTGAATTCCTGGGATCAAGCAATCCTTCCACCTTGCCCTCCCAAAGTGTTGGGATTATAGGCATGAGCCACCACGACTGGCCAGAGGACAAAATTTTAATAAAGGTCTTAGCTTAAGCAGTAATCCTACTTCATTAAGCCTTCCTGGGGTGCGGTACACACCGTTAATTCAGCAACCCTCAGTACATACTAAGTATGCTCAGTGCTGTGAAAGTGGATTACACCAAATTAAGTCATTCTTATCACACCCAATCAAAAGTCAAGAAGCCAGGGATAAAAGCACCTCAGGCACATAACATTAATCTAGTAATGTAATTCTCTGCACATCCAGCTGGTGAAACTGCGTGCTGTAAGCTGGGACCAGCTTTGTCCATAACTGCTGAGAGAACTTGCTGAAGCTCTAGGAATAATTTTGCCTGCCCGGTTGCTCACCAGTTGTAGCTTGCCAGCTCCCAACACCCTTCCTGGTGCCAATAAACTTTCTCAAAGAGCAATACTGACATTTCTTTTGATAAAACCTCCAGCCTTCTCTGTGTTGTTCCGACATACCGAGGACCAACTGGTCTACATGGATGCCCTGAACATGCAATTCTTTCTTCCAAAATAAAACATTAAATAGAGATTTTGCCTCTACATTTTTGACTTAGTGCTAGGATGGATATAATGCTCTAGGCATGGCCTTTTCCTGAAATAACAAAATCAGAAAAGTTACCTACTTTGAGTAAAAAACACCCAACTGCTGATTTTGGTTGGGGCCACCTTAAGGTATCTCTACCCTCAGTGCCTTGTTCTTGGGGCCACGAGGCCCATTCTCCAGGAAGGCAGGTAAAGGCTTGCACTGTGGCCCTCGGGGTTGGGCCTGGGGGCAGGGGGCAGACACCACAGAGGCCCCTCCCCAGCTCCTCGTCAGGAACCCTCGAACCCTGTCTCCATTCCCCTCGCACAGGACTCCCTGCCCTTCCCCTTGCCAGGTAGGGCAGGGACCCCCTGGGGATAAGAGGAGGTTCTTTCAACCACCAGCCACAAATAGCCGCGGCCAGGAGGCCACCCCGGGCCGCCAGGAGCAGGGAGGCTGGGGTCCCTGCGAGGCAGGACCCCTCCTCTCCCGGAAACACTGAACCCGCAGCAAGCCCAGGCCAGAAGCATGCCAGAAAGCGCCAGCCCTGTGCTCCGCGGGAGGATGGAATCACCAGCTCAGTCCTGTCTGCCCACCCTCTAGGCATTTTGCTCTTCCAACCTGACCTACAAACTCTCCTGATAAAAACCCGTGTCATCCAAAAGCACACGAGGGGTCCTCTCACGCAGGGACCCCTTCCCCGAGCCCCCTTCATAAGCCCCCAAGGGCCCTCCCGGTGCCCTCCCCCAGAGTTCTGCGGGCGGCGACCATTGCCCTGGGCGTCTGGAGCGGGTCCGGGACGGGGAGGGGCGGGGCTGGGTGGGATCGGGTCGCCCCCCTCACCCCCACACCGCGCTGCGGTCCCGCGCCCGCGCCGCCGCCAGCCGCTCCCAGCCTCCGCATGGAGGCCCCTGCGGCCGCCGACGCCCCGGTCCCCGCCGAGCTCCCCGCCGCCGCCAAGGACCGGCCCCCATAGCGGCTCCGGGCCCTCGGATGGCGTGACGGCTTGTGGGGCCTGCGGGGTGCGCTGCCCCCGGACCTGCGGGGGGAGGCGGCTGAGCTGGCGGCGCTCGCGGGCCCAGTGGTGAGTGCGGCGTCCTCACGCCCAGCCCGACGCCTCCGGAGCGGCCGCCGCGCAGGGGTGGGCGCGGGCTTCCAGGAGGGAGGGCGGCTGTGAACGCGCCTTGCTTTCCGCGCCTCCGCAGTTTCTTGCGCAGTTGATGATCTTTATAATCAGCCTCGTCAGCTCCATCTTCTGTGGACATCTGGGCAAGGTCGAGCCGGACGCTGTCACGCTCGCCGTCACGGTGGGTGCCTGATTTCGCCCCTGTAGGAGCCGACGGGCGGCCAAGGGTTAGGATTTGAGCGGTGTCCCCAGGCGCTGTGGCTCACGACTGTAATCCCAGCGCTTTGGGAGGCCCAGGTGGGAGGATCGCTTGAGCTCAGGAGTTCGAGACCAGCCTGGGCAGCATAGCAAGACCCCCGTCTCTACTAAAAATACAAAAATTATCCCAGCGTGGTGGCACCGCCTATGGTCCCAGCTACTCGGGAGACTGAAGCAGGAGGATCGCTTAAGCCCAGCAGATCGAGGCTGCAGTGAGCTGAGACCGCACCACTGCACCCCGGCCTTGGCAACAGAGCAAGACCCTGTCTCAAAAACAAACACACAGGGCGGGGCGCGGTGGCTAACGCCTGTAATCCCAGCCAGCACTTTGGGAGGCCGAGGTAGGCGGATCACCTGAGGTCAGGAGTTTGAGACCAGCCTGGCCAACATGGGAAAACGCCGTCTCTACTAAAAATACAAAAATTAGCCGGGTGTGGTGGCACGGGCCTGTAATCCCAGCTACTTGGGAGGCTGAGGCACGAGAACCGCTTGAACCCAGGGGCCTGAGGTTGCAGTGAGCCGGAATTGTGCCACTGCACTCCCGCCTGGGTAACAGAAGGAGACTCCGTCTCAAAAAAAAAAAAAAAAAAAAAAGGAAAGAAAAAAAAATCAGTTTGAATTGTATCATGTCTTATGCATCTTCCTTTACAGGTCTGGGACTGACCTGTGGCTTACCATTACCTGATTAGATTTGGAAGGAGCTCGTGTCAATACTTAGAAAAGTGTAAAACTGAAATAACTGCACTTTTTTCTATTATGAAATTAAATCAGGAGACTTTTAGGTAATTTAGGTTGTTTGCCATTAATTGGATTACACAGTACATTCAGCTCCCACCCTTTCACCCTTGTGGAAAAGCCTCTCCCATGGATTGAAATCACACCTCCTGGGACGTCTGTTCCCTGGCTTTTGTTAGTGATGTGGAAAGTTGTTTCTTCCTGCATTTCATCCAGGCTTTCAGAGAAAGTGGAAAACACTTCTGCTGGTGATGGTAGGCGGCTTTCCCTAGTCTCAGAAAATGTCCCCTGTGTCCCCGTGAGATGGGTACACACCCTAAGAACACGGAGGGCCACCGGAGCTTCTCATTCAGCTACATGGGAGCCAAGACCTTGCCAGGTGGAATCAGTCACACATTTTATTTACAGGTCTGTTATTTGGTGAACGTATTGGATTAAGGGACATTTTTGCTTCCTTTGAAAGTTTAGACTGGGACTCTAGGAAGAGGCATGAAGGCAGAGGAGATTCGTATACATGGCTGCTCCAGTGTCCCCACCGGGAAAGACGAGCTTGGCCTCTACCTTAACAGGATGATGATCTAAGACTGGCAGGGAAATTTCCTGCTGTGTCCCCGCAGGGCCCAGGATTGGGGTCCACCTTTTCTGATTACTGCTTGCCAACCATCACTGCCCCCAGGGTGCTCCCTGGGCTCACTTCTGGGCCATCGGTCACTCCTCCATGTGGATGACATCTAATGGCCAGTCAGCCACCTTGTTCAAGAGGACCTCAGCATCTGGGTGTCCACTCTTCTCCTCTCCCCGCCTCTGCTGTCATCCCTGGGGCTGTGGGCTCGACTCTGTGACCCACAGTCACAGCTTTCATTTTTGAAAGGG